>NC_000018.10:14210699-14510749 GCF_000001405.40 Homo sapiens | reverse complement strand
TTTAAACAAGTCCCTATTCCTGTTCCTCCTTACTAGGCAAGACTTCTCAACTTGCTTCCAGTCACATCCTACAGGTGTGTTGAGATTGGCAACAGGTTCATACCTCAGAGGTACAGAGCTCCCAGAGGGAAGGGCAGGCTATCGTCTTTGCTTTTTCTCAGGCTTCACTGCTGATACCTTCAGCCACTGGAAAATACGAGGCAATTGGCGACTGGAGTGGACCCCCAGCATACCACGGCAGCCCCACAGAAAAGTGGCCAGACTGTTATGTGGGTGCCCATTTCCATATCTCCTCGATGGGCAGGTCTTCCTGGCCTGGGTCTCCAGCCAGCCCCCCACTTGAGCTTTCAAGCCAGTAGCAACTCAGCAACTCCCTGGACAGAGCTTCCAGGAGCAACAGAAATCCTCTCTGCCACTGCCTCTGCAGTGGAACTGCCCTTGCTACCCTCAGAATATCAAGGGAGCAAAGACCCTAAGTGCCATATTGACACCTCCAACAAGCTGCAGTTGACACAAGGAACAAGTCAGTCCATCTTCCACAGGTACAACACACCCCTTACTGCTCATCACCAGACAAGGAACCGTGGCTTGGGCCCACAACACAGACCCTCCATCCTGGGGTGATTACATTAAGTAACTGCTAACTTACACCTCTCTGGGGTGGAGCCCCCAGGAGACAAGGAAAGTAGTGGAGCAGCAAGTCAGCTGATGTGGAGCCTGGAGGGCAGGGACAGCTATGTCTCTAGGCTCCACTTGCTCTTATGAGACACTTTATCCCAGCACTTTAGGAGTGCTGAGGTCAGACCAGCCCCATCTCACGTGCAAGATTGCCCAGCACAGATCAGGTCTAAGAGTTCTCTTCGTAAAAAAGGGGACTTGCTTAAAAAAGAAGTCTGGCCACGTTTGTGTAGAGCAGTTGTGCTGTGCTGAGGATTCACTTTTGAGAGAGTTCTCCTCTGAGACCTGATCTGTGCTGGGCAGTCTTGCACATGAGATGGGGCTGGTCTGACCTCAGCACCCCTTAGTCTGCTTGCCTCTCCCAGGACCCCAGCCAGGCCACACCTGCTTAGAGGGCACTTTCGGGTGCCCACACCATAGCTTCTGTACAAGCGGACCGTGCCTGATCAGTGGAGAGCTGCAGCAAGGTGACCTCTACAGCCACGCACTAGCCTGCACATTACCATTCCATACTGCAGCCCTTTATATGGAAACTTCCTACATCACTTTGCTGTGTGTGTTTACACAGGTGGGTTTTGTTGTACTTGCCCTAACAGCATATGGGAATGCAGCACACACCCCAACCCACACCAACTGCCACTGAAGATGAAGCCATGGTGGGCACAGAACCAAAAACCCCACCCCTGCTAGCATCTCACCCTTGAGGTAATGCTGTGCAGAGGAAAAGGGACCTTCTTATACCCTGAGTGACCACTGTTGCTTGGGGGGGATCAGAGAAGGCACCTTCACTGGCCAGCCACCCACCCCAAACCAGCACTACCTCCAGTGCAACAGCACACACAGTCAGCAGGGGCCCGTGGCCCACACCCCAGCTGTTTTGCCTCCACCACTGGGTGAATGCCCACAGGGAGGCAGGGACTTTTGCATCTGCTAGCATTCTGCCACAGCTGCTGCACTTTGGTCCCCTCAGTGCAGTGGACTCCAAACCTCGAGGAGCCAGAGGACAAAGTTGTGGCCCAATACAAGTTCCCCAGAGTTAAAGCACACAGTCCAAGAATTGGGAGCTGCATGTTGGCCCCTTAAAATCCTCCAAAAACAAAACCTGTTGGCTGAATCCACCTTACACCACAATCAAATCCTCAAGGTCATCAGATATAATAAAGGAAAAATACCCTGTCCAAAGGTCAGCAACCTCAAAGATTGAAGATGGATAAGCCCATAAAGATGAGAAAAAGACTCTGTGCAAGAACACTGAAAACTCAAAAATTCAGCATACCTTCTTTTCTCCAAATGACTGCATCAACTCTCCAGCAAGTGTTCAGAACTGGGCTGAGGCTGAGATGTCTGAAATGATACAAGCAGAGTTCAGGATATGGGTAGGAACAAAGTTCATTGAGTGAAAGAAGTATGTTGTAATCCAATACAAGGAAGCTAAAAATCATTGTAAAACATTGCAGGAACTAACAGACAAAATAGTGAGTATAAAGAAGAAAATAACTGACCTGACAGAGCTGTAAATCACACTAGAAGAATTTTCATAATGTAGTCACATGGTGATTGTGTGTGATTGCATTATGAATATTATTGTAGTATGTGTGGGCACCTGAGAGTGCCCTGTAAGCAGGTGTGGCCAGGCTGGGGTCCTGGGAGAGGCAAGCAGACTAGGGAGGGCTGAGGTCAGACCAGCTCCATCTCATGTGCAAGACCATCTAACAGAATAGACCAAGAAGAGGAAAGAATCCCAGAGCTTGAAAACTGGCTTTCTGAAATAAAACAGGCAAACAAGAATGGGGGAAAAAAGAATGAAAGGGAATGAACAAAACATCCGAGAAATATGGGATTATATAAACGACCAAATCTATGACTGATTAATGTACCTGAAAGAGATGAGGAGAATGGAACCAACTTGGAAAACACATTTCAGAATATCATTCATGAGAATGTCCCCAACCTAGCCAGACAGGCCAACATTCAACTTCAGGAAATCCAGAGAACCTCAGTAAGATATGCCATGAGAAGATCATCCCCAAGACACATAATCATCAGATTCTCTGAGGTCAAAATAAAAGAAAAAATGTTAAAGGCAGCTAGGGAGAAAGGCAACATCACCTGCAAAGGGAATTCCATCAGACTTAGCAGACCTCTCAACTGAAACTGTACAAGCCAGAAAAGACATTCAACATTTCAAAGAAAAGAAATTTCAACCCAGAATTTCATGTCCAGCAAAATTAAGCATCATAAGTGAAGGAGAAACAAGATCGTTTTCAGACAAGCAAATGCTGAGGGAATTCGTTATCACCAGACCTACCTTACAAGAGCTCCTGAAGGAAGCACTAAATATGGAAAGAAAAGACCACCACCAGCCACTACAAAAACACACTGAAGTACACAGACAAGTGATGCTAAAAACCAACCACATACATAAGTCTGCAAAAGAGCCAGCTGACAGCATGATGACAGGATCAAATCCACACATACCATTACTAACCTTAAATGGAAATGGGCTAAATGCTCCAATTGAAAGACACAGGGGGCAAGCTGGATAAAGAACCAAGACCCATTGGAGTATGCCGTCTTCAAGAAACCCATCTCACATGCAGTGCCATACATAGGCTCAAAATAAAGGAATGGAGAAAAATATTTCAAGGAAATGGAAAACAGAAAAAAGCAGGTGTTGCACTCCTAGTTTCTGACAAAACAGACTATACCAATAAAGATTTAAAAAAAAAAAAAGACAGAGGGCTGGGCGCGGTGGTTCACGCCTGTAATCCCAGCACTTTCGGAGGCTGAGATGGATGGATCACAAGGTCAGGAGATCAAGACCATCCTGGCTAACACGGTGAAACCCCGTCTCTACAAAAAATACAAAAAATTAGCTGGGCATGGTGGCGGGTGCCTGTAGTCCCAGCTACTTGGGAGGCTGAGGCAGGAGAATGGTGTGAACCTGGGAGGTGGAGCTTGCAGTGAGCCAAGGTCGTGCCACTGCACTGCAGCCCGGGAGAGACAGTGAGACTCCGTCTCAAAAAAAAAAAAAAAAAAAAAAAAAACACAGAGAAGGAGATTACAAAGGTGGTCCTGACCTTTGATAAATCTCATTATTGCTTGATACCAACCTGGGCTATCTTTATTGCCCAAACCAATAGGATAATGTGCTGAGGTTAGGGAGCTTCTCCCCTGCAGAGAATCCCTGATCTCCCAAAATTTGGTTGATATCTAAGATTGATTGCCATACAACTCCTTTTCTGAAGTTTTACTTATTTCCAACAAGGCAAGTTTTCCTGCTTCCATGATGATGGAGAGCAGGCACCTCCTTTCTTGAGTTTCAGCTTGCTTCTGACAGGGAAGGTGAGTGTAAGTTTTTTCCAGCTTCTAAGATGGCAGAGAACAATCACTAGCCTGAGACTTATTTCCAGGTAAGTAGCTGAATTA
Organism: Homo sapiens; assembly: GCF_000001405.40. Lineage (NCBI taxonomy): Eukaryota > Metazoa > Chordata > Mammalia > Primates > Hominidae > Homo > Homo sapiens. The sequence goes on along the minus strand of NC_000018.10, from coordinate 14,506,642 downwards.
GAGTTTTGTCTTAAAATTTTTCCTTAATGACTAAAATTTAAGATTACTCACCAGCTGCTTTTAATTTCTCCTTACCATTAGAACATTCAGTAATCATATGAATTGTGCATTTGTTTGTTTTGCTTAACTCTTTTTGTTTGTTTATGTTTGGGGTTTTGTTGATGTTGTTTCACTTTTCTCCCATCTCTTCCTGACTTGGTCAGATCCAAAGAATGCTCCAAATTGTGGGGAACAAGGCTTCTGAATTGGCTAAAACTCATGTGGCTGCAAAAAAAAAAAAAAAAAATCCAGTTAGCAGAAATGATTTTTTTTAACTTTTTTATTTTTATTTTTTACATAAGTGGTTGCATCTTTTGCTAGCCAAGGCCAAACTGAAGGAGTAGTGGTGGCGACCCAAAGTTAAGATTCTGCCCTGTTCACTACAGAAACCTGAGTTTGGTTCCTAAGTCTAGTTCTTTCTGTTTGATATTTGTGTTACTTTTAAAATATCAGCAGTTTGTCCCAGCTATGATGTGGTAGTAGAAGATTCAGAAGTATTTTCTTTACAAGTTCTATGATGAAAAGATTAATTAAAAGCAAATTTCTTTTTTTTAAATTATACTTTAAGTTCTGGGGTACATGTGCAGAACGTGCAGGTTTGTTACATACGTATACACATGCTGTGGTGGCTTGCTGCATGCACCAACCCATGATCTAATGCCATCCCTTTTCTAGCCCCCAACCCTGACAGGCCCTTGTGTGTGATGTTTCCCTTCCTGTGTCCATGTGTTCTCATTGTTCAGCTCCCACTTATGAGTGAGATCATGTGGTGTTTGGTTTTCTGTTTTTGTGTTAGTTTGCTGAGAATGACAGTTTCCAGCTTCATCCATGTCCCTGCAAAGGATATGAACTCATCCTTTTTTATGACTGCATAGTATTCCATGGTGTATATATGCCACATTTTCTTTATCCAGTCTATCATTGGTGGGTATTTGGGTTGGTTCCAAGTCTTTGCTGTTGTGAACACTGCTGCAATAAGCATACGTGTGCATGTGTCTTTATATTGGAATGATTTATATTTTTTTGAGTATATACACTGTAATGGGATTGCTGAGTCAAATGGTATTTCTAGTTGTAGATCCTTGAGGAATCATCACACTGTCTTCCACGATGGTTGAACTGATTTATACTCCCACCAACAGTGTAAAAGCATTCCTATTTCTCCACATCCTCTCCAGCATCTGTTGTTTCCTGATTTTTTAATGATGGCCATTCCAAGTGGCGTAAGATTGTATCTCATTATGGTTTTGAATTCCATTTCTCTAATGACCAGTGCTTTGCTTCACATGTTCGTTGGCTGCATAAATGTCTCCTTTGGGAAGTGTCTGTTTGTATCCTTTGCCCACTTTTTGATGGGGTTGTTTGTTTTTTTCTTGTAAATTTGTTTAAGTTTTTATAGATTCTGCATATTAGCCCTTTGTCAGATGGATAGATTGCAACAATTTTCTCCCATTCTGAGGGTTGCCTGTTCACTCTGATGATAGTTTCTTTTGCTTTGCAGACACTCTTTAGTTTAATTAGATCCCATTTGTCAATTTTGGCTTTTGTTGCCATCGCTTTTGGTGTTCTAGTGATGAAGTCTTCGCCCATGCCTATGTCCTGAATGGTATTGCCTAACACAAGGACATTTCTGTGCCTGAATGCCATATCTCCTAAAGTAATTTATAGAATCAGTGCTATCTCCATCAAGCTACCGTTGACTTTCTTCCCACAATTAGAAACACTACTTTAAATTTCATATGGAGCCAAAAAAGAGCTCGAGTAGCCAAGACAATCCTAAGCAAAAAGAACAAAGCTGGAGGCATCACAGTACCTGACTTCAAACTATTCTACAAGGCTACAGTAACCAAAACAGCATGGTACTGGTACCAAACCAGATATATAGACAAATTGAACAGAACAGAGGCCTCAGAAATGACACCACACATCTAAAACCAGCTGATCTTTGACAAACCTGACAAAAACAAGCAATGGGGAAAGGATTCCTTATTCAATAAATGGTGTTAGGAAAACTGGCTAGCCATATGCAGAAAACTGAAACTGGGCCACTTCCTTACACTTTATACAAAAATTAACTTAAGATGGATTGAAGAGTTAAACTTAAGACCTAAAACCATAAAAAACCTAGAAGAAAACCTAGGCCACCAAACTCAGGAGAAATGTACTTGTAGTGAAATGCATGGTACAAACACACATTCCCTGCTTCCTTAAGTGGGTGAGGTTGGTGGCTGGTCCACCTGCTCCAGGTGGATCCTTGCAGAGGTGGCTGGTTGCTCTTTGAGCCAGCTTGGCCTTGCCTGGCATGCACAAGCCTCAGTGCAACAACTGTGTTACAAATGGAGCCACACAGAAAATGACCAGCAGGCTCAGGAGCAGGGTGTACATTGCCTTTGGGGCTCCAGTCCATGCCTCAGGGCTCATATGGCACTTTGGGCTTCTTGGTTGCCAAGAGGCAGATCACAGGCCATCTTGTGGAGGACTTTATGTTCAAGTGCAGAAAGCAGCCAGGATTACAACCTAGGGGACTCAGGCTTCTGTGACCCGGGCCAGGCTTAGAATTTGGTCCCAGGCATGACACGCTCACTCAGAGCAGTGTGTCAGTACCTGGGGCCTGTGCATGCCAGGCAAAGCCAAGCTGGCTCAAAGAGCAACCAGACGCCTCTGCAAGGGTGTGCCTAGAGCAGTTGGACCAGCCACCAATCTCACCCCCTCAACGAAGCCGGGATGGCCAGGTTCCCACAGCCTGAGTGGCTGCCACCTGATGGCTGATGGAGCAGAGGACTGAGGAAAAGCAGATGGCACTGGGGCCCTACCTTTAGGGTAGAAGAACTGAGGTACCATGTCCGGCAGCGAGTGATGTTCGTGGCTGGTCCACCTCCTCCTGGCACACCCTTGCAGAGGTTGCTGGTTGCTCTTTGAGCCAGCTTGGCCTTGCCCAGCATGCACAAGTCTCAGTGCAACAACTGTTCTACAAATGGAACCACACAGAGGACATTAGAGGCAGGCTCAGGAGTAGGGTGTACACTGCCGTTGGTGCTCCAGTCCATGGCTCGGGGCTCGTATGTCACTGCGGGCTTCTTGGTTGCCAAGAGGCAGACCACAGGCTGTCTTGAGGAGGACTTTATGTTCGAGTACAGAAAGCAGCAGGATTACCACCCAGGGGACTTGGCATTCTGTGGCCCTGACCAGACTTAGAATTTGGGCCAAGGCAGGACAAACTCACTCACAGCAGCATGTCAGTAGGTGGAGACTATGCATGCCAGGCAAGGCCAAGCTGACTCAAATAGGAACCAGTCACCTCTGCAAGGGTGCACCTGGGACATGTGGAGCAGCCACCAACCTCAGCTACTCAAGGAAGTAGGGATGGCCAAGTTCCCACGGCCTGAGTGGCTGCCTCCTGATGGCTGATGGAGCAAAGGCCTGAGGAAAAGCGGATGGCACTGGGGCCCTACCTCTAGGGTAGAAGAACTGATGTGCTCTGACCTGCAACAAGTGAGTTTGGTGGCTGCTCCACTGGCTCCTGGCACACGCTTGCAGAGTTGGCTGGTTGCTCTTTGAGCCAGCTTGGCCTTGCCTGGCATACACAAGCCTCAGTGCAACATCTGTGCTAGGTATGGAGTCACAGAGAGGAAATGAGCAGCAGGCTCAGGATCAGGGTGTGCGCTGCCTTTGAGGCTCCAGTCCATGCCTCAGGGCTCGTGTGGCACTGCAGGCTTCTTCGTTGCAAAGAGGCAGACCACAGGCCATCCTGAGGAGGACTTGATGTTCAAGTGCAGAAAGCAGGCAGGATTACCACCCAGGGGACTCTGCCCTGGACAGAGAGAAAATTTGGGCCAAAGCAGAACAAGCTCACTCAGAGCAGCATGTCAGTAGCTGGGGCCTGTGTATGCCAGGCAAGGCCAAGGTGGCTCAAAGAGCAACCAGCCACCTCTGCAAAGGTGCACCTGGAGCAGGTGGAGCAGCCACCAACCTCACCCACTCAAGGAAGTAGGGATGGCCAGGTTCCCACAGCCTGCATGGCTGCGTCCTGATGACTGATGGAGCAGAGGCCTGAGGAAAAGCAGATGGCACTGGGGCTCTACCTCTTGGGTACAAGAAGTGATGTACACCGACCGGCTGTGAGTGAGGTTGGTGGCTGGTCCACCTGCTCCTGGCACACCCTTGCAGAAGTGGCTGGTTGCTCTTTGAGCCAGCTTGGCCTTACCCAGCATGCACAAGCCTCAGTACAACAACTGTGCTACAAATGGAGCCACACAGAGAAAACAGAGCAGCAGGCTCAGGAGCAGGGTGTGTGCTGCGTTTGGGGCTCCAGTCAATGCCTCGGGGCTAATATGGCTCTGTGGGCTTCTTGGTTGCAAAGAGGCAGACCACAGGCCATCTTGAGGAGGACTTTATGTTCAAGTGCAGAAAGCAGCCAGGATTACCACCCAGGGGATTCTGCCTTCTGTGGCCCTGACTGGACTTAGAATTTGGCCTAATGCACGACAAGCTCACTCAGAGCAGCGTGTCAGTAGCTGGAGCCTGTGCATGCCAGGCAAGGCCAAGCTGTCTCAAAGAGCAACCAGCCACCTCCGCAAGGGTGTGCCTGGAGCAGATGTAGCAGCCATCAAACTGACCCACACAAGGAAGCACAGATGGCCAGGTTCCAACAGTCTGACTGGCTGCCACCTGGAGACTGATGGAGCAGAGGCCTGAGGAAAAGCAGATGGCACTGGGGCCCAACCTCTATGGGAGAAGAACTGATGTGCCCCAACCGGCAGCGAGTGAGTTTAGTGTCTGCTCCACTGGCTCCTGGCACACCCTTGCGGAGGTGGCTGGTTCCTCTTTGAGCCAGCTTGGCTTCGCTCGGCATGCACAAGCCTCAGTGCAACAACTGTGCTACAAATGGAGCCACAGAGAGGAAATGAGCAGCAGGATCAGGAGCACGGTGTGCACTGCCTTTGGGGCTCCAGTCCATGCCTCAGGGCTCATATGGCACTGCGGGCTTCTTCATTGCCAAGAGGCAGACCACAGGTCATCTTGAGGAGGACTTTGTGTTCAAATGCAGAAAGCAGCCAGCATTACCACCCAGGGGACTCTGCCTTCTGTGGACCTGACCAGACTTAGAATTTGGGCCAAGGCAGGACAAGCTCACTCAGAGGAGCGTGTCAGTAGCTGGGGCCTCTGCTTGCCAGGCAAGGCCAAGCTGGCTCAAAGAGCAACCAGCCACCTTTGGAGGGGTGCACCGGGAGCAGGTGGAGCAGCCACCAACCTCGGCTACTCAAGGAAGCAAGGATAGGCAGGTTCCCACAGCCTGTGTGGCTGCCTCCTGATGGCTGATGGAGCAGAGGCCTCAGGAAAAGCAGATGGCACTGGGGCCCTACCTCTAGGGTAGAAGAACTGATGTGCCGTGTCTGGCAGGTAGCGAGTGAGGTTGGTGGCTGGTCTACCTGCTCCTGTCACACCCTTGCAGAAGTGGCTGGTTGCTCTTTGAGCCAGCTTGTCCTTGCCCAGCATGCACAAGCCTCAGTACAACAGCTGTGCAAATGGAGCCACACAGTGGAAATTAGCAGCAGGCTCAGGAGCAGGGTGTTCACTGCCTTTGGGGCTCTATTCCATGCCTCTGAGCTTATATGGCACTGCAGGCTTCTTGGTTGCCAAGAGGCAGACCACAGGCCATCTTGAGGAGGACTTTATGTTCAAGTGCAGAAAAAAGTCAGGATTACCACCCAGGGGACTCGCCTTTCTGTGGCCCTGGCCAGACTTAGAATTTGGCCCCAGGCAGGACAAGCTCACTCAGAGCAGCGTGTCAGTAGCTGGGGCCTGTGCATGCCAGGCAAGGCCAAGCTGGCTCAAAGAGCAAGCAGCCACCTCTGCAAGCATGCTCCTGATGCAGCTGGACCAGCCTTTAACTTCAGCCACTCAGAGAAGCATGGATGGCCATGTTCCAACAGCCTGAATGGCTGCCACCTGATGGCTGATGGAGCAGAGTCCTGAGGAAAAGCAGATGGCACTGCTTTGTAATGCCCTTCTTTGTCTCTTTTGATCTTTTCCATTTAAAGTTTGTTTTATCAGAGACTAGGATTGCAACCCCTGCTTTTTTTTTTTTTTTTTTTTTTGCTTTTCATTTGCTTGGTAAATATTCCTCCGTCCCTTTATTTTGAGCCTGTGTGTGTCTTTGCATGTGAGATGGGTCTCCTGAATACAGCACACCAATGGGTCTTGAGTCTTTTTCCAACGTGCCAGTCTGTGTCTTTTTACTGGGGCATTTAGCCCAGTTACATTTAAGGTTAATATTGTTACATGTGAAATTTATCCTGTCATGATGTTGTTAGCTGTTTATTTTTCCCATTAGTTAATGCAGTTTCTTTATAGTGTCGATGGTCATTACAATTTGGTATGTTTTTGCAGTGGCTCATACTGTTTGTCCCTTTCCATGTTTAGTGCTTCCTTCAGGAGCTCTTGTAAGGCAAGAATGTGGATTTATTTCTTGTAAGGCAAATATGTGGATTTATATCTGGGTGCTGTATTCTATGGCCTCTACCCGAAGAGTCATTACTTTTAAAAATGCAATTCAAATTAGCATAAAACATTTACAGCCTAGGGAAAGGCTTATGGCATTAGAATCCTTATTTATAGGATTATTTTGTGTTTTTTTGAGATATGGTCTCTGTCTGTCATCCAGGCAGAAGTGGAGTGGCTTGGTCATAATTCACTGCAGCCCTGAACTCTGAGTCCAAGCCATCCTTGTGCCTTAGTCTCCCAACTAGTTGGATCTACAAGCATAAGTCACCATGCCTGGCTAATTTAAAAAAAAAATTTTTTTTGTCGAGATTATGTTATCACTATGTTGCTCTGGCTGGTTTCAAATTCCTGGCCTCAAGTAATCTTTCTGCCACAGCCTCCTATAGTGCTGGGATTACAGGCATGAGCCACCATGCCTAGCATAGAGTATTACATTATTTTCAAAGTCTTATTCTAAGAGCCATTTATTGACTTTGGCCTAAATAACTCAATATTATATCTCTGAAACTTTTTTTGACAAATTTTGGGGCATGATGATGAGAGAAAAGGGTTTGAAACTTTCTAATAAGAGTTAACGTAGAGCCATTTAAGGAGGAACAGACACAAATTATCAGAAAAATAAAAGAAAGATCAAGTGCAAAAGTTCTGTGGCGAAGATGATGATAGTAAAGAATATATGTGACTTATGGTGGCTTTTACTTTGTTCTTGAATTTCTGAGTAATTTAAGGGTTAACATTTAAAGAATCTACATTATAGATAACATTTTATTGCAAGTAAATGTATTTCAAAATTTGTTATTGGTTTTGTATGAGATTATTCTCAGCCTACTTCATTTTCAAGCTATATTATTTTATTAATGTAGTTTGATGATCTTACAGCAGAGCTGGAAGCTGTATCTTCAAAATATGTCTGTTTGACTCAAAACAATCAAGGTATTCAACAGGAGTTATTATGTATGAAAAAATACAACAGGAATGTAAAAAACTTGAGGCTAAAAAGATGTTGGAAGAAGTAATATTAAATCTTAAAAAACGTATGGAAAGTACACATTGGTGAAGACACATTGGTGAAGTACAAAAATATAAATTGGATCTAGAAGAAAGGGCAATGCAGGCAATGGAAAAATTAGTACAAATCCCTTTACAGGTTAGTTTGCAAAATCAGGTAAGTTTATTTATAATGTGCTTTCATTTATTTCACTGCAAATTATATTTTGGAGATTGTATATATATATATATATATATATATATATCATGTTTCCTCTGCCTCTCTTATAGTAATTTGCCTTGTGGAGTTCTGGCAAAGAGGTGGCATCTGTTTTTACTTTTATATGTTTAAATTTCCATCATTATAACAAAATCGATTTTTCACAGTAATGATTCTCAGTGTGGAGTCATTTGATTATTAAGACCCATTGACATGAGATTACATCCTCTGCCTATAAAAATCCTGGAAGAAAACCTAGGAAATATTCATCTGGACATTGCACTTGGCAATGAATTTATGGGTAAGTCCTCAAAAGCAATTGCCAGAAAAATGAAAATTGACAAGTATGATTTAATTAAACTAAAGAGCTTCTTCTACACAGCATGAGAAACTCTCAAGGGATTGAACAGACAGCTACAGAATGGAAGAAAATATTCACACACTATGCATACAGCAAAGGCCTATTATCCAGAAGCCATAAGAGACTTAGGCAAATCAACGAGCAAAAAATAAATAACCCCATTAAAAAATGGGCAAAGAACGTGAACAGACAGTTTTCAGAAGAACACATATGTGGCCAACAAACATATTAACACATGCATACCATCACTAATCATCAGAGAAATGCAAAACAAAACATCAGTGAAATACCATCTCACACCAGTTAGAATGACTTCTGTTAAAAAGGAAAAATAATAAAAATATTTAAATATTTAATATTAAAATGTCATTTAGATTGAGATAAATTAATTTGTCATTATCATTAATTCTCAAAACATGGATATTTAAGAATAACCTTACTTCACATGTAATAACACAACAACTACCTTAAAAACTAAAAGCTGGGGCCTGGTATGGTGTCTCAAGTCTGTAATCCCAGCACTTTGGGAAGCCGAGGTGGGCCGATCATGAGGCCAGGAGTTTGAGACAAGCCTGGCCAACATGGTGAAACCCCGTCTCTACTAAAAATACAAAAATTAGCTGGGCATGGTGGTGGGCACCTGTAATCCCAGCTACTCAGGAGGCTGAGGCAGGAGAATCATTGGAACCCTGGGAGGCGGAGGTGGTTGCAGTGAGCTGAGATCACACCATTGCACTGCAGCCTGGGCAACAGGGCGAGACTCCATCTCAAAAAAAATAAATAAAAGTAAATGAATAAAAACAAAAGCTGGAAGTTCTATGAAAACAATGCACATACCATTTTTAAAAAATGTTCATGGTTTTTCTAGAGATTTCAATACCTATCCTAGCTTATTACAGTAACCTATAATTTGTACTATACCAACTATGGTATAAAAACCTTAAAATGTATATTTCTGTTTCCTCTCTCCTTTATACTATTTATGTCATGCATTATAGTCTCAAATATTATGAATTCCATAATATAAAGTTACTCTTTTTTTAAAAAATTAGACAATTATCTTTAGAGCAATGTAAAATAATTGGGTTATATATCTTTATATCTTCTCTGGCATTATTTATTTCTTTGTGTAGTTTCAACTTTCACCTGCTTCCATATTCCTTTTGCCTCAAGAAATGATTTTGACATTTATTTTAGTGCATACCTGTTAGCAAGGGACTCTTCCAGTGTTAATCTGCAAATGTCATTTAATTGATATTTTTGCTGTATTACAGTTAATGGATATAAGATTGGGGGTTGACTTTTCTTCAGTTATTTAAGAATTCTGTATCATTGGTTTCTGACTTGTAGAGTTACTGACAAGCAGTTCATTATAATGTTTGTTTCTGTTTATCTCTCTACACAGTGTTCCTATTTTTTCTGTGACTGAATTCAAGATTTATGCTAATCATTGGTTTTCAGCAGTTTGACTAGTGTGATTATTCTAGCGTTCTTTAAATTTTGTATTAATCTTTCTTGGATATTTTGAGGTTATTTGGTCTCCTTAGTCATCTTTTTCAAATTTTTCTTCTCTCACATTCTGTTTTTACTCTCCTTCTGTAATTCCAATTAATTGTATTTTAGTTAATTTCATATTACCAGAGAATTCTTGGATTCACTGGAGTATTTTATTTGCTTGGTTTATTGGTTTATTTGGTTTTTCTCTTTCCTCCCTTTGTGCTACCATTCAAATGATTTGTATTGACCTAGTATAAAATTTACTGCTTCTTTCTTTAACTCTGATGACCAGTCTGCTAATCAGCTTGCTGATGTAATTCTTCATCTCTGTTCTCATGCTTTCACTTATTTCTAGATTTTGCCTTTTACTGTTCCCATCTTTGCTGAAATTCCTCATTTTTCCATACATGTTGTCTTTTTTTAACTAGATCCTTTAACATTTTGATCATTATTATTTTAAATTACTTGCATTTAGTTCCAACATCTGAATTATCTCTGAATTTGATTCTGTTGACTTTTTACCCTTTGAAAATATTATAACTCATAACTCAAATTTCTAACTTGCTTTTATGTCTCCCAATTTCTAAAAAATGCAAATCATCTGATGTAGAAAAACAGTAGATCATGAGATAATTATTTATGTCGAGATTGTTTTATATTTCTGTTTCATTTTTATGTCATGCTATTAGTGTGGGCAGGAACAAAGGTTGCTTTTTGCTGCGGTGTCTGAAACATTCAGTGACCAATGTAACTCAGATTTCTCCAGCAGTAGGCTGCTATATGATGTGCCTTGTGTGGGGCCTTAGACTCTGGAGAGCATATGCCAATGATCCTGTTCCACAGTTAGCTTTCGGTAGTCCTTACAACCTATGTTATAGAGAGGGTCTCTCTCCACTTTCTTGTTCCTCTCTAACTGTAGAACATCATTGTGTGTGTGTGTGTGTGTGTGTGTGTGTGTGTGTGTGTGTGTGTGACTAGGCAAAAAATTAAGGTTGGTGACAGAGGGATGATTCATGTTATTTTTGAGCCAGTTTCATCATTGGACACTCACAGAAGGGGTATTTTTAGCACTTCTTGACTCTTATTCTAGTGGGAGTCAAACTGTCACTTACCTGTGTTGTTTTTTGCAGAAGAAATAATAGCTTACCCTCCTCCCACCTCAGTAGTAGAAAACCTCTGATTTATATCATTGCAAGTTTTCAACCCCACAATAAGGACAAACTCTTTTATTTTTCCTTCCATAGGAACAATGTACCTTTGTCTGTGGTCACTGGATGGAGACTTTCCAAACCTTTACCACAGTAGCACGACTCTGCATTAGTGCAAAATCCTGGGCCCCAAAACAATCCTTGTTCCTCTCCTGATGGAGGAGTATTTTTCTTGCATCCCTCTCCCAGAAGCAGTGATCCTTTGCCTGGTGTCAGGTAGGGTAGGGTAGGGTATGAGAGGTTTCTTAACCTTCTCTGAAAGCTGATGTGTTTTGCTTCTTCTTATCTCCCAGAAACAGTAGACTTTTGCATGGGTTCATGGACCCAGATGCTTTTTTGCCACAGAAAATTAAGGGTTTTGATTCTTAGGAGAGAAGCAAATGTTCATGTAGTCAATTTTTTTCTTATTTATTTTTTGCTTTGTTTTCTTATTTCAGTAATGATGAGTTCAATATGATCATTATTTTCCACTTACACTGCTTGCAACTCTAATATTTTGTTTTTGTTAGTCCCCCTTTGACAGTTCAGCACTAAATCAAATGCAGAAAATCATCAGTTGTGTGAATAAAGTGTTTTTAATTGAGAACAAAATTGTTGATATAGACACAAATTTGGATATTATCCTACTTAGCACAATATGTCGCTGGTTCAAAATGTAAAAACCTCTTTAGGCTGAACAAAGAATGGTTCTTGGAACTATTGTCCCTTTTTGACAAATAAAATAAAACCCAATGCTTTTTATCTCATGGATAGATTATTAAAATAACTACATACCTGATCTTCATTTTATGTTCTCTCTCTTCAAGATATTCCTTCAAAACTACTTTGACTGATTAGTCTCTTTTGAATTATGTTAGACTCTGTATTTTCTCCACAAGCTCATCAGGGTAAATCCTGCCTGTACATTTTTTATAAAAATTCTCTTTTTTTTTCAAATCTTAGTTGAGCTGAAAGATTTCCACCAAATGTCTCCTATGCCACAAAGCCTTATTTTACTTATCTCCCCTGTCCTCCTTCCTCAAGCTCATTTAGGAATATTTTAATTAAAACATTCATGCAATACTGTTTTTTTAAAAATCTGAACATATAGTATTTTCATTCTGAATACAAAATAGTGCTCTAATTTGAAAGCAAGTTTTAGAAACAAATGTTTCGAGAAGGAGAATCAACAGTGTCATAAATATCATAATCCAATTTTCCTGTTTGTACTAAAACATTAGCAAATATTTATTGAGAAATTGCCATCTGCCTGAAAGTATAATGCTTTTGATGCACATTATATCATAAAAACTAGGTACTATTATTAGTAGTATCTTAAGAGTAAAAATATCAAGTCTTAGAGAAGTTAAGCAATGTGCCCAAATAGCATAGGGAAAGTTGGAATTCTGAAATTCTGACTATGCTGTGCGTAGGTTAGGAGAATCAAGGCTTGTCAAATGTAACTGTTAAGTCATTGTGGGGATACGGAGGCCTCTGATTGCTAGGGTCAATACACTTAAGCAGATCATGTCACTACTTAGTTAAATCTATTTCATTAAAGCAAAATTCCATAAAGATTATTGGCACCAAAACTATTAATTTTCCTTCCTTCCTTTCTCTCCTTCCTTCCTTCCTTCTTTCCTTCCTTGTCTTTCTGTCTTTCTTTGAGACAGGGTCTCATTGTGTTGCCCAAGCTGGAGTGCAGTGGCACAATCATGGCTCACTGCAGCCCCAGCTTCCCCAGACTCCGGTGATCCTCCCACCTCATCCTCCTGAGTAGCTGGGACTACAGGCAGGCAAGCCACTACGCGCGGCTAAATTTTCTTTTTCTTTTTCTTTTTTTTTTTTTTTGTAAAGATTGGGCTTCACCATGTTGCCGAGCCTGGTCTGCAACTACTCAGCTCAAGCAATCCACCTGCCTTTGCCTCCCAAAGTATTGGGATTCCAGGTGTAAGCCACATGCCTGGCCAAAAATATTATTTAACAAGTTCAATTTAACTATTAGATTTTGGACAATGAGGGATAGAATTTTCTACATCATAAATCATCTTGTGTTCTTTATTTAAAGTAATATGTAAGGATTTCAATTCGATTCAAATATATTTATTAGCAAATTAAATGTCTTTTTCAGGATTCCAAACTTTTGTTGAAGACATAAATGTTAAATGATGTCACTAATTTTAATTAGATTAGCAGAAAGGTACTCTGGTGTTTAATAACAGTGACAGAATGGGCTATTAATTTTATTTTCTTTCCCTTTCTCCCTTTCCCCTTTTTAAAATATTTTACTTTTTAGGCTCTTTGGAATCCTGTAGATAGAGTTTTGGAGAATTAGACAAAACACTCACAGAAACTGCCAACCCTTGGATGAAATATATTGTTACTGTGCTTTGGGATTAAAATAAGTAACTACAGTTTATAGAACTTTTATACTGATACACAGACACTAAAAAGGGAAAGGGTTTGGATGAGAAGCTCTGCTGTGCAACCAGGAATCTCAGCCACTCATTTCTGTCGGAGCTGCAGGAGCTCCCTGTAAAGAGAGGTTATGGAGTCTGTAGCTTCAGGAAAGATACTTAAAACCCTTCAGAGTTTCTCCATTTTTCCCAGAGTTTCCCCAAAAAGGTTATGACATTTTATAAGAATGCTTCACTTGTGAAAAACTAATATCAAAGTCTTCTTGTAATTTATATTTAAGGATAAATCTTTATCCCATGTTTAATTTATTTAGCTTACCCTGTAGCTAATATTTCATGCTGAACACATTTTAAATGCTGTAAATGTAGATAATATAATTTATGGATCATTAATGCCGCTCTAGTAGTTTAGAGAAAATGTCAAAAGAAATGGCGCCAGAATAAGCTTCTTGATTTGTAAAATTCTATGTCATTGACTCAAGTTTGTATGTCATCTCAAAATATAAATGTAGACATCTCAGAAAATATATTTGAAATAGCAAATTCCTGTTAGAAAAGAATAGTACTTAACTAGATAAGAATAACAAGTCACCATTATTTGAATTGTCTCCTATTAATTTTTGTTGTGTTGTGTTACTCATGTTTTACTTATGGGGGATATACATAACTTCTGCTGTTTTCAGAATTATTGTATGCAGTCAGTATGAGAATGCAATTTAAGTTTCCTTGATGCTTTCTCACACCTCTATTACTAGAAATAAGAATACAGTAATATTGGCAAAGAAAATTGACCAGTTCAATAAAATTTTTTAGTAAATCTGATTGAAAATAAACATTGCTTATGGCTTTCTTACATCAATATTGTTATGTCTTAGACTACCTTATCTGAAATTAAGGCTTTGAAATTCTAATTATGTGCAAATGTGTAAAATATCATCACCTAACGCTATATAATATATTCTATTTCTATACTGTGATGGCAGGTTTATAATTCTGGAAAGATATACACAACATAAAATTTACCTTTTTAATCACTTTAAGTGCACAGTTTTGTGGCATTAAGTATATTTGCACTATTGTGCAACAGTCACCACCATAGACCTCCAAAACTTGTCTTCTTCTCCAACTAAAATGCTTTACTCATTGAACACCAACTTCCCATTCCTCTCCCTCTCCTTCCCCCTAGCAATCACCATTCTATTTCTGTCTCTACAAATTTCACTAAGTAACTCATAGAAGTGGCATGATAGAATGTTTGAATTTTTCTGACTGGCTTATTTCACTTAGCATGTCTTCAAGTTTCAACTATTTTGTAGCATGTGTGAGAATATATTTTAAGGCTGAATATTATTATGTTGCCGTATATACCACATTTTGTTTAACCACTCATCCATCAATATTCACATGGGCTGCTCCCTCCCTTTGATTATTGTGAATAATATTGCTAATGGACACACTGCACAAACATCTGTTTGGTCCCTCCGCTCATTTATTTTGGATATGGATTTGCATTTTAATACAAAGGAGAAATTACACAGCTTTTTAAAAGTGTCCAGATAAAAAGGAGCACAACATCAGTAAAATATTAGAAAGTAGATTGGGGGAAAAACAGGGAAGGAATTGAACCAAAAGTCAATAAGCTGCATAACAGAGTTTCAAGAGGAGGAAAAAATTGACAATATTAACATAGAATTAAAGAGCGATAGGTAGATATTTAGAAAATTGTCGCATGTACTCATATGTCGCCTGTGAACTGATATTTACATTATTTTATTATTCCAGGTTTCCAAAAGTAAGTGCAATATGAGAGTTTCATGATGCGAAATAAACTGAAACATGCTATATATTTTGATATATTGTCCTTGAGAGGAGGCTGAGTGGTAATTAGTGCAATTTTAAATTATGATATGATAATGCAGTCAATCTGCCAAACTGACAAACAGTATATATACAATATACATTTCTCACAAAATTCAGTTTTATCATACAATTAAATTATGATTTGAAACTACCTGACAATTAATGGAGGAAAAAATAAAACAACATTTGCATTAATATTACCATAATTTTGATATTATTGTAAATATCAAAATATGTACTTAGAGATAAACCAGCAAAAAAGAGAAACATTTGAAAACTACAAAACTACAAAATATTGCTAAAATAAATGAGACCTAAATAAATGGAATTTATGAGTCATAAATCTCAATATTGTTAAGATGTCTACTCTTCCCACATTGATCTATAAGAATTCCAATCAAATCACAGCTGGATTTCTTATTTTAGAAATTGAGAAACTAAAATTCTGAAATGTACATCGATGGGTAGAGGACCTATAATGGCAAATTACTTTGAAAGGAAACAGTTACTTTGAAACCAGGTGCTGCTGGAGAATCAAGAGCACCTGGATTCAAGACTTAGAACGTTACAGTAATACTTAAGACAATGTAGTACAAATATAGATATACACATGTATATCAGCTATCAGCTAATTTTTGATGAAGTTCTTAGACCATTCATGGACATAACATTTTCAACAAATGCTTCTGAAACAATTAGATATCCCAGTATATATTTGTGTGTATGTGTGAAGCTCAATACTTCACACCTGAGAGGTATGAGTGTGCATTACAAAAGAGAACTAGGAAGCTTTGAGAGTATTGGATATGCTCATTGTCCCCTTCATGGTGATTGTTTAATGGGCACATGTACATATCAAATTCATCTCATTTACACTTTAAATATTGGAAGTGTGTTTTATGTTCATTAGACATGAATAAAGCTGCAAAATGTTACCAAATATTCACTTACTATGCTTTTATTCATTTTCCTCTCTCTATAAACCTTCAGATAGAAAATGCAGTTGAAAGATATTTCATAAAGGAAGAAAAGAAGTATGAATACAGGTGAGAGATATTACTGAGATTTTTTTTCAGTGCAATCCTGGTCTTTTCTGACTAGCAATATTTTTATGTGCAGAAGTAGTAGAAAAGATAAATATTTTGTACAGTAGAAAAACACATTATTTCTGTGCCATGGAAGAGAGAACTCACAAAGATGACAGCTTCTGGCTATGTTGGATACTAACCAGTACTGTAAGTACCCAACGATCTGACTTTAACACTGGCTGTAAAGCTCCTTTAATGTTCCTTGCAAGGATTTGAACCTATTTACTGGAACCCTCATCGCTTATTGAGTTGAAAAACATTGTTGATATGTGTTTATCTTATATTTGCAGTAGAGTCATAATTTTACTTTTTAGAAAATTATACATTAAACAAAAAAAGACACATGAAATTGTATATTGTTTAATGTTTCAACTGTGATATCACTCCATATGCATATTTAAATGCCTATTTGATAAAGGATAGGAAATACAGAAAGAATTCTTGTGATAATAGAGAACACAGAACTGTTGAAAGGTGTTGAAGCTGAGCTGGAGACAGTCACCAAGGCTGGCGCCAAAGATGGCAAGGTCGGAGGGTTTCCTGCCTGGGCGGCACAGCTTGAGCTCGCCCTGCGTCACGAGTGGTGGAAACTGCAGACCCAGCTGGGCCCCGAGGTCTCTGCCTCAGCCTCCCGCCCGCTAGGAGCTGCGCTGAGGTCCCAGATAGGCGACCCTGGCGGGGTGCCCCTGAGCGAAGGCGGCCCATGTGTGGGACAGCAGCAGGACACCAGGGTCCAGGGACCCACCTCCCGCCGCGGGAACCTCGAGCCTCCCCTGGCACCCCTAGCTTGGTCCGCCTGGCCTCCGGAGCCCGGTGTGTATCCTGGTCATGGGGACGCCCACCAGGTGCCCGGGAGTCCCCCTCGGCCACAGCCTGCGGCTCCGCCGGCCCTCAAGCCCGGTGTGGGGACTCCAGCCCCGCCGCCTCTGCTCCCGCCAGGCCGGGACCTGTCCTCCTCCTGGGCGCCCGGCAGTAGGGGCGATGCACACTGCCCGCTGCCCTGCACAGCCTTTCGCCGCACATCCCCTCTCGCCCCTCCGCCCCGGGCCAGGACCTTCCTGGCCGCACAGAACCCACCTTCCTTCCCGCTGCAGAGCTGCTCCGCTTCCCCCACCCACAGGGAAAAACGGCCGATCTCCAACCAAACAGAAATCTGTGTGTGACTCCTCTGGTTGGATACTGCCAGTCCCCACATTTTCTTCCGGGAGTTTTCTTGGCAGAATGTGCCCAATGTTTGATGTTTCACCAGCGATGAGGCTGAAAAGTGACAGCAATAGAGAAACACATCAGGCTTTCCGCGACAAAGATGACCTTCCCTTCTTCAAAACTCAGCAATCTCCACGGCACACAAAGGACTTAGGACAAGATGACAGAGCTGGAGTGCTCGCCCCAAAATGCAGGCCCGGAGTGGGTCACCTCCTTAGGGCAGGCCCAGGCTTGTCCTGGCTGCCCGGGCGCCTTTCTCCTCACTCCCCAGGGGACCCCACAAACTCGGCTGTTGGGGCTCCCTGCGCCTCCCTCCACAGAAGCCACCTCCTGCCCTCCAAGCTGGGGGTCTCCTGGGGCGTCCTGGGCTGAGAGGGAAAGACGCCAGCTTCGCAAGCCGGGAAGGGAACACCGCCACATTGTTACACGGACACACCACCACACTGTCACATGTACAGACACACGGAGACATTACCACACGGACACACCGTCACATGGACACACTGGCACATTCACATGGACGGACACACAGACATACGGAGAAATCCACACGGACACACCACCACACTATCACAGGGACACACACACGGAGACATCACCACATGGACACACCACCACACTATCACAGGGACACACAGACACACAAGAGACATCACTGTCACATGGACACACCATCACACGAACACACAAACACACTGCCACATGGACACTGCCACACACAGACACACCGCCACACTGTCACATGGACACACCTCCACACTGTCAGACACCACCACACAGACACTGCCATGTGGACACAAGGACACACAGACATTGTCACATGGATACACAAACACATTGTCACACGGAGACATCACCATGCAGATACATGAACACACCACCACATGGACATAGCACCACACAGCCACTCTGCCACACGGACACACCACTACACAGACACACCACCACGCTGCCACACAGAGACACCACCACATCGTTGCCACATTTTCATGTGTCAGCTGGCGGTGTGGGCCCCACGACTCTGGGCTCTAATAGAGAAATTACTTAGGCATATAGTGAAGGCAAAATTTTTTTTTTCTGAGGCGTAGTCTCGCTCTGTCCCCCAGGCTGGACTGCAGTGGCGCGATCTCGGCTCACTGCAAGCTCCGCCTCCCGGGTTCACGCCACTCTCCCGCCTCAGCCTCCCGAGTAGCTGGGACTACAGGAGCCCGCCACCAAGCCCGGCCGCCTTTTGGGTGTTTTTAGTACAGACGGGGTTTCACCTTGCTAGCCAGGATGGTCTCGATCTCCTGCCCTCGTGATCTGCCCGCCTTGGCCTCCCAAAGTGCTGGGACTACAGGTGTGAGCCACCGCGCCTGGCCAAGAATTTCTTTCCATCTCGTGTCATTGCTTTGGCAGTGGAAATGCGCGTGGCCTCTAGAGTGGGTCCCAAGGTCATGAAGGCCTGTAAGGTGGAGGGCAAGGTCTCTCTTTCCAGGCTGGAATGGAGGAAGATGTGGTGGCTGAGGGGCTGCATGTCCTCCTCGCGGCAGGCCCCTGAGGACCTTTATCCTCCTGAGCCGCGAATGTCCCTCAGGGGTGTCTAAAGCGCTGGGTGGGGCCCTTATAGGCCTTAGGAGCTCTGGCCAATTAGTGGTCCGTAAAACGCAGAGGTGAACACCATGGAACCACAGGTCCAGGAGAATTTTGCAAAAGCTCTGAGGATGCCCTTTTTTGTTCTCCCACTGCAAAGTTGTTTTAAAAAGCAAAAAATCCAGCAATGTCCGGGGAAAGTCAATACTGAGTGTCAGCGCGGGATGCTGCCGCTGATACGATCCCGGCGTCCTGGCCGAAAGTGGCCTCCTCGGGGACCGCATCTCCGCGCACCATGGCAACAAACGCCAGCGGTTTGTGGGCGGATGGTGTCCCTGTGGCCATCCCCGCTCCTGAGTGCGGAAGGACAGACAGGAGCGGGGACTTCTGGGTGTTCCTGGTGTCAGCCAGCTTGACGCCGTTGTTCCTCCTGGAAATCCGGGATTTGGAGAAGCACCTGCTTCCTGATGGAGGCCGTGGGCCTCTTGGTCCCCGCTTACCAGGCAGCGGCGCCAGCCTAGTTCTCAGCCCCGCCCCCGATGGGCGCCGCCTTCCATCAGGCCAAAGACTTTCCTCCAAACTGCCCTTCTTGGGGCGGGGAAGCAGCATCCTGGGCCTCCCCTGGGGCCTGTGGCGCTGGCAGCAGCTCCACGTTGAGGTCGCCTGCAGCCCGCACCGCGGAGCGCTGGAGGTCCCTGAGCCCGGTCTGGGGAGGCCAATCCGCAGGTGCCTGGTGCCCGGTGCCTGCCGCAGTCTCAAAAGCGCCTGGAGGTGACATCCAGGAGCACCACTGCACCACCCGCAGGGAGACCCACGGCGAGGCGCGCCCCCTAAAGCGGCCAAGGAAGAAGCAGAAGGATAGGAAGGCACCCAGAGCTTGGGGTGATCTCAGGCCGCGCGCCCCGACCAAGTTCCTGCTCTCTGGGAGGTTTTTTTTAAATTTCTTCCATATTATTATCTTTATTATTATTAACTTTTCAAGATGGATTAAAGACTTAAATGTTAGACCTAAAACCATAAAAACCCTAGAAGAAAACCTAGGCAATACCATTCAGGACATAGGCATGGGCAAGGACTTCATGTCTAAATCACCAAAAGCAATGGCAACAAAAGCCAAAATTGACAAATGGGATCTAACTAAACTAAAGAGCTTCTGCACAGCAAAAGAAACTACCATCAGAGTGAACAGGCAACTTACAGAATGGGAGAAAAATTTTGCAATCTACCCATCTGACAACGGGCTAATATCCAGAATCTACAAAGAACTTAAACAAATATACAAGAAAAAATCAAACAATCCCATCAAAAAGTGGGGGAAGGATATGAACAGATACTTCTCAGAAGAAGACATTTATGCAGCCAACAGACACATGAAAAAATGTTCATCATCACTGGCCATCAGAGAAATGCAAATCAAAACCACAATCCGGGAGGTCTTGCCAAAGACGATGTGGGCTTTCTGGGCAATGTCCGGCCTGAGCTGGAGATTCTGGGACGCGGTCAAGTGGTCCTTTGGAGATTCCACGGCTTCGGATCCCTACTGCAGGATGCTCCGCTGTGTCTGCCAGCCTCTGGCGTTTTGCTGAGGGGTAACCTCGGAATGTATAGACATAAGAACACTGGGATGGCCCAGTCGTGCCCCAGGCATTCCCGCACACAGTGGTGGCAAAGGCAGGCGCTCAGACAAAGTGCCCAGTCGGCTTGGTGAGAGTTTTTTACAGGTTAGTGACAGACTTGGTCCCGTGCTTGTGTTTTCTCATGTTTTCAGTTAACCTGCGGACGCCCAGGGGCTCCTCCATCTCCACCCTGTTCTCCTCGGGCTGAAGCCCAAAGTCCCCCATTTTCTCCTCAAATGGCTCACAGAGCCACTTCTGCAGGCAGGAAGACAGGGGTGGGCTCAGTGGCTGACCTGGGAAGCCACATCTGAAGGAACTGCTGGGTGACTATGGCCATAAGTCAATCAAAGCAGACTCCCTGGCTTGCTGCGCTACATTGATTTTGTTTTCATTTTTTAAAAGACGCAGAAGGGAGGTCCTAGGAAATTTGCCTGCAACAATAAAAGTTTTTGTCAATATAACATAACACATAGGCAAAATATTGTTTCCAAGTGATTGATGATGTGGTGCCTTCAGTCTAGTCCCAACCCCTCAATGTAATCATCCCTAAATCTAATGAAATATGAAATATGAAAAAGATTACCCAGAAGGAAAACAAGAGCTATTTTCTAAACATCTGAAATCTGTATAGGCTTTTGGAAAAGTGAAACTAGATGCAAAGCACAATGATATAATTCTGGCAAGTTGATTTCATTCTTCTGCATATGGATATCCAGTTTTTTCAACATCATTTCCCACCAGTGTATGTTCTTGGCACCTTTGTCAAAAATGAGTTCACTGTAGGTATGTAGATTTGTTACTGGGTTCTCTATTGTGTTCCATTGATCTATGGGTCTCTTTTTATGCCAGTACCCTACTCTTTTGGTTACTATAATTCTGTAGTATAATATGAAGTCAGATAATATAATTCCTCCACTTTTATTTATTTATTTATTTTTGCTTAGGATAGTATTATTTCTTATACTGAAAGCATTCTATGTTATTTATTATTAGGCTAATTTTGTAGTTTTACAATGCTATCCTCTTTTACAAAGCTGTGATCAACTCAAAGTCCAGATCAGGGTCAATTGTAGCTATTTGCAAAAGTAGCAATATTCTGGCCGGGTGTGGTGGCTCATGCCTATAATCCCAGCACTTTGGGAGGCCAAGACAGGCAGGTCACCTGAGGTCAGAGGTTCAAGACCAGCCTGGCCAATATGGTGAAACCCTGTCTCCAATAAAAATACAAAAATTAGCCGGGGATGATGGCAGATGCCTGTAATCCCAGCTACTCAGGAGGCTGAGGCAGGAAAATCACTTGAACCTGTGAGGTGGAGGTTGCAGTGAGCCCAGAATGCACCATTGCACTCCAGCCTGGGTAACCAAGTGTGACTCTGTCTCAAAAAAGAAAAAAAAGCACTATACTGTGTAATTATTGACAGCATAATTCACTATTATGTGGATCAGAGAGCAGAGGATTCTGAATGCATGAACATATCTTTAACATTTCAATACATTACTCATAATTACTAATGAACTAAAGAGAAACCAAGAAATTATGGTGGTAGTTATATTGACCTGGAGAAATGTAGACACTAAAGAATGGTAAGATGAGAAATGTGTTAACACAGGCTATAAGGGCATGCAAGAATAAAAATAGGGGAGAAAACAGGAGAGTTTTTCAAGACCTTTCTGGTCATGTAAGTAAATTTGTTATCGGTTAATTTTTAAAAGGTTTATTTTCATGCAATAAACTGCACGTACTTCAATTGTACATTTTGATAATTCTTGGTATTTGTAGCTCTACAAAACCAACAACATATTAAAATAGCAAACATATCCATTACCTTTACCACCAAAGTTTCCTTGTGCTTTTTCTACTCACTTTTTCCTGCCTATCCCCATTCCATCCACAGGCAACCACTGATCCACTTCCAGTCACTATCCATGAGTTTTTATTTCCAAACACATAAAATCATAGGGTATGTATACTTTCTGGTCACTCAGCATCACTATTTTTGAGATTTATTCATGTTGCTACATCTATCAATTGTTCTGTTCTTACTAGGGAGTATTATTTCATTATATACAGATACCATAGTAAGTTTATAAGTCACAAATTCACCTGTCCATGGATATTTGGACTGTTTTCAGGTTTTGGCTGTTGCAAGTAAAGCTGCTGTGAAGATTCATGTAAAATCCTTTGAATGGGCATATGCTCTTAGGTTTTCATCTCTACCGGAAGTGGAATAGATAGCTATATGGCTATCATGTCTGTAATATGCAAACACAAAGCCTGACAAAACTGATTTCTAAAGTGGAAATTCCACTGAAGAACCTTGACTCCAACCTGACTTTTGAGATTATCTCCTATGTCTGGTGCAATGATTGGTCCTGGGGTAGCCACATGACCCAAGGGGGACCATGTTTAAACTTCTGAGTTTTCACTGAGATTAACATGCATTTGTTGAAAGAGAAACCCCTTTTCCCCTACTCCCCCAGCTGCAAATGCTTTCAGGGATTACATCATGTTGGAACATTTGGTTACAGTGTTTCCTAAACTTTGAGGGTAAAAATTGTTGAAGTAGGTAAAAATGGAGCACATACAAAGAAAAAAGGAGTCCAGAAATATCAAATAAAGAAAGGGCCTCCATAAAATCATTTGAACTTATGATTAATTCATTAGTCATTAAAATAAGTTTAGTGTACAAAGAATCATCCCCCCAACCACCCTTTATTCCTTCACCAGGTTTAAGTTACATTTTTTAACTTGCAAACAAAAGATTTGTCATTAACTTAGACATCAAAATCCCTTGTCTCCAAGAGCAATCATTCAACTCTGTCCCTCTCATTATTACAATAATATGTTCACTTTATTCTGCATACACCTGCTCTTTGCCCTTGTCTCCCTATTCTATTCTGTTAAAGTTATATCCAGACATTTATTTCATTTTATATCAAAGAAACTGTATACATGTTTTTAATCTTAGAAAAATTTCTGAGTAATCTTTTGTCTCATATTTGATTTTAAGCCACCCAAGAAGCATTATTTTTTCATTTAGCATTTTAACTTTTCTAACCCAGGACTTTTGTAGTAGACATTATGTCTTTTTCTAAATGTCCTGCTTCAATTTACATTTTAAATCTAATTTTTAAAAAGTGTATGTTTTGAATATTAGCATTATGCATCTCAGGCCTAAATATCCCTTGATAGCAAATATTGTCTTTTTTTCTCTACATTTTTCACATATTTCAATAGGGAGCTATATTGCCTGCAACAATAAAAGTTTTTGTCAATATAACATAACACATAGGCAAAATATTGTTTCCAAGTGATTGATGATGTGGTGCCTTCAGTCTAGTCCCAACCCCTCAATGTAATCATCCCTAAATCTAATGAAATATGAAATAAATATTTCATTTTGTTTCTAAAATTCAGCAGAAAAATATATAGCCTGTCACATATAGCCTGTAACACCAACATATAAAAATTAAAGCAGTTCCTTCTCCACTCCCACTGCTTCACTTGACTAGCCTTAAAAAATAATAATAATAAATAAAAGCAAAATTGTTCCTTTACTTATCTTTGAAATCTAATGGATATACTATCAGAAAATCTCTTATATATATGGAGGGCCTCTATAAAATATAGACTCTTAACTAGAAAAGTAGACTTATATGATAGTTAAATTTAAAACACAATTGTATATAGTACCTTCCCAAATGCACCAGTACTTATTTCAGAATGCATGATGTAATTGACTAAACCATTTAGGGCTAGACCTCTGAAAGAAAAGGCATTCACACTTTGTGATTCCTGGGGAAAATATTATTCAAAATAGAAACATGCAGAACCTTTACCTGATCGTGATAAAAAAATGTTCCTACTTGTTAATATGCCACAGCTTTTACAAGGTCAGCAAAAAGAGATTATCCCATAATATAAGCTGATGGCCAAAATTATCTGCCTTACTTTAGTTACCATAATATCTATTAAGTGTAAATTTCTTTTGAAAGAAAACAGATACATTTTTCTCAGAAATGTCTTTAGATGAAGATCTAGCACATCTGTGTTTCTCACTTTTTAAAATGTTGATTTTATTGATAAATAAATATATATAGGGTACAATGTGGTACGATACATGTAAATATTGTGAAATGGACAAATTAGGCTAAATAACGTATCCTTCACCTCAGATATTTATTACATTATGGTGAAACATTTAAAATGTACTATTTTAGCACTTTTAAGATATGCACTACATTATAAGTAACTGCAGTCACTTTGCTGTGCACCATATCACCAGAATGTCTTTCTCCTAACTGAAGCATTATCCCATTGAATATTTCCCCTTTTTCCACCCCTGCCCCCCACCCTGCTCAGCCTCTGATAAACCACCATTCCACTCTTAACTTCTATGAGTGCACAGTTTTGGATTTCACATATAAGTGATATTAAGAGATATTTGTCTTTCTGTGTCTGGCTTATTTTACTTAGCATAATGTCCTCTAAATCCATCCACGTTTTTGCAAATGACAGAATTTCATTCATTTATAAAGATAAGCAGTATTTTTGTATGCATCCTACATATACTTTTAACTTTCCACAGCTTTATTGAGATATAATTTATACATTGTGTAATTCACTCATTTAAAGTACAAACTTCAAATTCTTTTAGTATATTAACTGGATGGACAAATAATCATCATAATATAATTTTAGAACATTTTAATTCTCCTTAAAAGAGACTTGCGCCCATTAGCAATCTTTCCCCATTTTCTCCAGCCTTTTTTAAACCCCTCCTAGTCTAGGCAACCACTCGTCTACTTTCTGACTATGAATTTGCCTATTCTGGACATTTCACATAAATGGAATCATAATAACACATAGTCACTTTTTACTCACATCTTTCACTTAACGTATTTTTAATGTTCATCCGTTTTGGAGCATGCATTAACAGTTTTTTACCTTCTCTTGCTAAATAAGATTCTGTTTTATGGACACACCACATTTTATTTATCCACTCCTCAGCTGATGAACATTTCTGTTGTTTTCTACTTTGTGTTGCTATAAACATTTGTGTACTACTGTTTGTGTAGCATTTGTTTTATTTTCTTTTTGGTAAACACACAGAAGTGGAATTGCTGGGTCATGTGATAACTCTATGTTTAACCATTTGAAGAACTGCCAGACTGTTTTACATTTTAAAGTCTCACCAGTGGTGTAGAAGGGTTCCAATTTTTCCACATATTTTTATCTATTCTTCAGTTGATAAGCACTTAGGTTGTTTCTAATTCATGGGTATTATGAATAATGCTGCAACGAACATGAAATTGCAGATGTCTCTTTTTGACATACCGATTGAAATTCCTTTGGACATATATCCAGAAGTGGGATTGATGGATCATAGGGTAAATATAATTTCTTGAGGGAACTTCATACTGTTTTCCAAGATGGCTGTACTAATTTCCATTCCTACCAACAGTGTACAGGGTTTCTTTTTCTCCACATCCTCATCAACACTTATCTTCCATCTCTTTTTATAATAGCCTTAGTAAAATGTGTGAGGTGATATCTCATTGTGGCTTTGATTTGCATTTCTCTGATAATTAGAAATGTTTTTGATTTTTTCATGTACCTATTGGCCTTTTGTATGCCTTAGGAAATGTCTATTCTGGTTTTTTGCTTATTTTTTTTAATAAGCATAGTTTTATTCTTATTTTTGAGTAGGTTGAGTTACTTATATATTATTATATGAGCCCTTTATCTGATGTATGGTTTAAAAGTGTTATCCCATTTGTGGGTTCTCTTCATTCTATTATCGCTTCTTTTCCGTGGAAAAGCTTTTTAGTTTTATGCAATCTCATTCGTGTGTTTTTGCTTTTGTTGCCTGTGCTTTTGGAATAATCTACAGAAAATCATAGCTCAGGCCAATGTCATACAGTCTTCTTCTATATTTCTTTGTAGTAGTTTTACATTTAAGTCTTTAATTTTGATTTGATACTTGTATAAAGAGCAAAAGGAAAGTCAAATTTTATTCTTCTGTATGTGGATATTCAGTTTTTTCTACCCCATTTATTGAAAATAATTTTCTTTCTTCATTGTGTATTTTTAGTCATTTTATCAAAAAATCAATTGACCACAGACACACGGATTTATTTACGGGTTCTATATCCCTTTGCACTGTTCTACCTGTCTGTTTTTATGCCACTGCTATGTTGTTTTAATTACTATGGCTTTGTAATATAGTTTGGAATTGGGTAGTCTGATACCTCCAGCTTTGTTCTTTTTGTTCAAGATTGCTTTGGTTAGTCGGGGTCTTTTGTGGTTCCATACAAATTTTAGCAGTAATTTTTCTATTTCGGGGAATTTGATAGTGGTTGCATTTAATCTGTAGATTGCTTTGGGTAGCATTGACACTTTTACAATACTAATTTTTGAATCCATCAGTAAAGGATGTTTCTCCATTTATTTATGCCATTTTAATTTTTTTCATCAATGTGCTATAGTTTTCAGTGTGCAAATATTTCACATTCTTGATTAAATTTACTCCTAAGTCTTTTATATATTTTTATATCTGTTTTGATTCTATTATAAATTGAATTGCCTTATTACTTTATTTTTCAGGTAATAGTTTGTCATTAGTGTATAGAAACAATAATGCTAGCTGTATGTTGATTTTGTAACTATTAACTTTATTGAATTTCTTTATCAGCTTTAACCATTTATTTTGGTGGAGTCTTTAAGATTTTCTCTATCTTGAGTGCGCGAGGCGCGGGGAGCCTAGGACCTGGAGCGAGAGCCGCCTACCTCAGCCGCCGCCCACGGCACGGCAGCCACCATGGCGCTCCTGCTGCGCTTCGTGCTCCTGTGCGGAGTCGCGGATTTCACCAGAAGTTTGAGTATCACTACTCCTGAGCAGATGATTGAAAAAGCCAAAGGGGAAACTACCTATCTGCCATGCAAATTTACGCTTAGTCCTGAAGACCAGGGACCACTGGACATCGAGTGGCTGATATCACCAGCTGATAATCAGAAGGTGGATCAAGTGATGATTTTATATTCTGGAAACAAAATTTATGATGATTACTATCCAGAACTGAAAGGCCGAGTACATTTTAAGAGTAATGATCTCAAATCTGGTGATGCATCAATAAATGTAACGAATTTACAGCTGTCAGATATTGGCACAGATCAGTGCAAAGTGAAAAAAAGCTCCTGGTGTTGCAAATAAGAAGATTCAGCTGGTAGTTCTTGTTAAGCCTTCAGGTACAAGATGTTATGTTGATGGATCAGAAGAAATTGGAAGTGACTTTAAACTAAAATGTGAACCAAAAGAAGGTTCACTTCCATTACAGTATGAGTGGCAAAAATTGTCTGACTCACAGAAAATGCCCACTTCATGGTTAGCAGAAATGACTTCATCTGTTTATATCTGTAAAAAAATGCTTCTTCTGAGTACTCTGGGACATACAGCTGTACATCAGAAACGGAGTGGGCTCTGATCAGTGCCTGTTGCGTGTAAACGTTGTCCCTCCTTCAAATAAAGCTGGACTAATTGCAGGAGCCATTATAGGAACTTTGCTTGCTCTAGTGCTCATTGGTCTTATCATCTTTTGCTGTCGTAAAAAGCGCAGAGAAGAAAAATACGAAAAGTAAGTTCATCACGATATCAGGGAAGATGTGCCGCCTCCAAAGAGCCGTACGTCCGCTGCCAGAAGCTGCATAGGCAGTAATCATTCATCCCTGGAATCCATGTCTCCTTCCAACATGGAGGGATATTCCAAGACTCAGTATAAACAAGTACCGAGTGAAGACTTTGAACGCACTCCTCAGAGTCCAACTCTCCCACCTGCTAAGGTAGCTGCCCCTAATCTAAGTCGAATGGGCGTGATTCCTGTGATGATTCCCGCACAGAGCAAGGATGGGTCTATAGTATAGAGCCTCCATACGTCTCATCTGTGCTTTCCGTGTTCCTTTCCTTTTTTGATATATGAAAACCTATTCTGGTCTAAATTTTGTTACTAGCCTCAAAATGTATCCAAAAATAAGTTAATCAGGAGCTGTAAGGAATATATTTTTTAAAATTTTTCTTTGGTTATATCGAAATAGTTACAGGCATTAAAGTTAGTAAAGACAAGTTTACCATCTGAAAAAGCTGGATTTTCTTTAAGAGGTTGATTATAAAGGTTTCTAAATTTATCAGTACCTAAGTAAGATGTAGCACTTTGAATATGAAATCATAAGTGAAGACATTGGTGAACTTACTTGCATACCAAGTTGATACTTGAGTAACCATCTGAAAGTGGTACTTGATAATTTTTACCATTATTTTTAGGATGTGTATCTCATTTATTTATGGCCCACCAGTCTCCCCCAAATTAGTACAGAAACATCCATGACAAAATTACACATGTGTGTTTGTACTTGTTTTCACAGCTCCTTGGAAAACTCTGTGTTAGGAATATCTCTAAAAACATAGAAAACACTACAGTGGTTTAGAAATTACTAATTTTACTTCTAAGTCATTCATAAACCTTGTCTATGAAATGATTTCTTAAATATTTAGTTGATAGACTGCTACAGGTAATAGGGACTTAGCAAGCTCTTTTATATGCTAAAGGAGCATCTATCAGATTAAGTTAGAACATTTGCTGTCAGCCACATATTGAGATGACACTAGGTGTAATAGCAGGGATAGATTTTGCTGGTGAGTGGTCTCATGCCTTGAGATCTGTGGTGGTCTTTAAAATGGTGGCCAGCCAGATCAAGGATGTAGTATCTCATAGTTCCGGACTAAATACTGGCTTTCCACTTTAGGTGATATTTTTCTTATTAGAAAAATATTATAACTCATTTATTGTTTGACAATTATAGATTGAAATTTCCTAATTCTAAATTTTAAGTGGTTCTTCAGTTTCAGTGCTTTATGTTGTTTGTTGTTGGTTTGGCATGGCATTACATATTATATGTTCTAGAAACATGTAATCCTAAATTTACCCTCTTGAATATGATCCCTGGATGATATTTTTATCATAAATGCAGAATAATCAAATATATTTTAAGCAAGTAAGTGTCCTCCATCAGTTCTGTATTCCAGACATGGGAAGATGTACAGTTGCTGTTGTGTGATCAAGCATGTCTCTGTGTAGTTCCAGCAAATCAAGCTGAGCTTTGAAAAAGTTTGAGTCTTAGTTTTGTGAAAGTGGTTTATTCTCAAAAAAAAAAAAAAAAAGAAAAAGAAAAAGAAAAAAAGATAAGAAGAAGGAGTAAAGGGACTACTCCTTGCCAAATGTGCTAAATATCATTTTAGGAGAAGAAAGTGGATTTATTGTATTTCCCTTAAGATTGTGAGGGAGTGTGGATACAGTAGAATGAGCCAACAGTTTCTTTATAATAAATACGGTCTGCAATAAATTATTTCACTAGCTGTAAAACCTTTCCCTAGATTTTAGTAGGGAGTTGGTTTCTGTTAATATCTTTGGGTGTTGTGGTGGTAAATGCTACATTATAAACAGTGGCATGTATTTACAGTTAGAGTATCGTGTGTGCACTTTTTAATGGTAAACTTAAGCTGAATGTGTAATGGATTTGTCTATAGTTTTACATATTTGGAAGCATTTTAAAATAGGTTTTAATCTTACATAAAATTACTTTTATACTTGTGTTAACATTTTCTTCTGTGCCTTTTGGGTAATTTAATTTCTGTTATGAATTTCTGGTGCCTATGAGCTAGCTATCACCTACCCGAAAGGTGCTTAGAGGTGAAGGTACTGTTTCTAAAAACACATCACTGTGACACCTTTCTATCCTCACATTTTCAAGCTTGCCTCTTTTCTGTTCTTTGTGGATATAACGTAAGTGATTGTGTTATTCATAAAGATTTAGAAATTTCAATATTCCCAACACTCTATGTTTCTGATTTTATAACAGTAGCCATTTTTGAATGTCAGATGTTTGGCCTGTTTTATACGAATAAAGTTTATTTATAAAATATAAAAATAAGTAAACAGAACATTAATAATAAAAAAAGATTTTCTGTATCTTAAGATTATATTTTCAGAAAACAGAAATAATCTTACCTCTTCCTTCCCTATATGGATTTCTTTTATTTCTTTGTCTTGTGTAATTGATCTGGCTAGGCAATTACACATAATGTTTTCAGCATTTGTAATTTTACATCAAATCCATCCATTGTAACACATTGATTGCTACTTTTCAACTTGTAAACCTGGACATTTATTACTACTCTTCCTCCAGTACAGGAGTCCATGGCGCGGTGTGGGCCCTGCTGTGCCACAGTCCAGGGCACGGCTGGGCGGAGATTCTCTCCTGCAAGAGTCCGCGGCTCTGCGGAGCAAGAGTTCTCCAGTGCCTTAGTCCAGGGTGAGGCAGGGGTGAGGCTCCTTCAGTAGCTCAGTCCAGGGTACAGCCCTGCGAGGTTCCTCCTGTGCAGGAGTACACGATGCTGCGGGGTCCTACTGTGCCTTAGTCCATGACGCAGGGAGGCTGGGTCCTCTGGTGCCATAGTCCAGGTCGCGGGGAGCTGGGTCCTCTGGTGCCTTAGTCCAGGTCGCGGGGAGCTGGGTCCTCTGGTGCCATAGTCCAGGGTGCGGTGGAACAGGAGTCCTGCGGAGCAGTAGTCCAGGGCGCGCTGGGGCGTGGATCCTCAGGTGCCACAGTCCAGAGCGCGACAGGGCGGGATTCCTGCCTTGCTATATCCAAGGTGCAGCGGGGCGAGGGTTCTCTTGTTCAGGAGTCCAGGACGTGGCAGAGCCGGAGTCCTCCGTGTAGGAGTCCTCCGGTGCTGGAGTCCAGAGCACAGTGAGGCTGGGTCCTCCCGTGCCATAGTGTAGGGCATGGCGGGACAGGGATCCTGCCCTGCGATAGTCCAGTGCTTGAGTCCGCAGTAAGGCAATGGTCCTCCAATGCTGGAGTTCACGGCGTTGTGGGGTCGGGGTCCTTCGGTGACTTAGTCCAGGGCGTACCAGGGCGGGGGTCCACAGTTGCCATAGTGAGGATCTTGGAGGAGGGTGGTTCCTGCCTTGCTGTAGTCCGGGGAGCAGGGGGCAGGGGTCCTCTCTTGTCAGAGTCTCTGGCGCGGGGTGGGGGTGGAGGTGAGGGTTTTCCTATGCGATAGCCCACAGGTCGGTGAAGCCGGGTCCTCCCATGCCTTTGTCCAGGGCGCAGGGGGGCGAGGGTCTTCGGTGGTGGAGTCCGCGGAGCGGCAGGACGGGGGTCCTCCAGTGCCATATTCCAGGGCACGGCGGAGTGGGGGACCTGTCCTGCAGTGGTCCAGGGCATGTGGGAGTGGTGGTCCTGCTGTGCCTCAGTCCAGTGCGCGGTGGGACGGCGGTCCTGCTGTGCTGTAGTGCAGGACGCGGTGGCGCAGGGGTAGTCCAGAGAGCGCCGTGGCAGGGGGTCCTCCAGTGCTGGAATCCAGTGCAAGGCGGGTCAGGGGTCTTACCGTGCCGAAGTCGGTGGCAAGGGTCCTCCCGTGCCATAGTCTAGGGGGCGACGGGGCAGGGTTCTCTAGTGCAAGTGTCCAGGGTGTGGCGGGGCAGGAGTCCTCTTGTGCAGGAGTCCAGGACGTAGCCGAGGAGTCCTCCAATGCCAGAGTCCAGGGCTCTGCGGGGCCGGGTTCCCCCATGCCAGAGTGTAGGGCGTGTTCAGGTGAGGGTCTTGGCGTGCAGTAGTCCAGGGTGCGGTGGGGCAGGGGTAGTCCAGACCTCCATGGCGGGCGTCCCTCTGTGCAGGAGCCCAGTGCCTGGCGGATCGGGGGTCCTTCCGTGCTGTAGTCCAGGGCACTGCAGGGTGTGGGTCCTCTGGTGCCCTAGTCCGGGGGCGGCGAGTCAGAGGTTCTCCCGTGTCTTGGTCTAGGGCCTGGCAGGACTGGGGTCCTGGAGTCCACGCGGTAGCCCAAGTTGCCGCAGGACCAGGTCCTCTGGAACCACAGTCCAGGGCGCTGAGGGGCAGGAGTAGTTCAGGGCGAGCCAGGGCCCAGGTCCTCGGGAGCCAGAGTCCAGGGTGTGGAGGGGTGGGGGTTCTGCGGTGGCACAGTCCAGGACACCGCGGGGCGGGGCAGGGCGGGGATCCTCCGGTGCCTTAGTCCAGGGCTGAGCCGCGGGAGAGGTCCTCCAGTAGCATAGTCTAGCGCACGGCGTTGCAGGTGTCCTCCAGTGCCTGAGGCCAAGGCAGGTCGCGGGTCCCACTGTGCTCTAGTTCAGGGCGGAGCGGGTCTGAGGTCTTCTCCTGCCTCAGTCTAGGGCGCTGGAGAGCGGGGATCCTCTGGTGCCAGAGTCAATGGATCCACGGGTCTGGGTCCTCCCATGTCGTAGCCCCGGGAGGGGAGAGGCAGGGGTCCGCCTTTGCCCTAGTCCAAAGCATTGTGAGGCCCCGCTCCTGCATTCTTAACTGTCTGTGCCTCTGCCGCCGCGGGGGAAAACTGCACCATCTCAGGCAAGCCTAACAGAGCAGCTGTCCTTAAAAGATTCCCAGTTGAGTGTGGTTCGGAGCAGGCCTGAGAAGTGTGCCCTTAGATGGCTTCAAGGGCTCTGGGCAGTGTTTAAGGAATCCAGCTGACCTCAGTTACTCCAAGCCCTTTTCCACTCGGCAGAACTTCTGGCCATGGGGTCCCCTATCTGCGGGGCCCTTCTATCATCCCAGATCCCCACAGGGTGGACTCCCTGTCATCCTCACAATCTCAGCTCAGGCCTTATTCATCACCGCATTCCTGGCACCAGGCCTGGCCCATGAGAAATGGGTCAGATTAAGAGCTAAATGTGTTTTCATGGTCACTTGTTTTCTTCAGGCCTCCTTTCTTTGTGCCAGCATCTTTAACCAGTTTTTGGTTAAAGTTTTCAGCAGCTGCATGCGGTTCCATTTTTCTTACCAGGTAAGAGACAAAGCTTCATGAAAACAAAGGGAGAACACTTGTGACCAGAGAACTCCCAGTCCTCTCCCTGCATAGGAAAACTGGACTTCTCCGGAGGGCTCCAGCTCCTGGGCAAATCTCTAGGGCCACTTAATTGGGCTGTCCCCCACCTTTGTTTCTGGTTTTGGAGGGGCCAAGGTTGGGAATCCTTTCTAAGTCTCTACACATGGAGCCCTTCTTTGGTGGGAAAGTCTTGACATATACCAGGATTCTCATTGACCTTTCAGAGCCTTCAAGAATCCTGAGCTGCTTTGGTTTCTGTTCCTGGAAGAGAGGCCACTGAACTGCTCTGGAGCTGGAGTTCAGGTTCAATATTCATCACTGTTACTAAGCCTTTACATAGCATGTGATTTCTTTCCGGCAGGCTCATGGTCACTTAGGTTTGCTTGTATGTAGATGGAGGGTCTGCATCCTCATTCAGGTAACACCCTCAGCCTTTCATGCTGAGATTAGCCATTTTATTTGTAACTCACTGTACAATCCATTTGCTCTTCCAGTGTCCCTTAGAAGGATGCAGAGTGTTCTGTAGAATGCCATAGAGACCTGGATTTAGGGAAAATATTTGACCAAAAGTCTGCCAACTCACATGAGTATCTCCCCACAACTTGTACAGTGCTAGTCTCTGGGTATATAGTAAATGAAACTGTGCCTGAGCAGATGTTACAAACACCCTCCCCTGAGAGACTCCAGGGCTGCTTTATTCAAGCAAAACGGTGTGCTCTAATAAGCTCAGTGTTGGGAGGAACAAGTTTTCATTCCAGCTTTCTCAAAATCTCCCTTTGTGACTTTAGACATAATAATAATAACACTACCTAGGTAGTGAACACCTCTGCCAAGAAATATCATGATCATTGCCTGAGTTGTAATTCTCACAGTAGTCCTGCAGGACAGCTGCTGTTACTGCTTATTACGCAGATGGGCAACCTGAGGCTCAGATGGAGTTAAGTGGCTTAATTGGTAGCAACAGAGCCAGCATTTGAACCCAGGGCTGCCTGATCACCAAATAAAATTGTACTCAACACGATGCACTTAACTTTTCTGGCCTCATTTCTCTCACCTGTAAAAATACAGGTTTCAGATGTTTGTAATATTTTACCTGTGGTTGAAAGAGTTACCAGCCCTTCCTTGATCACCCATGGTAAGACCCATGAGCCTCTGAATATAATTATAGAAAACATTTGGAGAGGGATAGAGAGAGACAAGATCATGCCTCCTTTGATAATGTCAAATTTTCAGTGCACGAAGCCATACATAGTGCAGTTTTCTAGCTTCCCTTTCACACATGGCATTGAAGAAAGTAAATTAAGCAACTCAGCTAACACTGGGAATGCAGCAGAAGTAATCGAGTTCAGTGCTGGGAGATAGTTGCCATGATATTCCAACATGGACACCAGGATCACAGTCGATGACTATGCCCTCCCTTGAAGATGGTGGCTTGCCTCTCTTTCTGTAAGCAAATGTCATGTCATAACAATATTAAACAATTAAAAGTAATGTCCCCATCTTCTTCTACACTGCCTTTGAATTATTATTTTATATCTGCCAAAATAAATTGCAAACTCATTAACAAGAAAGGGGGGTGCATGCCTCCCTGCCTTCCTGAGTAGTCTATTCACCCAAAGACAAAAGGGTGACCAGCCTCCATCTGGGATATTCAAAGACACAGTCACCCTGCCATGCAGCCTGAGGCTGGCGAAGGTCCAATCCCCTTTTTAAGAAGCTTGTTAGATGAGCTCCTTAAACATACAACCACAAAGGAAAGGCACAGCCGGTGTGAGCGAGGCTGATAAGATGGGCATTTTGTCTGCTTCAAGGTTAGAATGCAACTTGTCTATCAAAATGTGGTTATCTGACCTCCACAATGCTGCAGTCCAGCTAAATCATGCAAATATTCATCCACCATTTACTATGGATAAAACAATAATGTGCTGTGGGGAATCCAATTACACACACACACACACAAAAGTGCACACACACATGCATGCACACACACTGCTCCTGCTGTCTCAGAGGTTCCAGGCTGGCAAGGAAGAAGTGCAAACATTAGTAGGTAAGTCCACTAGCAGGAGGAATGTGATAAGTAGATCCAACAGGGTACAACACAGTATGATAGGAGCAAACAAGGTAGAAATGAGTTCTGACTCCCTTTCACTTATGAAACTGATTATGGAATAGTGTATAAAAGGCTTGCCTGAATGAATCTCATATTTTCCAAGTGTTTTCTGTCCCAGTGATTGGAACTTTTATTCATCTATACCATTGTCCAAAAGGAAAATACAGGAGATTTTCCTAAGACCATCCTCTGTCTTATTGCTCATATCATATCCCCAAACATCACCAAGCCCTGCCCACTTTTACCTACTCAGTTTCTCTCCAGTTGCTCTGTTTTCTCCATATGCACTAGTGATACCTTGGCTACATGAAGACCACCAGCAGCAGCTGGGACAACCAGCACCCTGTGGAACTGCATAGCATGCATAGAATACGTCCTCCCTTCAGTCGGCTTGGGTCAGCTTAGGTCATGGGCCACTTGGACTGACAGCAGTTTCCACAGAAATGCCTCAAGATGATAGAATAATCCAAATCTCTTTGCATGGGGCATGGTGTGGCTATCTGAGAAAATCCTGGCTTTTATAGGAAGGAGAAAGACGAATGCTTCTTGAGGGGAAGAAACCAACAGGAATGTGCCTCAGGGAAATGTCACCAGAGGAGAGTGAGCTGTAATGAGTATTTTGGCAGATTGCATGTTTCTTGTGGTTCTTGTGTTCCTTGGCCCTGCACAGAGCTACCATTTACTCATTTGACAAATATTTGAGTAGTAGGCTCCAGGGTTCAATGGTGAGCAAAAATGCACAGAATTTCTTCTCTAGTGGAGCTGAGAGTCTAACAGAAAAAGCTGACATTAGTCATAGAATTATGTAATAAGGGAAAGTTCAGCAGACCCAGGGGTGCT
The DNA here is from genome assembly GCF_000001405.40 of Homo sapiens. NCBI lineage: Eukaryota > Metazoa > Chordata > Mammalia > Primates > Hominidae > Homo > Homo sapiens. The sequence goes on along the minus strand of NC_000018.10, from coordinate 14,470,221 downwards.
GCAAGAGCCTGGGAAGGCAGACTTACCCCAAGAGGGAGACAGGAAAGGTTGCCCCCAGGAAGTAGCACTTGAGCTACAATCAGGGAGAAAACTAGGCAAGGACACAGCATTCAGGAGAAGGTAGAAGCTGGCCCATGAGGATGGTGGTGTGGAGAGGTGAACCAGTACCCAGGTCTTGGATTTATTGTTGAGCTGCTGAATTAACCAGTGCTGGCTCTCTCCCAACCTCTGCACTTCTTGTTTTGCAGGGTTACATTTTTTTTTATTTAAAAGCTAGTATGATTTGGGATCTGTTGCTTTTCTGAGACCCCATCCTGTGAGGTAGACAGGGGGCCTCACTGTACTCTGGGGAAGCTAAAGATGGAGAAGAGTTTTAGAGTGCCTGGAGAAGAGGCCCTTTAATAGATCATTTAAGAAGAGGGTGCTACCGCTAGACTGCCCAGATTCATTTTCTGGCTTTGTGACCTTGGGCTCTCTGTGTCTGTTTTCCAATCTGAAAAATGGAATAATGATAGTATCTGCCTCTGCCTGCAAGACCCTGACCTATCCGACCAACTACCTTTTCACTAGAACTCTCTTCCTGCACTGTACCCCAACTGGACCCTCATTAACACTTAAAATGGGCATGTTTCCCTTTTCTAGATTTTGCTCAAGACTTTTCCCTCATCAGAATTAACTTTGGTCCATCTCCCTCTATTGGAATTCAACCCATTCTCCAGAAATCAGTTCAAATTTTATCACCAGAAAGCGTCTCTCAATTATACCAAGCCTCTTTTATACTTTGTGCCATTTCTGCCATGATTTCTTATGTTTTCCTTTTTCACTACATATTGGTATAGGTACATATGATCTCCACTTCCACTCAAATGTGAGGTTACTGAGGGCAATCCCTATGGGTATAGTCATAGCCCAAGAGTCCTCGGCAGAGGGTCTCCCTCTTTCACCCAGGTTGGAGTGCAGTGGTGCAACCAGAGCTTACTGCAGCCTTGACCTCCTGGATTCAAATGATCCTCTCACCTTAGCCTTTCCAGTAGCTGGTACTAAAAGGCGGGCACCACCATGCTTGGATAATTTTCATATTTTTCATAGAGATGGGGTTCCACCACGTTGCCTTGCTTGGTCTCAAAGTTCTGAGCTCAAGCAATCCACCTGCCTCAGCCTCTCAACATCCTGGAATGACAGCATGAGCTACCACACCTGGCCAAATGCCGAATACTTTAGTCATATATGCCTGACACTTCCAGGGCATGCAGAACTGCCTCGCTTACTTTTCTTTTGACTCAGTTTATAAATTTTCTTAATTTAAATTTTAATTCAACATGTATGCATCTTTGAAATAAATAAAATAATCTCTTTGAATGTTTGGCATAATGTAGAAGAAATTGACAAATGGATATCTTTACTTCATTTTCCATCTCAAAATGTGGTAGAAATATGCTCCCCTAAAGTGATCCCAGTTATTACATAGCCATCTTGCTGTGGTTAATGTAGAATCTTTTTGCAATATCACATGCATGACAGGGCACATCCAAGAAACATTTAAGTGAAGATAATACTAGATTCTTGAAAGTATCTAGACACTTAAGAGCAGGCAGTGATGATGTTAATTAACAGTAACAATGTCGAGGGACTGGCTTTTGCCCTTCCCTAATAAACATAAAGAGCATAGAAACTCCGCAAGTTTGCTCTTATTTTCTTCATTATTTGGTTGTTGAATCAGTAAATGCTTTCCACAGGGGTCATCTTGTTAGTCATCTTGTCATTTTGCTGTGTCCCCTCTTCATCCTTGCACTTTTTCCTTTCTCTCATTCTGACATGTATTGAGAGGAGTGTTATGTTGATGGAATGCCCTGTCCTGACTTGCCATCTGATTAGAACTTCCCTCAATTTTTAAAATGCTTCTTGATATGGTTTGGATTTGTGCACCCCCCATCCCCAATCTCATGTGGAATTGTAATTGCCAGTGTTGGAGGAGAGGCTTAGTGGAAGGTGTTTGCATCATGGAGGTGGTTTCTAATGGTTTAGCCTCATCCCCCTAGTGCTGTCTGATGATAAAGTTCTCCTGAGATCTGCTTGTTTAAAAAGTGTGTAGCACCTTCCCTGACTCGTTTCAGCCATGTGAATATGTGCTTGCTTCCTTTTCACCTTCTGCCATGATTGTAAGTTTCCTGAGGTCTCCCTATAAGCATAAGTCTGTACAGCCCACAGAACTGTGAGCCAATTCAATCTCTTTTGTTTTTCAATTACCCATTGTCAGGCATGTCTTTATAGCATGTGAGGCAGACTAATACACTCCTCCTCAGAAAGCATTCAATTTAGGTGTGTCTAAAGGTATGCCAGCTGTCCTGGGGCATTATCTTAGCCAATCATTCTTCCTCTTCAGCAAGATCTATTTGCCTATCACAGCTTGACCTACAGTTCCTACCACACCTGTCAGTAACAAGTAGCCTATAATATCTGGAGGGATTTCATTGAAATCCCAGAGGTTCCTTGGTTCTTTTCTTTATTAGCAGGCATTAGGAAAGCACATCAACTTTCTTATTTAATAAAGTGCCTGTTGCTTTGAAAAATTGCTCAAAAGAAGAAAAGAGAGGGTTACTTAAAGGTATCACTATAGGCATGGCATGCTGGTTCACACCTGTAATCCCAGTACTTTGGGAGGCTGAGGAGAGAGGATCACTTGAGTCCAGAAGTTCAATACCAGCCTAGATGACATGGCAAAACCCCATCTCTACAAAACAAAACAAAACAAATAAAAGAAAACAAAATAGAAAAAATATTCAGGCATGGTGGCATGTGCTTGTATTCCCAGTTACTCAGGAGACTAAGGTGGGAGAATCACTGAGCCCAGGGAGGTTGAGGCTGCAGTGAGCCATGATCATGCTACTCCACTCCAATCTGAGTGACAAAGCAAGACCCTGTCTCAAAAAAAAAAAAAAAGCTATCACTATACTATCTATAACTATTCTTAATTAGGATAACTAGGTTTTTTCCAAGAGTGGAAACTCCAAACAGACTAAATTGTTGTACATCAAGGTGAATTGTCATAGTCAGTTAATTCCTTTGCTTGCAACTGCCCAATAAATGGATGAGGACTCACTTCACCAATAAATAAGAAAGGCGAACAGCACATGGAGCCTGTAGATGCCTTTTGCAGGGCCCTCTTTCAATCTTCCTAAAGTTGCAATTTGCATATTTCTGTAGGTGGGCACATCATAGAAACTGTCATCCTAGATCAGAGCCTGGAGAGAGAGATACAAGTGTCATGCCTACATCTGCAGAGTAGGAACAAGCCCAGAGAAATCAAGATGATTAAGCAGAGAGTTTCCATACTGGAGATAAACCAGCTGTGTAAAAAATCATGCTTATTGAACAAAAAAGCATTGCACCACCGAAATAACTGCTTTAACTAAGAAGTAAAGAACTGACACCCCAACAGAGCACAGAGAGCCACACAGACAGGAGCTGCATTTCAAACAAGGTCATTGCTGTTGTCCCCACTCTGAGTTAAGTGTCTCTGCTTCACCCTTCCTTACCAAAGTTCTGCTTGATCATCCTTTTGTTTTGTTTTGTTTTTTGTACTTCACTTCTTTGAGAAAATATAAACCAAATTTTTACATAAAACAGGAATTCAGCTTTTGACAATGTTAGCCATTGAAACAACAACAAAAAAGGTTTCTATTATTTCTTATCTCCGTGCCATCCAGTGCAGTAGCCAATAGCCACAGGTGACTATTAAAATTAAAATTAATTCAAATAAAACAAAATTTAACATTAGCTGGTCAGTTGTACTAGCCACATCTCAATTACTCAATAGCCACATGTGGCTAGTGGCTACTGAACTAGGCAGCATGAATGTAGAACATTTTCATCATCATAGTTTTCTAGGTCATGGAAAAATTACAGAACTCAATTTCCAGTGTGCACATTTATTTGCATACCTAGGAGCTTTCTGACTCTGTGTTGAGCTGCCTAACCAGCTTCCTGATTGACCTCCTGATATTTCTGCAAATGTGGACTAAGAGGCCAGGATTCCTCAGGGCCCAGGTGACTCAGGTTATTCAGAAATTGTTTGGACTAGCAGGCCTCTACTTGATTTGGGATGCAAAAGGGGACTTCTCTTCCTAATTGCTAAAATAGCTTTTCAAGGTTCACCTCTCATCGTGGTAAGAGTCTCATTTCCTGAGACTCTTATTTCTTTCCATGACTTATGGTATATTCTGGAGAGAGTGGATTCACACAGAAGAGCTGGCTCTGTGCTGGTTTTCCAGGGGTCAGCCCCCTTGTCAGTGACAAGTCTGCCTCTCTACATGATGTACATTGTGTCCCACTACTGGTAATAGAAGCTCAGCAATTGATTGACTGTTAGGTTATTTTCAAAGCTCAATATTCACAATAATCTAGCAGACACCCACACAACCACAAGGACAGACAAGGCTCTCATAACCTGCAAAAGACAAGGTGCACATTTCTTCTTTCCATCCCAGCAACAAATTGCCAACCCAGCCAGCACTTAAGTTGGGGTAAAAATTAATTAAAAGAAGACTCTACCAATGTAGATAAAAGAACAGAAAAGCTATTGCAGCTGTCTTCTCCATAACAGAGGTCTGTGATTTGAATTTTAATGTTTCAATCTACTTTCTGCTCTTGTGTTTATTTTATTATTTATTTTTTGTCACTATCTCTTATTTGTAGATACAAATTTTTCATATTTAAAAGCTATTTTAAATATAATCTTTAAAAGGAGAAACATTATTTTTTTTAATTGCACAAAATACTGAAGGTGAGATCCACTGATTGGAATGCAAAATGGGACAATATCTCTGGAAGCAATTTTATCCAGATAAATCAATAGCTTTAAAACAATTCAAAACCTTGGACCTAATACCTCTACTTCTAGGAAGCTAGCCTATGAAGGTTTCTGCTGAAGGATGTTTATCACAGTATTATTAATAATGCGAAAAAGCCAAAGAAGAGAACTAAAATGTTTCAAAGATGAAAATGGTTTGATAAATAACATTTTTTTTTGGACGGGGTCTCACTCTGTTGCTCAGGCTGGGGTGCAGTGCCACGATCTCAGCTCACTGCAAAATCCTTCTCCCAGGTTCCAGCAATTCTCCTGTTTCAGCCTCCCAAGTAGCTGGGAATACAGGCACACCCCACCATGCCTCACTATTTTTTTGTATTTTAGTAGAGATGGGGTTTCACCATGTTGCCTAGGCTGAACTCAAACTCCTAAGCTCAGGCAATCCATCTGTCTCGGACTCCCAAAATGCTGGGATTACAGGCATGAGCCACCACACCTGGCAATAAACAACATATTTAAACACTAGAATATAATGCAAACATCCCAGGCATGCTTTGGAAAAACTATTAATCCCACAAAAGATGCTTATGTTATTATACAGACTAATAGACCAAGATTCTCCAGGACACTTACTATATTACGTGTCTGAAGTACAATATAATGCCATATATAAAATGTGACCTCAACTCAGGCCCCAGTCTTTTCATCTGGAAAATTCTATTAATTATACTGCCCTTCCCTTTTTAGGTTTTCTGTAGGAGTTAAATACAATACACTTTGTCAATTGCTTAACACCATGCTCAACACTGGTCGGGGAGATATAAATGTCAGCTATTGTACTATGTGCCAAAAAAACAAACAAAAAACCACACAGACAGACAGACACACACACACAAAGACACACATGGAGGGAGAGGAAGTAAAGATTAGGAAGCAGCACATAATGTTACGGTAGGCAATGGGACCACTAGTGATTTTCATATTCTTTTTTATTTTCTTCTTTATACTGTTTACATTTTTCAGTGTATACAATGAGCATGTATTACTTCTGTAACCAGAAGAATGTGGTAGAAACCTCACCTTAATATAATAAAACAAAACTACTGGCCAGGCATGGTGTCTCATGCCTGTAATCCTAGCACTTTAGAAGGCTGAGACTAGTAAATCTCTTGAGCTCAAGAATTTGAAACCAACCTGAGCAATATAGTGAGACTTTGCCTCTGCAAAAAATACAAAAATTAGCCAACCATAGTAGTATACAACTGTAGTCCTAAGTTACTTGGGAGGCTGAGGTGGGAGGGTGTCTTGAGACCAGGAGGTGGCTGCAGTGAACTGTGATTGCACCAGTCCACTCCAACCTGGGTGAAAAAGCTAGACCCAGTCTTGTACAAAAATAAAAACAAACAAACAAAAAAGTTATTACTTAGATCCCACATGCTGTCTTGGAGCCATTGTAGTGTTGTGGGATTCGAGAGACTGGAGAGACCAATAGATGAGACAGGAGGATTTTATTAAAGTGGCCGCTGGCCTAGTGGATTCGCATCCAAAAGGCTGAGCCCCAAACAAAGATGGGGCCTGGTTTTTAAGCATGCAGCTGCGTGAAACTCACAGGGCGGACTTAGCAAGCTTATAGAAGCAGAACAAAGGCAGTTAATCAAACAGTGACAAGTGTATGACTCAAACCTGCCTGGTGACCTCTGCTGGGCCACCCAGCAGGCTCTCAGCAGATGGTCACTATTTTAGGCTGGCTCAGACATGTCTTGTGACCTTCTCGGTGTTGCACAGATGGAAAACTGGAACTTTCAAAATCCTTACAAACTTACAGAAATAGTTACAAAAATAATTATGAGAGCAGAGCAAAGACATATTGGCCTAGGAAAGAATCTCAAAGGGGGAAGCTGATAAGAAGAACTTGTTCTTCTAATCCCCGTTCCTGGAGTCCATTCCTTCTGGGCTCTGCTTGGCCTTGTATATAAAGTTAGCTTAGTCCTAGCAGGACCTTGGAGTGAGTCAGCCTGGTACAGGCAGGAATTTAGGTTTTTCTCCTCCTAATTTCTGCTTTAGTAGGCCAGGGTTCTGGTTGTCACTGCTGAGAAAGTAAATTGTGTTCAGGCTGTCCATGGTTCTGGGCTCCCCCGGGTCTCTGAGGAGGGCTGTCCCTTCCATCACAGAGAATATCAGGACACTAGCCTGTTCCTAGTTATACTTACACACTCCTCTCATGTTGTCTATGGAGTGGAGGCTGCAGGGAGGGTGACATCCTAGTTAGTCCCAAGTGCCAGACTGCCTGAAGCTCACTGTTAACAAGTCCTGCCTTGGAGAAGAAGGAACGGTGTCTCTGTGAACCTCCCACCTGGGTCGAAGGGAGGCCACTCTCTCCTCTGCCTCTCCCCAGCCTTGGTCTTCTGCACTCCTAGTGAACCTCTCACCCCCTGCCTACAGGCCTGAAATCTCAAGACCATGATGACCTCTCACCACCCCTGAATCCAGAGCTTTCCCTTTACAAAGGGGAAACTGAGACCTGGAGCAGGGCTGATGTTCAGTCAGCGCACAAGGGAATAGATGAATTGGTGGTGAAATACTGAAATAGTTCCAGTGTGGATCGAAAGGAGCTGCTGCTGCCCTGAACATCTCTACCCCCCCACCTCAGCCCATCCTCCAGGACCCTGGGTCAGCACCAGGAGCATCAAAGTGGCCAGGATTGGCTGAAGCCCATGCTAATGGCTCTGCCAGCCCTTCTCCCCACCAGAGAGGGCAGGGGAATTCAGGCCATCTGGAGGTAGCACTGTGACCGTGTATGCAGTAGTCAAACCTTGTGTGCCACCATCCCTGACTTTGTTGATAAGGGCATCAGGCTACATCCCTCTGGTACTCAGTGGTAAGCATCTAAGATCTTAAATAAAAAATTAAAAAAATTTTCAAAATATAGGACTTAACATATGAGGCTGCATAAACATCTCTTTAGCAGTTGTCCAACTGGTGCTTCTGGTTCTGCCTCCCCAGAGAGTGGATGACCTGGGCCATCCTCCACCACTGCCCTGTAAGGCCATGGGACACACAGCCCATCAGTTCTCTTCACGTCGTCATCCCCCTTCAGATGGGAGAAAATACACCTGCCTCATCTTTGTAACTTCTGTGTGGACATTCCATGACAGAGCTTCACTAAATGGGTGATGAAGAAATGAATGAATGAATGAATGAATGAATGAATGAATGAATGAATATGAGAGCAAATGAATGAATGGCTCAGATCCTGGGCTGGAACGCTGTGTATGAGGATGGTGGGTAGAGGAGGGTCTGTTTTTCTTGCCTTTAAGTCATTACTTGTCATTTTGGGGCAGGAGCACAGGCTTTGAATGCAGACTGACTGGACTTTAATCCTGGTTTTACTAGTTGTGATTGTGTGACCTCCTACATGTTACTTAAACCCTCTGTGCCTGTTTCTTTATCTGTAAAATGGAGATAATAAGATGACAAAGGACAGTGGTAAGAATTAAATGCTTAAAAAAAATTGCAGTTTGTATTAAGTCCTCAATAGATTGGGTTTAGCATTATGAGTGCATGTGTTTCTGGAGCAATGCTCATCTTGGGCTGGATGGTGCCTACACAGAGAAGACTCTGGCCTCTTCTCATCTACATGTATCTGTCTTATGCCTGGTTCCCATTCCCAGATCCTTGGAAGATCCATATTGCTGAAATGGTGAAGGGTGATGGGCACCTCAGGACAACTAAGTTGCTCCCCAAACATCTTCCCCCTCACAAATTCTCCTGTGGTCTTTAGCATTTAACAGGAATCTCTGGACACTCCAAGGGGTGATCCTCTCATGGAAGGCCAGTGGGGAGGAAGCTGCGGGAAAGGTCAGGCACTGTGCACTTCCCTGACAGCTGCAAATGGTTCTGTTTCCAAGCCCATGGGTCACTACAAATAAGACAAGTTATATGACATCATAATGTGATTCTTTGGTGCCTCAGTCCATACTGGCACTTTAATACTCCTAGAGTGGATTGCATGGTGGTCTATCAAAAGATATGTCTACCTGGAACATGTGAATGTGCCTTTATTTGGAAAACAATCTGCAGATGTAATTAAATCCAGCACCTTGAGATGAGGGCATCTCATCTTGGATTAGGATGGGCCCTAAATCCAATGACAAGTATCCTTATAAGAAAAGCGGCAGGTAGGGCACAGTGGCTCACACATATAATCCCACCGCTGAGGAAGGTCAAGTTGGGAGGATCGCTTGAACTCCAGGCGTTCAAGACCTGCCTGGGCAACGTGGTGAGACCCTGTCTCTCCAAAATATATATAAAATATAATAGCCAGGCACGATGGCACCTGGCTGTTGTCCCAGCTACCAGCTAATCAGGAGGTTGAGGTGACAGCATAACTTGAATCTGGGAGATTGAGGCTTCAGTGAGCTGTGATCATGACACTGCCCTCCAGCCTGGGTGGCCCCTGGCCCCTCCACAACCTGCGCTAGAAGACTGGGCCCTGGCTCTGGGCTGCGCGCCTTGTGCAGGTTACCACTGCAGCTGAACCTACATCAGAGGCAGGCAGGGCTGGTCCCAGACAGCTTAGGGATCTCTGAGTGCACGGCCCTTTCACCCTAGAGTCAGTTCTTTCTTGCCGGAGCCCAGAGCGGGGTGTGCAGGTACTGGGTACAGGGCAGCAGCCAGGAAATGGCTGAGCGGCCGGTTCCCGCCCTCCTGCAGCTGGGGCCTGACCACCTGAATTAGCCTCTGGGCGGCGTCTGGCCCTGGGATCCGCCTGGCTGGTGTAGGAGCACGGTCTGGGGTTGCCTCCAAGGCTGCTGCCCGCGCCATGTGCAGGTGGCTGCTGCAGCTGAGCCCATCACCTGGCAAGGCGTTTCCCAGACAGCCTCAGGGTCATGGAGTGGACCACTATCCTAGCCTAGGGTCCGCTCTTCCTTTGCCTGCACCCAGAGTTCTGGGACGCGGGCACTGGGAACTGTGCAGCCAAGGGGACTGCGCCGAGGGCATAGGTTTCTGCCCTGCTGCAGCTGCGGGGCTGACTGCCTGAATTAGGCGCTGAGGCGGCGTTGTCCCCAGTGTCCTGGCTCTTGGTGGTGCAGGCAAAGTGCCCGGTTGCTCTGCTGCTGCGGCGCCCTTGTACAGGTGGCAGCTGTAGCTGAGTTCTCAGTAGACGCCGGCAGGGTTGGTCCTAGAAAGCGTGAGGATCGCCGAGTGCACCGCCCTCCCAGCCTAGGGTCTACTCTTCCTTGGCCCGAGCTCAGAGCTCGGGGTTTCAGGAGCTGGGCCCTGTGCAGCTGCCCAGAATAGGCTGAGCGGCAGCTTCCCGCCCTGGCAAGGGATCCAGCCGTGGAATCCTCACTGCTGTTGGCGGCGGGCAAGGTCAGCGGGGGTTCCACCGCTGCTGCAGGGAGCCACCTGGCGGTGGTAGCTGCAGCTGAGCGCGTGGCAGAGACTGGCAGTGCTGGTCCCAGACACCCTGAGGGTGTCTGGGTGCGTCGCCCTACCACCCTAGGGTCTGCTCTTCCTTAACCTGCTCCCAGGACGCGGTGTACGAGCGCTAGACTCTGAGCAGCCTCCAGGATGGGGCTGAGCGGCAGATTCCTGCCCTGCTGCAGCTACAGTCTGAATTAGGCGCCACCGCAGTATCTGGCCCTGGGGTATGTGCTACTGGTGGCATAGACAGAGATGGGGGCTGCCACAGCTGCTATGGGGCTGAGCAGCCGATTCCCGCCCTCCTGTAGCTATGGGACGGACCACCTGACTTAGATGCCTTGGAGGCATCTGGCCCTGGGGTCTTTGCTGCTGGTGTCTGCGGGCAGGGTCAGGACTGCCACTACTACTGCCGTGCGCCATGCGCAGGTGCCAGCTGCAGCTGAGCCCAAGGCAGATGCTGTCAGGGCTGGTCTGAGGCTGTCTAAAGGTGGCTGAGTGCACCGCCCTTCCACCCCAGGGTCCGTTATTCCTAGGCCGGCGCCCAGATTGCAAGGTCGTGGGCGTTGGACACTGTGCAGCCATGAGGATCTGGTTGGGCGCAGATTCCCGCCCTCCTGCAGCTGAGAGGCCAACCTCCTAACAGGCGCTGCAGTGACCTCTGGCTCTGCAGTCCGCGCTGCTGCTGGAGCTGGCAGAGACCAGAGCTGCCACCGCTGCTGCTTCCAGGAGTGTGCAGCTGGCAGCTGCAGCTAAGCCCGCGTCGGAGGCTGGAAGGGCTTATTCCAGAAGCCTTGAGGGTCCCCGAATGCATCGCCCTCCAACCCTAAGGTCCAGTCTTCCTTGCCCGCGCCCAGAGAGTGGGATTGCAGGCGCTGAGCATAGTGCAGGCGCTGGGAGATGGGGCTAAGCTGCAAGTTTCCGCCCTCTGGCTGCTGGGGGGCCGGCAGCCTGAGTTAGGCGCCGCGGCGGCTTTTGATCATGCGGTCCGCACTGCCGGTGGCTTGCACAGGGTTGGGGGCTGCCACAGCTGCTATAGTTCACCGTGTGCACGTGGCAGCCGCCCCTGAGCCCACCGCTGACGCTGCAGGGCTGGTCCGGTCCCAGACGGCCTGAGGGTCATTTGCCTGCGCCCAGATCACCCGGTGGCTGGCGCTGGGCACTGTGCAGCCTCCAGGAATCCGCTGAAGGGCAAGTTCCCGCTCTTCTACAGCTGTGGGCCGACTGCCTGATTTTGGCCACTAGGTGGAGTCTGGCTCTAGGGTTTCGAGGCCGCTGGTGTCGGCGGGCGGAGTCCGGGTTTGCAGCGGCTGTGCGCCATGAGCAGGTAGCAGCTGCAGCGGAGCTTTAGACCGAGGCTGGCAAGGCTGGCCCCAGACGGCCTGAGGGTCAGGGAGTGCAGGGTCCTCCCACCCTAGGTCCGCTCTTCCTTTGCCCTTACCCAGAGCGGGTTGTGCCGGCGCCGGGCTCTGTGCGGGCGCTGGGCTCCGTGCAGCCGCGGAGATGGGGCTGAGCAGCGGATTTCCGCCCTGCTGCAGCTGGAGGACGATTACCTGAATTAGCCGCTGAGGCGGCATCTGGCCCTGAGTTACTGCTGCTGGTGACGCGGGCAGGGTCAGGGTTGGTTGCAGGTGGCAGCTGAAGCTAAACCCATTGCGAGACTCAGGGTCACCAAGTTCACCGTCCTTTCATCGTAGTCTCTGATCTTTGGCCCGCGCCCAGACTGCGGGCTCGCCTGCGCTGGGGATTGCATAGCTTCTGGCGGGCAGTCAGCGCCAGTTTCACGTCCTCCTGTAGCTGCGTGGCCTAAGGTCTTAGGCGCCGCGGCGCTATCTGTCCCTGCTGTCCACGCTGCTGGTGGCGGGGACAGGGTCAAGGGTTGCCACTGCTGCTCCCGTGCGCCATCGGCAGGTGGCAGTTGCAGCTGAGCCCACAACTGAGGCTGTTGGGGCTGCTCCCAGGTTGTCAGAGGGTCACCGAGTTCACCGACATGCCACCCTATTTTATGCTCTTTCTTGGCCCGCACCCAGAGCGCCGGGTTACGGGTCCTGGGCCCTGTGCAGCCACAGGGATGGTGCTGAGTGCAGGTTCCCGTCTTCCTGAGATGCGGGGCGACCACTGGAATTAGCCTCTGTGGTGGTATCTGGCCCTAGGGTCCGAGCTGCTGACGGCGTGGGCGGGGTCGAAGTCGCCTCTGTTGCTGCAGCGTGCCATTTGCACTGTCCTCTGGAACAGGCTGATCTGTGCTGTGCATGGTCAGTGGAGTCTTCTCTGGGCATTCTTCACTGATATCTGCTGACATGGCTCATCTTCTCTTTGATTTTGCATGTATTGGTACCCACTGATGAAGTTTCTGGTCACCCACTGCCATTTTCCTCTAGCCTCCAAGACTTCACATTCTGAGGCCAGCATGTCCCACCAGGGGCCTCCACTGGTCCTGTCAAACCAGTTGTGAGTACCCCTCCCACCAAGCTTGGAGAGACTGGCTTTTCAGACAGCACTCACAAGCTGAGAGTAAGGGAATTGATCTCTCAGGCACTTCCCCCTGTCCTGCCACTCTGTCATTCCTGGGACACACTATGTGCACTAGAGAAGTAAGACACCAGCCTGCATATTTTCTCATCTTTAACTGTCTATTTTTTCCTATCTATCTGTTTGAGCGAGTCCCAGGAGAATGTTGGGGCTGAATACCTGATCAGAGACACAGGCAGAGCCATAGTCACATCTCCTGGGAACTTTCTTCTTCCTGTGTAGTTAAAAGCTCTTCTCTTCCTCTTGTTCATAGAAATTCCCCTTACACTAAACCTTTGACTAAAACCATCCCCTCAGCTTGATAAAATTTTAGACAGGATTATTTCTGATTCTTGGCTCCTGGCCTCTTTTTTTCTTTAGCATATTTTAGAAATGTTATCATTGTAAATTCTTTCTCTGCCTCTTTGATAAATAAATTTTTTAAGAGCCCACTTGCCAGTTTTACACTTCAGAAATGTCCATTTCAAGGACCTCAGAGCCATGCCTTTGAAATGTAATCCTCAAGAAAGATAACACCATTATCTCCCAGATTCCATGAAAGAGTAAGAGCCAAATTTTGGTAGGCATATTGTTCTAATTTGTAAAATTACCTTCTGTCATAAAGATAAAAGATAGTTTAATATTCCTTTGGAAAAAGACAACTAGCAAAGACAAGGGGTCTATGATCTCCCCCTCATCCCAGCTCTTAAAATCTCTACTGCTGTTTGTTTCAGTGGAGCTGAGTTCAGACTAAGTTCTGGCCTCTTTGTCCTTTTGCAATAGCCTTCAATAACAGCTTTTTTGTGTTTAACTTTGTCTGGTGCAATTGTTTTCTTTGACACTTTCCACCCTAACTAGAACTTCCATTAAAGTCATAGTAGGATTCAAGGCAGCCAAACTTGACTCACATATGTAAAAAAAACTTGTTAGGATTTAGAAACCCATATTCTCTTCAATAAATTGTTTCTTCAGACTGTTGCCTTATTAAAACTTTCTAGTTCTTATTTTGGCATCGAAAAGGAGAATACCAATTTTTAAATAAGTCTCTGCTCACTTTTAATTTCTGCTATCACAATTTTATTGCTTTCCATGGCTGAACAACAAGAAGACCAGAACACAATTTTAAGTTAAATTTTATTTAATTTTTACTATTACAATTTTATTGCTTTCTCTGACTGAAAAGAGAAAACTCAAACAAAGTAGTCTAGTCTATAAAGTGAAGACTAGAACAAAGAATCATGTCGCATTAATACATTTCAGAAAGTTACTTCCATTTAACATCAATGGTGTCATTTAATATTCTTAACTTTCCTATCAAGTAGATGCTATTATTACCTCTATTTTATAGGATATTAAGTCTTATATATTATACATAACCAGCTGAAGGTCATGTAGCATGTAGATATGATAGGCATACAAAGAAACAATGACATTAGAAGCAGAGGAGGGAGAAGGATTAAAAGGCTAAACCTAGGTCGGTTAAGAGAAAAAGAAAAACTAGGAGGAGACAAATTCTTGTTAAAAAAAAAAAATGATCAAGGCAGAGCAAGACAGTGGCGCAGACCTCTCCAGCTATCATACCCCTATAGAAACATCAATATGAACAACTGCCCACATGTGAAATTACCATTACAAGAGCCAACAGAACCTCAATACATGAACAAGGTTATGAAGCACCTTTAGCCTGTGAAGGTGGGTAAAACCATGGCTTATGCAGTGAGAGAACCAATACTCTGTGACTGTGATACTCCTCCCTCAGGCCATTATGGTACCATCTGCAGAAACTCCCATAGAGCTTATAGTTTTTACACTGAAAAAAAGCAGGAGGTTGATATTTGTTTTTTCCACTATACTGAGTGCCTTCACAGTAGACTCACTCCTGTATCAGCCCACAGGGGGCACCATGAGTGCCAAAAGGGATGAACCACCTGAGGCATGTTAAGGACATAAGCGGAGGTGGGGCCAGCAACAGCCACCATGTGAAACATAATACACAGACTCTACAGGCTTGACGGCCTGACTTGTTCTCCCCCATAGCCAGGGGCTCCCTGTGGATCACCCATGGGCCCATCCAGCAAATGTTGCATCAGTGATGGAGCCATTGGAAGACTTACGTCTAACGTGGGATTTGGGCTCTCTCTAACGCTAAAATGGAATACGATGATAAGTCCGCTCAAAATTTCTTAATAAGCCCGCTTAAAAGTAGTCACAAACACAACCAAACTGAGAAGACTCAAATAAATATCTAAATCATTAATGTGTACACAGATGTATATCTACATATAATAATGATAGCTTAGGAAAAGTTGCCTCTCCAAATGGACAAAACAAGGTGTCAGCAACTGAACTTAAAGACATACAGATGAACGATCTGGCAGGCAAAGAATTCAAAATGGCTGTTTTAAGAAGAGCCTGAACACTGAGAAAGCAGAGACACAATTCAGAAATGTACCAGAGAAATTCAACAAAGAAATCAAAATAATGGGAAAAATCACATGTAAATCCTGGAGCAGCAAAGTTCAATGGACACTTTGAAAATCCAATGGAAGGCATCAGCAGAAGAACTGATCAAGCAGAAGAAAGAAACAGTGAGCTCAAAGACAGGCTCTTTGAAAATACATGGTCAGAGTAGAATGAAAAGAAACAAAGAAAGTTTATGAGATTTGTGGGACACCAACAAAAGAGCCAATCTACATATCATTGGTGTTAAAGGGGAACTAAGAATGCAAAAGAGATAGTTTATTCAAAGAAATAACAGAAAACTTTTTAAATCTGGAGAAAGATTAAAATGTTTAGGATGGTCAAAGTGCCCAATCATATTTAATCTGAATAAGACAACCAAAGACATATTATAATTAAACTCTCAAAGGTCAAAGACAAAGAGAAGACCCTGAAAGGACTAAGAAAAAGGAAACAACACATAAGAGAATTCCAATATGCCTGGCAGCAGACTTGTCAGCAGAAACACTACAGGCCAGGAGAGAGTAGGATAATAGATTCAAGTGCTGAATTAAAAAAACTGTCAACCATGAATAAACTATCCAGCATAGCTATCATTTAGAAATAAAGGAGAGATTGAAACATTCTCAGACAAACAAAAAGCAAAGGAATTCACTGTAATCAAACCAGCCTTACAAGAAATGCTAAATATTGTTCTTCGAACTGAAAGGAAATAGCAGCAATATGTAACACAAAAAATCTGAAGGTATAAACCCACAGATAGAAGTGAGGGTTCAGACAAATTTGGAATGCTCTAATATGGTAATAATTGGATGTAAACCACTTATATATCCTTAGTAGGAAGGTTAAAATTCAATACAAATAAAATAATAATAATTAGAATAATTTGTTAAGGAATCGCAATATACAAAGATGTAAATTAAGACATCAAAAATGTAAAATGTGAGGGAGTGAGGGAGTTAAAGAGTAGAGTGGTTTCTTTTCCCCCTTTTTTGAATCAAAATTAAGTTGCTATCTCTTTAAAATAACTTATTGTAACCATAAAATGTTCTTTGCATGCCTTGTGGTAACCACAAAGCAAAAACTTTTAAAAGATACTCTAAAAATTAAAAAAAAAAAAGAAACCGAAACACACTGATAGAGTAAATCACTTAATCACAAAGGAAGACAGTGAAATCAATCAATCAATCAAAGTACAAATTAAAAAAAAATGAAAACAAGTAATAATATGGCAGGACCAAGTCCTTGCCTATCAATAATTATCTTGTATGTAAATGGATTATCCCATTTAAGACATATAATGGCTACACTGATTAAAAACAAGACCTAACTATAAACTTTCTACAGGAAATTCACTTCATCTGTAAATACACACATAAATTGAAAGTGATCAGATGGAAAAATATATTTTATAAATATGGAAACCGAAAGAAAGCCAGTATAGATATATTTATATCAGATAACATACGCTTCAAGCAAAATCCTATAAAAACAGAAAAATACAGCCATCATATAATGATAAAGGGATCAATATCACAAGATAATATAATTGTAAATATATATGCCCTCTATATTGAAGCACCTAAATATATAAAACAAACATTAATAGATCTAACAGGAGAAACAGCAAGCAATAAAATAATAGTCAGAAACCTTAACATTCCACTTTCAGCAATAAACAGATTATCAAGACAGAAAATCAACAAAGAAACATCATATTTAAACTGAACTCTAGACCAAATAACTTAGCAGTCATTTACAGAACATGTTATCCAACAATTGCATAATTCACAGTCTTCTCTACTGCGCATGGAACATTTTCCATGATAGATCATATATTAGGCACAAAATGAGCCTTAGCAAATTCAAAAAAAAATCAAAATTATATCACATATTTTCTGACAATATAGAATAAAACTAGAAATAAACAACAAGAACTTCAGAAATTGTGCAAATACATACAAATTAAACAACGTGTCCCTAAACAATGGGTTAAAAATAAATTTTGTTTCATTTTAAAAATTCTTAAGACAAATGAAAATGAAATCAGAACATACAAAAACTTATGAAATACAGCAGAAAAAGTCCTCAGAGGGAAGTCTGTAGAAATGAATTTCTATATGAAAAAAAGAAAACTCTCATTAATAATTTAAGAATGCATTTCAAGGAATTATAAAAACGTGAACAAACTTAGCCCCAAATTGGTAAAAGAATATAGATAATGAAGACTAGAGCACAAATAAACCAAATGGAGACAAAAATATGAAAGATCAATGAAATAAAAAGTTATTTTTTGAAAAGATAAACACAATTGATATATCTTTAGTCAGATTAAGAAAAAAGAGAGAAGATTCACATAAATAAAATCAGAGATGAAAAAAGACATTAAAATGGTTACTACAGAAATATAAAGAATCATGAGAAAGTACTAAAATTATATGCCAATAAATTAGAAAACCTAGAAGAAAACCTGGGGAACATAGTGAGACCCAGTCTTTACAAAAATAAAAATAAAAATTATCCAGGTGTAGTGGTGTGCACTTGTAGTCCTAACAACTTGGGAGGCTGGAGCAGGAGGATCACTTAAGACCAAGAATTTGAGGCTGCAGTGAGCTATGATTGCACCACTGTACTCCAGCCTGAGTGACAGAGAAAGCCCTGTCTCTAAACCAAAAATATTTAAGAAGAAAGAAGAAAGAGGAAGAGGAAGAAGAAGAAGAAGAAGAAGAAGAAGAAGAAGAAGAAGAAGAAGAAGAAGAAGAAGAAGAAGAAAGGAAGGAAGGAAGGAAGGAAAGAAAAAGAAAGAAAGAAAGAAAGAAAGAAAGAAAGAAAGAAAGAAAGACAAAGAAAGAAAGGAAAAGGAAGAAAAGAGAGAGGGAGGGAGGAAGGAAGGAAAGGACGGAAGGAGAGGAAAATAAAAATTGAGGATCCAATGCTTATACTGCTGAATTGTTCAAAACATTTAAAGAGGAACTTATACTAATTATTTACAAACTGTTCCCCAAAAAAGTGAAAAGGAGGAAACTCTTCCATACTCATTCTATGAAGACAGAATTACCTTATTCCAAAATGCGACAAGAACAGTGAAAAACTAAACTACAGGCCAATATCAGTGATGAACATAAATGCAAAAATTCAAAACCAGCAATGCTAGCAATCATAATTTGAAAGCACATTAAAAAGATGATTCACCATAATCAGGTTGTATTTGTTCCAGGGAGGCAAGGAGGGCTTAAGATATATAAATCAATAAATGTGATACACCATATTCGATAAGGTAAGATAAAAATCATATAATCATTTAAATAGATACAGAAAAAGCATTTGACAAAATTCAATGTTTTTTGTAAACATAAGATCTCTTAACAAATCAGTTATAAAAAGAATATAACTCAATAAAATAAAGGCCATATATGATAACCCACAGCCAACATGATACTGAATAAGGAAAAATTGAAAACTGTCTCTCTAAGATCTAGAACAAGACAAGGATGTTCACTTTAATAACTTCTCTTCAACATAGCACTGGAAGTCCTAGCTAGAGCAATTAGAAAAGAGAAAGAAAAGACATCCAAATTGAAAAACAAAAAGAAAGTCAAATTGTCCCTGTTTGCAGATGACATGATTTTATGTATAAAAAACCCTATACTGAAAAACAGAAATAGTAAATGAATACAGTAAAGTTTTAGAATACAAAATCAGCATAGAAAAATCAGGTGCATTTCTATACCCAACAGCATACTATCTGAAAAAGGAATCCCCATTGAAAATAGCTATAAAAAAATAAAATGCCTGGCAAAATAAAGACGTCTAAAATGAAAACTATAAAACATTGATAAAAATCAATTGAAAAGATACAAATAAAGACAAGGTTATCCCATTTTTTGAATTAGAAGTGTTAATACTGTTAAAATGACCATCATACTCAAATCAATCTATAGGTCCAATACAATCTCTAACTAATTTGCAATGTAATTCTTCACGTTCTGCAGATGTTAAAAAGATTTTTAAAACCGTTTTTTTGGTTCTGCAGGCGAAGGCTGTGGCCGCGCTCCCGCCGGCCAGTTCCCAGCAGCAGCTCATCGCCCCTGCTCCGCGCCTTCGCTCCAGGCCCGCACGGTCTCAGCCCCGCGGGGATCAGCACTGAGCCGGTCCCGCCGCCGCCCCAGTGACGGGCTGCTGCTGCGGGAAGCCAATCGCCCAGCGCTTGGAGGAGGGCGACGAGGCCTTCCGCGCGAGCGAGTACCAGAAAGCAGTCGGGCTCTTCCGCTCCATGCTGGCCCGGCTGGCGCAGCCCGACCGCGGCCGGTGCCTGAGGCTGGGGGACGCTCTGACCCGCGCCGGCCGCCTCCCGGTGGCCCTGGGCGCGTTCCGTGTAGCCGGGAGGCTGGAGGCGCTGCGGCCGGAGGAGCTGGGGGAGCTGGCGGGCGGCCTGGTGTGTCCCGGCCTGCGCGAACGGCCACTGTTGGCGAGGAAGCCGGGCGGCGAGCTCAAGGCTAGGGAGGGCCGGCCCTGGCGCCCGGCGCGCCCCGCGACCTGCTTGGCTGCCCGGGGCTGCTGCACAAGCCGGTGACACTGCCCTGCGGGCTCACGGTCTGTGAGCGCTGCGTGGAGCTGGGGCCCGCGCGGCCACGGGCGCGGGCGCGGGCGCGGGCGCGTGAACGTAGTGCTGAGCCGCCTGCTGGAGAGGTTCTTCCCGGCCGAGTGCCCGCTGCGCAGGCTGGAGGGTCAGGCGCGGAGCCTGCAGCGCCAGCAGCAGCCCGAGGCCGCGCTGCTCAGGTGCGACCAGGCCCTGGAGCTGTGACTTGGCTGTGGGGCCGGCCCGCCTCCCTGACCCCTGTCAAGCCCAGCGGCTGGAGCTAACCCGCGGGCCTGGGCTTTCGAGCGCTTTGTCCAGGCGTAGGGGGTCACTTCGCTTACTAATGATGGGAAGGTGAAAGGTGGGGGAGGCCACTCCCTGCAGTCAGGGTGGCAGGTGTCAGAGGCCACATGCAACCCACTGGTTTTGTCTTTTCTAGGATGCTGATAAGTTTCCCGCGGCCCCCGGAGCAGCTCTGTAAGGCCCTGTAGTTGCCTTTCATTCCCTTCTGCTCTATTGAGGAGTGGGAGGATGACAAAGTGTTTTTGCTCAACCTGAAGGAAAATGCACATGGAAGGACACACTGGGTTATTATTTGAGTAGCCCAGGCAAGAGACCAGCGGTCTGCTTCAGCCATGAGACCACCTCAGGCCAAAATAGCCTTGTGGTTGTTTTACTTCTTTTCACCAAATGGGTCTTTTTGGGGTTTGTGGCGTGTCCCATGTAAGGATGATCTCTTGGTTCCCCTTTCTCATTCACACCCGGGGAGCTGAGGTGGGGTGGGGGGGGGGGGGGGTGAAGGGGAGTGGCCACCTGCGCCAGGTGTGAGAGAAGCCACACCTGAGACCAGCCCCTCTGTCCTCCTGCCTATGCATGCAGCGTCCCTGCAGGAGGCAGAAGGGGTGAAAAGTAGCCTCGATGTGAAAGTGCTTGTGTGTCCCTGAGGGGGGAGGCAAGTCACAGTCAGGGCACTGGTTCCTGTCATTGGGTGCAGCACAAAGAAGGACCCCAGGACATGCAGTGCAGACGGGAGCACAGAGAGGGTGGGTGCTACTGGGGTGCACAGGCAGCTTGAGGAGGATGGAGATGGCAAACTTCCCTTTGTCACACCAGGTCCACGTTCAGGGCCGGAGGACCACCAGATCCCCAAAGCCTCCGGTGCTTCCGAGGCAGAGGAGAGGCAAGGCCGGTGGCCCCCGGCTTCCAGGGACCTGGCAGCCACCACTGAGGCCCACCTGCTTGTCCCTCAGCCGGGTGCTCACTGGCAGCCACACTCCCGGTCTCTGGGCTCTGCCCAGGACGTGTGTTTGGGCTTCTCTCCCCAGCAGAAGTCATCAGCGTACCCTCTGCATCCCACGGATTTGCTTTGTTTCTGAGGGAATAATTAAGGAATGTTAGTATGATATCAGAAAATAGCTAATTATGGTGAAGAGCTAACAGGGCAATCTGGGAAGTTGTGGAGCTCTAGTTAGTGATGACAGAAGAGGAACATATTTGACTGTTTTGTGCTACACCCAGGTTCTCAGGAGGTGGCCAGGGAGGAGACTTGGCACTGTGCCATGCTCAGAGCCCCTGGTCCCAGGGACTGTTTCCCTGTGGGAGTTTGGATGAGAGGCAGTTGGCTGGGAAGCTCAGGATGGAGTGAGGAAGGAGAACGACTTGAGGTGCTTGGGTTGGAAAGATCTAGTACCCCAGGAGGGACTGGCTGTGGCCTGCACACACCCCAAACTCACACACTCTGTCATGCTCACACAGACGCACACACTCACACTCATAGGTCCAAGCTCACACACCACACTCACATGGCTTATTCACACACTTACACACATTAACACACATACACACTTATATTTACACATCCACATGCAGTTATATTCCACATACACACTCATACTGCCAAGTTCAAACACCACTATCACACATTTCTTCACATTCACACAATAACATACACACTCTCACACATGTACACACTCACCTACCCACTCTCCATTACACACATTTACCTGTCCGTTCTCACACACATGCACAAACACAAAGCCAAATTAGAGCCATTTTCCTGGTCCCACACACACAAAAATGATACCTCAGTTTCTTGGTCTTGACCACAATTGGGCGCATGATTCCATCCAACCACAAGGTGGGGCGGGAATGAAATCCTGTCACGTCCTCAGGCCGTGGAGAAAAAAAAACTATGTTAGGCCTCTCTAATGCCTCCCACAAATGAGCAGGAGGGATTGAAACAGAAAAGGGGTTCCTCCTGACATGTGGCATTGATGGAGCCCGGTTCTGCCTCATGCCAAGCCCTGCCTTGCCCCTAGATGATGGAAAATGGTTGTGTGTCTTGTTTCCTAGCCTCCAACTCTGTCTTGGTACAGAGTAGAGACTTGAGTCTCAATTCCAAAGACAGGAGTCCCGCTGAGCTGACCCGCCCACTGACAGATGAAGTCTTGCCATCTGCTGACCAAGTTCCCCAAGGCCCCTTGAGACTCAATTTCTGAAGAGGTTCTGCTCAGAATTCCCCGTCCCCATGATCTGCCCAGCTGTCGGGACACTGGTGAGCCTGCTCAGTGGGGAGTCCCTTTTCAGCTCAGTCAGCAAGTGGCTCTTCTCCATAAAGAGGCAGGGGATGAACCTCCTCTCTAGTTTTAGCAGCAGAGGCCATGAGACCCATGGCAGAGGCCAGAGCTGTGCAGGCTGTAGGAGGTACCATGTCAGGGATTTCAAATGGAGGAAGGTACTTTCCAGAGAGTACTGCAGGGAACCAAGCCATATCCACCGTAGCTGCAATAAAAACTCTGAGGCTCAGCTTAAACTCAATCCTAGAAATGAAGTCCCAGCACAAGCTTTGCAGGATAAGCAAAATCTACAGAAGAGAAAATGCAGACCCAGGCAACGATAAACATAAGTCATCTGGACACCACGGAGCAGATACAGTGCCTTCTCCACGTGCGGTGAATGAGGTTCTCACGTCTGTTAGTGTGTGGAATTGAACATCAATATCAGAATCATTCTGTGTTACCTACAGCTGGTTTTATGTTGTTATGCCTGTCACCTGATGAATGTGTATCTTTAGCCAACCCTTTCACCCCAAAGCTCCTGCCCCAACCCCTCCTGCTGGAAGTGCCCATCTCTGGTCTCAGCAGGAGGCTGTTCTTCCCAGCCTGTGGGGTGGCCTTGCAGGCTGTAACCCTCTACAAGAAATAAAGTCTTCTCTCCTTTTCCAAATTTCGATATTTGCTTAATCCTTAGCTTCTATTTTTTCAAGCTTTTAAACTGCTTTTAGGTCATGGCCTCTTCTCTGTAGGGTCCGGAGGCTGACAGATGTCCAGCAGGAAAGAGCTGCTAACTAATTCCAGTAGCACTGCTCTTCTGCCTAACGGAGGTGTTTAAATGTTGATTTTGGCAAAATCTATGAGCAGGTTGCTCCCCCTCTCCCGAGATCTCTCACAATACTTTGTAAAACCCAATTTAGCGCATCGTCTGTGAGAACAGCTTTTACTGGTTCTGCAGTGATCTTCCTTACTCATAATCTATTGAAATGTTGTAAAGTGATGCAGATTTGTGGCATGTGAGGAGAGCATGTAGACACACACTCCGCTGTGATTCAAAGTGCCCTAACACCTTCCTCTCCCCTACAGGTTGTGATAGGAGGGTGCTCTGGGTCACTGAGGAAGGGGAGTCATAAAGGAGCAGAGGCCCCGCTTTGTGAGTGCCATCTGACCTTGAGTGTGGCCTCTTGTTCTAGCCCACAGGCCCACCATGGCCTGACTAAATGCTGGCAGTGCTCATACATCCACTTTTAAAAATTGAGTTGAACATGAGAACATGATCATTCATATTTTATCCATTTGCATGTATTCAATAACATCCTTTCCCTGTTCTCGTCTCTGCTTTACCGCCTTTTTCTTTAAAGAATGAATGTTTCCATGTTTTATATCCACAGAATTTCTGGTTTTTCCCTTTGGAGCCCAAGAAGCAAGGGCAGAATGAGGAACATGATGTTTCTTACAGACAGTTACTCATGAGGCCGCAGCACAGAAACTGCAAGAAATGTCAGTCATAAAGTGTCCCAGTGCATTTTAAATTGATGATTACTAAAATCCTTCTTTATCTATAGGGGATCTAAAAAATTAAACAACTCATAATTTAAACACGGTTGCCAGGTAGCCTGAGTCAAAAATCAGGAGAGGCTCTGTGGTCTGAAGTCTCCTGGTGCTCACCTTGATGAGGGTCTAGTTGCCTAACGGGTTGGTGTAATGATGTCATTCAACACAAGCAAAACACAACTCCCTTGGAGTTGTTCAAAAAATCAGGAAATAGAAAAAAAATAAGGGAGAATAAAATATTGACAGGAGAGAAAAATGAAGAGTTACTTGGAGATTTGAAGGAGGTGAAATGGGCAAAAAGTAAATTTAGCAATTAGAATTTAAAGTCAGTGGATAATTAAGTTGAATAATTTATTCTTATGTCCATGTATTTTGGTTTTAAAGTTTTGATTAATACTCATTCAACACGAATTTCTAACAAATTAGAACATTTCCACGTTGTCTATTTTTACCAGTGAGCTTGTAATAAAGATCCGCTAGTAATTTTAGTACACCATAACCTTTCAAAAGAAGCCCATAGAATAAACTAATTTTTAAAGAGTCACATTTTATTCAATGTCTATTTATACATGTTACTAGCAATAAACTCTTTTATCTTTAATTTTGAGAAGCTTTACAAATACAGAAAAGTAGAATGACTAATAGAGCCGGTAGCCAGGACTCAGATTGGAAAAATAGGTCTAATCGGTTGTTACACTGTGTTTATGTCATACATTTCACTTATTTTTATCAAATAAAAATTAGAATGTATAAAGTGTTGATTAAAAGGAAAACATTCTGAGTAAAGTTTAGTCCCATGTTTCTTCCTCCAAATCTCTTTGTTCTACATTAACAGGTAAGGATAAGTATGGATGGGGAGGCTGGAAAAGGGGCATCCTTCCCTATGCGGTCCCCAGAGCCAGCTTCTCCAAGCAGGACTTGGGGAACATCCTTCTCCATCCAGGACCTAGGGGGCATCCTTTCTCCATCCAGGACCTGAGGGGTGTCCTCCACCCAGGACTTGGGAGATGTCTTATCTACCCAGGACTTGAAGGGGATCGTATTCCATTCAGGAATGGGGGAAATTCTTCTTCAACTGGACTTGGGGGGCATCCTTCCCCATTTAGGACTTTGGGGGCATCCTTCTCCATTTAGGACTTGGGGGGCATCCTTCTTCATCCAGGACTAGGGGGTTATCCTTCTTCATTCAGGACCGGGGGTTGTCCTTCTCCATGTAGAACTAGGGGCATCCTTCTACATTCAGGAACTGGGGAGCATCCCTCTCCATCCAGGAGTTGGGGGACATCTTTTTCCATCCAGTAACTAGGGGGCATCCTTCTCCATCCAGGACTGAGGGGGGCATCCTTCTCCACTCAGGAATTGGGGGGCATCCTTTTCCATCCAGGACTTGGAGTCCATCCAGGACTTGGAGGACCGTCTTTCTCCATCCAGGACTCGGGGGACATCATTTTCCATCCAGTAACTAGGGGGTATCCTTCTCCATCAAGGACTAGGGGGCATCCTTCTCCATCCAGGACTGGGGGGCATCCTTCTCCATCCCAGAATTGGGGGGCATCCTTCTTCATCCCGGAATTGGGGTCATCCTTCTCCATCCAGGACTTGGGGAACATCCTTTATCATCCAGTAACTAGGGGGCATCCATCTCCATCCAGGACTGAGGGGGGCATCCTTCTCCATCTGGGACTGGGGGGCATCCTTCTCCATCTAGGACTGGGGGGCATCCTTCTCCATCCAGTATTGGGGGTCATCCTCCTCCATCCAGGACCTAAGGGGTGTCCTTTTCTGTGCTTCCTTGGATGGCAGCCTTTCCTGTGCAGTCATTCGGAAAGTCAGGCTGACACATGTTGTCGTCTTGAACTCTGGGTGAATCCCTTCATGTTTATAGTGATTTACCATTAAATCACTGTGCCGTTTTTTTCCTAAACTATATGGGGCATGTTTTTTGTTTTGAGTTATGTTAGTCCTTTGGTCCCTAGCTCCAGTTTTTTGTAATTTCTTTTGCAACCTAATATGCGTCCCATTTGGTAAGTATTACATATACTAGAAAGTGATGTATATTCAGCATTTGTTGTGATTTTAAAACCTTTTATAAACACATAACATCTTTGTCTATTTCCCGTTTAAATTCAGAAGTATGAGTTCCAGCGTCCCTCTCTAGACCTGCTCTATCCTGTTAGTTTCTTTGTATGTCCTGGAGGCGAGGCCAGCATTGGACTTACATTGCTTCACCTACTCGGTTCTATTGTCCATCCATGTGCAGTGTCTATCCTGTTGTTTATTATTTCTTCCTTAAATTTTATTTGAACTAAAATTAATTTTGTGATAGCAGGTTGCTTTCTGTGAATATTTACTTAAAATTTTTATAAAATTTTTATTTTTTTATTTCTTTAATTTGAAAGTGCTGCTTTGTTATTGATAATTTTGTATTTCAATATATGAGGTTAATCCCTCTATGTTTGGTAGGAAAAAGTGATATATTTGAACTTATTTCTATCATTTGATTTTGGATTTTGTATTTGCAAAGCTTTATCCTCAATTCTCTTTTCCTTTTTTCAGATTTCTTTTCTTTTCTCCTTTTTTTGGGGGGGACAGAGTTTTGCTCTTATTGCCCAGGCTGGAGTGCAATGGGGAGATCTCGGCTCACCACAACCTCCGCCTCTCGGGTTCAAGCGATTCTTCTGCCACAGCCTCCGAGTAACTGGGATTACAGGAATGGGCCACCATACCCGGCTAATTTTGTATTTTTAGTACAGACAGTGTTTCTCCATGTTGGTCAGGCTGGTCTCGAACTCCCGACCTCAGGTGATCCACCCACCTTGGCCTCCCAAAGTGCTGGGATTACAGGCATGAGCCACCGTGCCCGGACTTCCAGATTTATTTTCAATCAACATTTCATTTTCCACTTCCTTCCTATGCTGGCTTGCAGGCTTTCCAGGCTATTTACCTTTATTTAGTGTCAAAAATTCTTTTGGGAACTTTTGAGTTGTCAACCAATAGTTGTAAGCATATTGGATATGGCTGTTTTTCTCCTGGTGCTCTGGTTATAATCTCTCCTATTAATACCTGTAGTCTTATTGTTGTAGTTATTTTTTCTATTGATTTCTGAGTTATAATAATTAGAATTGTCAAATTGTGGATTTATGCATTTATCCTTTTAATTCAATAACTTTTGCTTCATGTATTTTGCTGTTTTTCTTAGGTGCATGCATGCTTATGCTTATTAGGTTTTCTAAGCAAATGGGCTTATTGGTATAAAACATCCTTCTTTATCCCTGGTGATGCTTGCCTTTCTTGTAGTGTGTCTTATCTGCCATTAATACACTGGCTGCAGTTTTTGATAACAAAGATTGCATAGTGTATATTTGTCCATCTTTTCAGTTCGAATCTATTTATATCTTTATCTCATAAGTGTATTTCTTTTTAAAAGTGGATATTGAGGTTTCCTTTTTACCTACTTTGACAGTCTCTGTTCCGCCTTCCTGATCTTCTTCTGGATTATTGCAGTTTTGGTTTGTTTGTTTGTTTTATGGGGTTTTCTTTTTTTTTTTAGTATGGATTTTGTACCCTGTTATTTGTTTTTAACTATGACTTTGTTTCATTTATTTATTTTTGGTGAGTTGTTCAGAAATTATAAATACTTAATGTATATTAAATATCATAACACTGTATATAAAATATAAAATCCTTACCTTACCATCCTCTCATCTTTTGTGCCATGTTGTCATAGATTTTTCTTCTGTACATGTTGTAATTCCTGGAGGATGTCATTAAAACAGTAATTTCCCCTCCACATATTTACTATTTTTGGCACACTTTCATCTTTTCTGTGAACTAGAATTTCCAATTATTATTTTTCTTCATCCTGAACAAGTTTCTTTTGCATTTATCGTGGTTTGGGTGTGCTGGTAACACAGTCTCACAGACTTTCTTTAACTGAAAATGTACTTCTCTCAACTTCAGTTCTGAAGGCTGCTTCAGCAGGTTCAGAATTCTAGGGACACTTTCGACTTTGAACAGCATCTCTGGGTACCATCTAACATATTATTATATCCAGTTGTGTCAAAGCTGTCATCGGCCATAGAACCCTTTGACAGGTGCTTCTTGTTGCTTCAATTCTAAGTATTTCATAGTCTTCAGAGACATGGAGAAGTAGCAGTGCTAGTAACAGTACTAGTAAAACCAGGTTAAGCCCTAAAATAATTAAGAAGCCATTGCATGCACACACGTGAATGTTTGACTTCAGCTAAAATGCTTTCAAATGTACTATTCTATCTTTATACAAGGCCATAACACAAATTAAAATTTTAAAAATACTTTCACTTTACGTATGTGAAAACTGCAGCTCAAAGAATTTAAAAGACATGACTGAAATCCCATAACTAGGTAAAGATGGTCTAATCTGGAGCCCGCATGTCTCGGTCCCCCCACGCCCTGTTACAGAGAGTGCGAGGCTTCACCAGGAAGCTCTTTCGGCTCAAGGATTAGCTCTGGGGAAGTGCAGCAGGCAGGCCTGCTTTGCAACCTTTTTTCCAGCAGAAATCCAATGTTTGTTCACATTTCTAGTTCTTTTTGTTTTGTTTTGTTTCTTATCAGTATGGCTCTGGGAGTTATTTACAAAATTTAATTTTAAAAGTGACAGTCCGCATCATTAGGGTTCCTTGGAAACTTATGAAAAAAATAAATAAATACTGGTAGATGAGAAATTTCTGCAAAATTGTTAGTTATATGTGTAATATATCTAATCGTAACTAAAGAAACGTGTATTACAGTAATAATTTAATTTATTATTGTCATTTTCTTGCCAGATATGAGGGCATTTTTTTAAGCTCTCCACATGTGGTTTACCGTGGACCAAACACTGGCAGCTTCAGGCTTACAATGTGCTGACAAATCCTTCTTAGTTCGTTCACTTTGAAGAATGTGAGCATGCACTGTTCATGTGCCTGGCAAGCATGTAACCTACTCAGGAGAAGGACAGTGTCCACTCAGGTCATCAGGTGAACTTGTGATGAGGCCATCAAGAGGCTGCACGTGTGCTCCAGAAAATGAAATTCCCACTATCAACCTATTTTCCATTTCCACCCAATGGCCCACCCCTGCTCCAAAGCCATGTCTCCACCTCTTAGGAATGCTTGATTTTCAGCATTGCTGAACAGGGGTCAAAGAAAACAAACTGAACAAAGAAACAAATGAAGCCTTTAACCCGGGAGCAAAGACACAGCACCTCCCCACTCCACAACAGCTCCAGAGCTGCACAGCTGCTGCCAGAGCCTGAGCACAGGCCTGAGCTCTGGCCCATGGATCTCACCAATGCATTTCTTCCCTCTGTGCCAAAAAAAGTATCCATAAATGGGATTCATTTACTTGGGACATAAAATAATGTATACCTATAGTTTTCTCCCAGAACTGTGTAAACCGGCATGCTGTCTGCCACAATACAGTCCTCACCCTGCATCAGGAGCTCAGATCGGGGAAGCCAGCAGGGCTGGAGGCCTGAGAGTCACAGGTGCTTGGAGGGGAGAGAAAAGCACCACAGAGAGCCAGGCCCTGCCTACAAGTCACATTTTTAGGGGTCTAGTGGTCTGGGCAGGCTGGGAGATGCTCTCTAAAGGAAAGGCAAGAAATATTGCCCAACGTCTCCCACCACAAACAGAAAGTGCAGGTGGTCAGCCCCAGGGCTCACCTGCCCTTTGCCAGGGTCACGAGTCAGGCCCAGGCTGCACCCTCCACACAATCCTCAAGGAGATTTCCTGCCAGGCTGGGACAACTGCACCGGGACCTGATGCCCTGGGAAGGACAGGGTTGCATTTAACAGAAACAGTTAAACCTGAAAGGATGAGCTTGCTTTTCCCCGGGGCCATCGGATGGTTTATAGAAAGTTCTGCCCATCAGGACAAGACCTCACATGACACCATCAGAGGAACTGATTTCATGCCACAGAGGGAGGAAGAGGGCACATGCAGTAGGTCCACTGGTCACAGCACACACATGCTCCTGGGAGCTTCAGACCCAGCAGTGTGGCTCAGGTGCCAGGTCAGGATGTGGGAGGACACAGTGTCTGCAGGAATCTGTCACCTTTGCTAGCTGCCTTGTCCCACTAGGTAGAAGATGTGGCAATGAGAGCACAGCAGTAGGAAGCCCAGTGTCCCCCAACCTTCCACATCACACCCAGGACCTCTGAGGTGCATCTATATCTGCATATCTAGGTTCTGAAAAGCAGGAGGTCCTGGTTTCCACAGCTGTGGGGCTTCTAGCCAGGGCAGGGCCAGGTTCTCTGAAAACACAAGCTCTGGGTGCTGCTTTGTCCTCAGGCTGCTCCTCCATGGGACCTGCGGGCAGAAAAATGGGTACCACCTGGACCATGGTGTCAGCAGGAGCAGAGCTGTGCTGCCTGGGGAAGGAGGGGCTCCACGCAAGTACCTCCCAGTACACAGCATTTGATGGCATGTGGACAAGTGCAGGAGCCCTAGACCAAGGACTCTGAGGTGAGCAAGGCTGAGGGCCCCTTAGGGGTGAGGGCCTGGGTTACACCACCAGGGGGTCACCAGGACCCTCAGCAGAAGGTGGAGGGGGTGGTGATCATTACCTGTGTGACCCTGAGGTGGGTGGCAGCCACAGAACCTAGGGTTCATTGAACCCCCCTTTTGTAACTAGTGCCCAGAAAAAGGCCTAGAATTTAATAAAGACAAGGCCCCTGGCAGTGCAGTGCTGGATGGGGCGCACCCCCTGGGGCACACCTGAACCTCCCCCAGGGCCTTGGCTGTGAGCTTTGATTGTAGACACACTTATGCCACGGCCCCTTCAGACTGCCCCCTTCACCTCTGAAAAATCAGACAGGATGCTTCTGTTCCTGGAAACATGAATGCCCTTCGTGTGTTTTTTACTTTGACTAGAAACACATCTGCAACCGAAATATATGCAGAGACCTCGTGTGCTCCCAAGGTTTCCAGGCATCTCTGAGTTTGCTTCTCAGTTCCCAGAAGGTGTGACAGCTCCAAAGCACGTGCTTCTGGTTTCTCATCTCAGTGTATTTTAGTTCCCTGTGGACAGCATGTTTCTAACCCCCTTGCACACTCTTGGATCAGATTTTTGAAAAAGCCAAGGGTGGGAGGCAGAATGATGTGGAATGGGCAAAAACCATGAGTAAAGGCTGGCCTCACCCCAGGAGGAGATAGAATGCATTAGCCCAGTGACAGTGCCAGGGAACCCATGCAGCAGCCTAGGGAAAGTCAGGGAATGGAGCTGGGGCTTCGGCTGTCGCCATCCCAGAGTTAGACTCAGCCAGGTGACCAGCTGATTCTCCTCCACAGAACCCTTCGGCTGGCACAAAACATGCGATTCACAGCGAGAGAAAGACCACTCATGTCCACCCCCTGCAGCCTCCACACACCTGAGCCCGTACCTGACATATCCCAGAACAAGACTCCACAGCCATGCATCTGTTCTCTCCAGGGCATTTTATGATGAGAGAGGGATTTACTTAACATGATGAAAATAGAAGAGGAAATGACCTTGACAAGTATGTAGTTCCACACCCGCCATCCAGGGCCTAGGAATAGTGCTCAGCCAGGGCCCGGCCCTTCTAGGGCTCTGGGAAGCTGCAGTGGAGGTGGGGTTGGGACAAGCAAGAGTGGCCATTTGCAGGCAGTGTGGGCACCAGGCCATCTGCAGGGGAAAAGCCCAGTGGGAGGATGAGATAACAGCAGAAACCTGGCAGGGGCTATGCACCCCCCACCGTGGGAAGGGGATATCCTCCCAGGTGGAGCCACTGTTTACATTGAAATCACTCAAGTCCATCACCAGGAAACACAAAGAAGATTGTCTTGCCAGAGATTAGTGATCTGGGACTTAAACAAAATGCCAGTCAGCAAATGAGAGGATTCTTAGTTCCACAGGCCTCATGTCTGTAGTTGCAGTAAGCAAGACTGAACTCAGCCATGCTCACCTGCAGACACTGAGATGCTTGCTAGGAGGCTGTGGGGTGGAATACAAGACACGAGGGCTGACAAGGATGGGAAGAGCATCCCTTTCCTGGCTAGGGGCCTTGGCCAATTCAAAAATAGATAACATGGGGTCTCAGAGCTCCTGAGGCAAGAGCTACGTAGGCATTCAGAGATACCTGGATGATGGCATTGTCTTCAGTAGAACCTTGAAAAAGCACCAGGGACTCCCAGGCAACTTAGCTTAAATCTCTCTCGAGTAGAGCTGGTCTTTGGGATCTCCATCAAGTGGGTGATGCCTTTACCACCATGATAGCACATTATAAAGTCGGCCTTGCTAGCAGCAGGGACAGGCCTGATGTCACTGATCCTGAGACAAGCATCTTATAAACCCATATAATTTAATTTTGTGTAGGCTCAAGCTCATCACTGAGATCATCCTTTGTATGATGATCCATGAGGCCACCGTGAACAGCATGGACGGACCCAGGCCATGGAGGGGCCCTCTTCAACCTGGATGAGGAGCCCACAGTGGCCATTGCCCCTAAGTCAGAATAAAATCAAGACAAAAGCAATCAGAAGACCCATACACCATGAGGCTGAGCCATTTTTCAAAGATGTCAAAATAGGAAAATAATAAAATGGAAGAAAACCCAGAATCCCATCCCCTGACTTGCTCCAGAGGCCTCCCCAACTCCAGGCCACCAGGAGCAGGGGCCCTGCAGAGGAACTCTCCCTGGGTAGAAATTCGCTGGTTTTTGCCTTCCCTCAGATGTTGGCAACTTCAATTTCATCTTTTTTGGCATTAGAGCTAACGTTAAAATGACTCAGGTCAAAAAAGAGTGATGTGCTGCAGCCCTGACAATGCTCCCAGTGAGAATTTGTGCAAAACTCTTCCCTGGATCTACAAAACTAGGGCCAGGCAGGGTGTTGGGGCCGTGACGACTGCATCTCTGCCTCCTCCTCTCTGCAGTGCGGCCTCTTCACAGGCAGAGCATTCATTCCTCTTTAGCTTCTCACCAGCCCAGGATGCAGGGAAGAAGTAGCTTATCAGCACAGTCTTGGAATATTTTTACTTTACCAGCTGGGCTCCTATGAACAATGTGTCCAGCTATAGGTAAACAATGTGTGCAAATAATGTGAGAGTGACCACACCATGTCAGGACCATGCAAGAAGCTGGCCAGAGGCACAAGCAGCAGATGGGATGCTGATGGGGGAGACCAAAATACAGTATGGGGCAGCTGCATGCCATGATCAATCTGCAGGGGTAGGGGAAAAAATAACTCTGGGCCTGGCTAACATTTGCGTGGGGGAACATTGACCCAAGTCCCCAGGAGAACGTTGAAGAGAACCACGGTTTATTGTCAAAGGGAAAAGTAACCACAGAGTTTTCTTTCTGCTTCTAAGCAGATGGGAGGGGTGTAGCCTGCAGAACCAAGGGTGTGGGGGTCCTAGAATGTTGGTGGTGGTTGTTCAGCAAAGGGCTTCACTTCTCAGCCTGCAGAACTTCCCGCCTGTGAGTGTGGGTTACATCTATACATACACAGGAAATCATATACTCTCACTTAGCCGCCTGCATCTAAACATGGTAGTATTAGGAAAAATAGGAAAGCAACATCCTACTAGATTACATTGCTTTCAGTGAAACCATTTAAACCCCTGAGCCTCTGTGTCACCAATTAACACTGTGTGTAAGGAGAATGCCTGCCCCGTGGGGGTTTGTAAAGACAAAATGTAAAAATAAAATGTAGGCTGGGTGCGATGGCTCATGCCTGTAATCCCAGCACTTTGGGAGGCCGAGGGCATGGATCACGAGGTCAGGAGATTGAGACCATCCTGGCTAACATGGTGAAACCCTGTCTCTACTAAAAAAATAAATAAATAAATAACAAATAATAAACTTAAATGTAGAGTGCTTGGTAAACTAAAGTTCTAAATAAATATTAGTTGTTACTATTATTATGTCAGAAGTACTAGTCACAAGACTGGAATACTTCACTTGAATAAGAACTCAGTGCAAAGAAGTTGGATAAATTGGTGAGTTTGAAACTGCAACAGGACTAAAAATATGCCAATTAATTTATTAATGTATTCATATTTATTAACTTATTTATATTCAAATGAATTAAATATTTAGTGCATGCTTGGACCTGGGAACACACAGCCATCAGTGCTGCACGAACTCTGTCCTCACTGCAGTTGTTCTCAGATGACCTCAGAGGAAAATAAGAGGGAAACCACTGGCAATTTCCTTCCGTTGATACCTTAGCTGACTACATAGCTCATGTTAGGTCGGTCTTAATGAGGAAATCAGAATATTCGGGGCTTCAGTATTAAAACTACAAATCTCTATAGCAAGCATTCAGAGCTCTTTGGATTAGACATCAGTGGCTGCAGTAATGTTACCTGAGAAACCCACACACTTTCTGAACACTGGCATGAGTATCCTTTCCTTTCAGGCCACTATATATGGAAAAACACTTTCACCCATCACCGTAAGTGTCCCAAACTGCAGAAGAGGCAGATAGTAGCCAGCTAGTCCCTGTCAAAGGCCCATTGCCCTTTTCTGGGTCAGCCTGGTCCACCCAGCCTGAGGTGCTCTCTGAGACAGCCTAGCCACCACGCCACATGCCCTTCAGCCTAATCAGAGCATCAGGATGCTGTGCACGGCCATTAGCTGGGGTGACTCAGAATTATCTGTTGTAGAACAGGGCTCCGAGTGAAGGATGTGGTCACTCAGACCACGTAGATGGTTCAAGCTCTTACTCCTCTGTCAGCTCAGTGCCTGCACAGTGGAAAGGAAGTGCATCTATTGATTTCTTGGCCAAAAGAACAAGTTAATACATTTTTAAAAACTTTGACATTTTGTCTTAAAGCAACAGTGGGCCTTGTTTAACTAAAATCTCATTTCTTCAGCCTAATTTTGCTGGAAAGGCCCCAAACCAAGGCAAGCCCCTGGAGGAGAGAGAGCAGCTAGGATGCTGGCACCAGATGGCTTTGTTCCCCAGCCTTCAATATACTCAGTTACAAAATAACCACATCAGAGGTTTGATAAGATTATCCCCCAGGCCATTTTTCAGGTCTAAATGTTACCGTATTTTATATGAGAATACAGTATTTGAATCCACTCTCAGGGGACCCAGCCTTCAGGAGACACTGAAGGAATACAGACATTTTTTCTAGCCTCAAAAGCATGGTTTGCAAACTGGCTTGTTCTTTGCCGGAGAAAACCACACACATGCCCATTGAAGCCCTTGGTTGGCAGAGTTGACGGGATTTTCTCTGGCTCTCACCTTGAGGGCATCATCAGCATCCTGAAGTCACTTGCAGGCCTCTGTGCAGATGTCCTTTCGAGGGGCTTCAGGCTGTGGAAGTGACCAGTGAACACAGGACCTGCCTGGACTCCCAGCCTCACAGCACAGCACCACAGCCTGGACTGCCATCTGCCTGATACTTGGTTTGGAACTTTACTCCATCAAAGCATCCAAATAAAAATATGTAGACTCCCCACCCTATCCCATCTGCTATAGGGTTCTAATTCCCCCACAGACATCCCATCACAGAGCTTTCCCCCATGACGGGGGACCCCTGCGAGGGACTCCATCCCTCCCATACTGGAAAAGCACAGGTGCTGTGGCATGAGTTCAACTGACTGAAATTCCCTGATCTTCACAGTAATAATTCTAAAATAGGGCAACAATACCCCTGTCAGTG
Organism: Homo sapiens; assembly: GCF_000001405.40. Taxonomy (NCBI): domain Eukaryota; kingdom Metazoa; phylum Chordata; class Mammalia; order Primates; family Hominidae; genus Homo; species Homo sapiens. The sequence continues at coordinate 14,434,679 of NC_000018.10, read as the reverse complement.
TTCTTGGAAGAACCTCTCATTACTTGAGGCCCCAGAAATGCAAACACCCTCCTGTTTTCCAGTGTGCTGTCAACCCTGGCATCAGAGCTGTTCCTGCCATGGACACTGGTAATTGACTTACTGGAGAAAGTCAAGCTTTTAAGTCCCAGGAGTGAAGGGTTCCTATTTCCTTAAGCTGTGTTTATTTTTACACTATTGCGGGTAGAGTCAATGTGTACTGAGTGAAGACGAGGCAAAAGTGTCAAAGAGTGATTTCCAATAAGATGAAAAGTGATCTGCAGTTTCCACTTCCTTAACCAGCAGGAAACGTCTCTCCTGTAGCATCGGACAGTGGAGGCAGTGGCGCTCAGTGTGGGGCCTCCTGGCTGAAGGAGCGGACAACACGGTGTCCCATCTCCCGAGATGCTCTATGCACCTCACCTGGCTGGTGATTTACTTGACAGAAACCCATGTGTGGAGTAGGGAGTGCTGCCTTTGGCATCTACCCATGTCCTGCTCTGGACTCTCCCTCTTAGCAAGGGTGACTTGTGGGCCCTATTCACCTGGTGGCTGTGAGCCACTGCACTCCAGCCTGGGCAACAGAGTGAGGCCTTGTGTGAAAATAAAATAAAATAAAATATAAAAATAAAAATGAGCCAGGAATGGTGGCTCACGGCTGTAATACCAGCACTTTGGGAAGCCGAGACAGGAGGATCACATGTGGTCGGGAGTTGGAGACTAGCCTGACCAACATGGAGAAACGCTGTCTCTACTAAAAATACAAAAAATTAACCGGGTGTTGTGGCTCATGCCTGTAATCCCAGCTACTCGGGAGGCTGAGGCAGGAGAGTCTCTTGAACCCAGGAGGTGGAGGTTGCGGTGAGCCAAGTTCCCGCCATTACACTCCAGCCTGGGCAACAAAAGCGAAACTCCGTCTCAAAAATAAAATAAAAGACTTTAAGTCATTCATCAATTTTATGTATTTACTATTTCTTCTCCCATTCCATAAAGCCTACAGTCATATAACAGAAAGGGAAAATCAGGACAGCCACATATAAATAAAGGTGCAAAGGTGAGGCAGGAGTGGACCTTAAGGGCCAAGCCGAGGTCATTGCTGAGCCCTGGTCATTTAGCCTTGGGCTTTCTGGAAGCCAGAGTGAAAAGAGAGACACAATCAGCTGCATAAGAGTTATCAAAAAGCAGGAAGAGCGCTGGTTTTCCTGGTAGTAAAGCAAGGGTTTTCCAAGAATTTACCTCTAAAGTAATTTCTTTTGTTCTTTCTTTTTTCTCACTCTGACACCCAGTTGGAGTGCAGTGGCACAATCAGGGCTCACTACAACGTCTGCCTCCCAGGTTCAAGCCATCCTCCCACCTCAGCCTCTCAAATAGCCGGGACTACAGGCACGCACCACCATGCCTGGCCAGTTTTTTGGTATTTTTTGTAGAGGTAGGATTTCGCCATGTTGCGTAGGCTGGTCTGGAACTCCTGAGCTCAAGCAATCCACCTGCCTTGGCCTCCTAAAGTGCTGGGATTTCAGGCATGAGACACTGCGCCCGGCCTAAAGTAATTTCTTACTTGAGATTTTATTTCAGGCTACTGTGTCATGCACTGGGCAGTACAGCCTGGTGGGTGAGAGCACAGTGGTTTTTTTTTGTTTTGTTTTGTTTTGTTTGTCTGCTGGGTTTGGGTTTGAATTTTAATACGTGCAATTTATTCTGTGCTTCACTTTCTTCATCTGTAACATGGAGATAAGGGCGTCTACCTATTAAAGTTGTGAAGATTCAATTAGATGAGTTGTATGAATAAGTGTTAGCTGTTATTTTATTTTATTTATTTTTTTGAGACAGAGTCTCGCTCTGTCGCCCAGGCTGGAGTGCAATGACGCAATCTTGGCTCATGGCAACCTCTGCCTCCCGGGTTCAAGCTATTCTCCTGCCTCAGCCTCCCAATTAGCTGGGATTACAGGCGCCTGCCATCATGCCCGGCTAATTTTTGCATTTTTAGTAGATCCGGGTTTTCACCACATTGGCCGGGCTGGTCTCGAACACCTGACCTCAGGTGATCCACCCGTCTCAGCCTCTCAAAGTGCTGGGATTACAGCTGTGAGCCACTGCGCCCAGCCAGCTTTCAAGAAATTTGACTGCCTACTACTTAGCCTGCACAGTTTCAGGTGCTGGGGAAATAGCGATGAACAAGACAAACAAGATCCTTATCTTCAAGTAGCTTTTACATTCTAAGTGGAGTGAAAAAACAATAAACATTGAAAATAAATTTCAGAAAGTGCCGTGGAAAAACTTTACGACAGATGCAGGAATAGATTTCATTTGACTAGTTCTCCCAGACAGTTCCCAGAAAAGTCAAGGGTAGAATGTTAAAAGGCAACTCAGAGGTGAATCTGTTAGGGCCTGCGGTAATGCGATCCTGGTTTGTGGAATTCCGCAGGCTAGTGTGGGTAGGTTACAATTTTGGCGGGAGGGCTTTATTTTGTTTGAAAATTCCCTTCTTCCCGCTAAGCTTTTGATTAGGAGCTGAAGTTGAATCAGTTTGAAATTGTATTCTGGATCGAGTGCGGTGGTTCATGCCTGTAATCCCAGTGCTTAGGGAGGCCGAGGTGGGTGGATTGCTTGAGCCCAGGAGTTCGAGACCAGCCTGGACGAAATGGCAGAAACTCCATGTCTACAAAAAATACAAAAATTAGCCGGGCATGATGTTCTGCGCCTGTAGTCCCAGCTACTCAGGAGGCTGAGGTGGGAGGATCGCTTGAGCCCGGGAGGCGGAGTTTGCAGTGAGCTGAGATGTCACTGCATTCCAGCCTGGCAGACAGAGCCAGACTCTGTCTCAAAAGAAAAAAAGAAAAAAAAAAAAAAGAAAAAAAGAAATTGTATTCTGAATACATCTTCTAAAACACTACATTTACTTGTACTATATTAAACTGGTTTTATCCTGACCACAATTGCAGGTGAAAGATACCACTGTTGTTCTATTTTTCTGGTAAGTAGAGTGAGCCATGTCTTGCCCAGGGAAAGACGCCTCCTAAAAATTTGTAGGACCACCTTTGGTTTTCTTCCAGATTTTTTTTTTGTCATCGCTTTTCCTGCGCCCAATTCCCATCTGTCTAGCCCTTCTGCCTCCGCTGGGCTTTTTCGCGAGCCTCTCCCCAGCCGCAGGTATTCGTCTGGGCTGCAGCCCCGCCCATCTCCTGGGGCGTGACCACCTGTCCAGGCCCCGCCCCCGTCCAACCCGCGGAGACCAGCACCCTTTCCCGGACACCGGGTTCAGCGCCCGAGCGTGCGAGCGCGTCCCCGCTCTTCGCCCGGCTCGGCGTCGGGAGCGCGCTCTGTGTGGCCGCTGCTGCAGTGTTGTTGTGGCTGTGAGAAGGCGGCGGCGGAGTAGCAGCAGCCGGACCAGACTCCCTAGTAGCTCAGGCGCTGCACTGCGCCGGCCCTGGCAGGGAGCCTGGTGAGATGGTGGAGGAGGAGGCTGTGCCGTGGCTGGCCTTGCTATGTCCTGCTGCCTGGTTAGAACCCCATCCCCGTCCCCCGTCTCCTCTGGGGGTGAGGAGGAGCTGGAAGAGGGGCCGGCCTCTGTCCGGCCCGGCCCGGCGGCAGTCACGCTCTGAGGAGGCAGCGCCCGGGGAGGGGCGTCCCAGGCGGCCGCCGCCGCCAGGGGGAGGCGCTGGGAGTGGGAGTGGGAGCGGGACCTCAGCTGCCAAGCTCGGCCCGGACCCTAGGTGCAGGGGAGGCGGGGTCCCGGGCTCGGGCTGCCTGCCCGGACCTGGCGGGGATGGGCCCGTGCGGCTCCGGGTGTGGGACGTACCCTCAGAGCGCCCGGGGTTATTCCCACTGACTCCCGGGAGGTGGGTGTGCGCCCTTCGCTCCCTGCCGGGTCTGTGGGGGTCCATTGTTGCCGGAGACTGGAGGTCGGGGGCCATGGGAGCCCCGGGGCGAACGGTGCGGACATGGGCCTTGTGGAAAGGAGGAGTGACCGCCCGAGCGTGCAGCAGGACGTCCTCCTGACCTGGTAATAGTTAGGTGAGAAGGATGGTTGGGGGCGGTCGGCGTAACTCAGGGAACACTGGTCAGACTGCTCCCCAAACGATTACAGTGTTATTTCTGCGGTAGAAATTTTGCTTGGTGTATGGCACTTACGGACCTGTAAGATGATGTCAGTTGTATTTTGGGCGGGAAAAATTATGTCAAAATTATGGGGTAGATTTTATGGCCACATTAATAGACTCCCCTGGAGTTTGATCATCTCACTTGTGAGTTTTGGACATGAACTACTGTTACATATTGATATTCAAATGTCGTTTCCAGACCCAGGCCTAAATTCTTACTGTTCTAGTATCTTGATATCCACTTTGTTTTCTGACATCTATTTTTCCACAACCCAAACAAACAAAACCCCAAAACCATATACTTTTCCAGTTGAGGTTCAACTTTCTCACAGTAAATCCCTGCCCGTCTGGGATTACAGGAGTAATAGCAACACAGTGTGTGTTTATAGATAGCAGCAGTAATACATTTATTATATGTAATATAATAAATGTATTATTATATATTTGTATATATACAAATATATATAATTACATATATTTATTAAATATATAATAAATAAAATTTTATATATAAATTTTAATTTATATATAAAATTACATATATAGTAATATGTATTGAAATACATATTACTATAAATGTAATATGTATTTCATTTGTGTATATGTCAGTATACACAAATGGAAGCAATGACTACATAATAAGTGCTAAGACTTTTTTGTTCTTGTTTTGAGATGAAGTCTCGCTCGTTTCCCAGGCTGGAGTGCAATGGCGCAATCTCGGCTACTGCAACCACTGCTGCCCGGGTTCAATCGATTCTCCCGCCTCAGCCTCCCAAGTTGCTGGGATTACAGGTGTGTGCCACCACACCCGGCTAATCTTTGTATTTTTAGTAATTTTCCCCAGTGTGTGGCTTGGCTTTTCACTCTCTAAATGGTGTCTTTTGATGAACAGAAATTGTTAATTTTATGAAAGTTTAATTTATCAATTATGGTTAGTTATAGTTATGTACAATTTGGAAAATCATTGCCTATCCCAACATTATAAAAATAATGTCCTACATTCTTTTTTAAGAGGTTACATTATTTTACATTTCTCAGCAGGGTCTCAGATCTAGTTGATGTGATTTTTTCAAATCACAAACTCACTTTTGTATAGGGTTTGAGGAGGGGTCAAAATAAATTTTTCCTCATAGATATCCAGTTGATCCAGCACCTTTTATTGAAAAGGCCATTCCTCACACTAAATTGTAGTACTGCTTTTGTCAAAAATCAGGTGACTGTATATAGAAAGGTCTGTTTCTGATCTGTTTTCTGTTTTATTATTCTAGGTGTCCATGCTTGTTCTAATACCTTACTATTTGATTTACTTTAGCTTTATACCAAGTTTTGATATTTAATCATGTAAATCCTCAACCTTTGTTCTTTTTCAAAGTTATCTTGGCTATTAAATTCTTGGTATTTCTAAATATAGTTTTAAAACAGTGTCAGACAATGCTTTTTTATTATTTAAAGATGAGATACTCAGTACCTGAACACAATGACAAAGTCTGTGATCTTCTGAAACTAACCTCTGGGTGTGGGAATTTGAAGGTTAGTGGACAGAAGATGGCCGAATAGGAACAGCTCCGATCTGCAGCTCCCAGTGAGACCAACACAGAAAACAGGTGATTTCTGCATTTCCAAATGAGGTACCTGGTTCATCATCATTGGCACTGGTTGGACAGTGGGTGCAGCCCACAGAGGGCGAGTTGAAGCAGAGCAGTGTGTCACCTCATCCGGAAAATGCAACAGGTCAGGAGATTTCCTCTACCTATCCAAGGGAAGCTGTGACAGACTGTACCTGGAAAAATGGTACACTTCTGCCCAAATACTGTGCTTTTCCCATGGTCTTAGCAACCAGCAGACCAGGAGATTCCCTCCCATGTCTGGCTCAGTGGATCCCACGCCCATGGAGCCTTGCTCACTGCTAGTACAGCAATCTGAGATTGACCTGAGAGGCTGCAGCCTGGTGGAGGGAGGGGGGTCTGCTATTACTGAGGCTTCAGTAGGTAAAGAAAGCAGCCGGAAAGCTCGAACTGGGTGGAGCCCACCACAGCTCAACAATGCCTACTGCCTCTATAGGCTCCACCTCTTTGGACAGGGCATAGCTGAACAAAAGGCAGCAGACAACTTCTGCAGACTTAAACATCCCTGACAGCTCTGAAGAGAGAAGTGGTTCTCCCAGCATGGTGTTGGAGCTCTGAGAATGGACAGACTGCCTCCTTAAGGGAGCCCCTGATCCCCGTGTAGCCTGACTGGGAGACATCTCCCAGTAGGGGCCGACAGACACCTCATACAGGTGGGTGCCCCTCTGCGATGAAGCTTCCAGAGGAAGGATCAGGCAGCAATACTTGCTGTTCTGCAGCCTCTGTTGGTGATACCCAGGCAAACAGGGTCTGGAGTGGACCTCCAGCAAACCCCAACAGACATGCAGCTGAGAGGCCTGTTAGAAGGAAAACTAACAAACAGAAAGGAATAGCATCAACATCAACAAAAAGGACATCCACATCAAAACCCCATCTGTAGGTCACCAACATCAAAGACCAAAGGTAGGTAAAAATCACAAAGATGGGGAGAAACCAGAGCAGAAAAGATGAAAATTCCAAAAACCTAAGCACTTCTTCTCGTCCAAAGGATCACAGCTCCTCACCAGCAACAGAACAAAACTGGACAGAGAATGACTTTGATGAGTTGACAGAAGTAGGCTTCAGAAAGTCAGTAATAACAAACTTCTCTGAGCTAAAGGAGCATGTTCTAACCTACTGGAAGGAAGCTAAAACTCTTGAAAACAGGTTAGATAATGGCTAACTAGAATAAATAGTGTAAAGAAGACCTTAAATGACCTGACGGAGATGAAAACCACAGCATGAGAACTTCGTGACGCATGCACAAGCTTCAATAGCTGATTCAATCAAGTGGAAGAAAGGATATCAGTGATTGAAGATCAAATTAATGAAATAAAGTGAGAAGACAAGATTAGAGAAAAAAGAGTAAAAAGTAATGAACAAAGCCTCCAAAAAATATGGGACTATGTGAATAGACCAAATCTACATTTGATTGGTGTACCTGAAAGTGACAGGGAGAATGGAACCAAGTTAGAAAACATTCTTCAGGATATTATCCAGGAGAATTTCCCCAACCTGGCAAGGCAGGCCAACATCCAAATTCAGGAAATACAGAGAATACAACAAAGATACTCCACGAGAAGAGCAACTCCAAGACACATAATTGTCAGATTCACCAAGGTTGAAATGAAGGAAAAAATGTTAAGGGCAGCCAGAGAGAAAGGTCGGGTTACCCACAAAGAGAAAACCATCAGACTAACAGCGGAACTCTCAGCAGAAACCCTACAGGCCAGAAAAGAGTGGGGGCCAATATTCAACATTCTTAAAGAAAAGAATTTCCAACCCAGAATTTCATATCCAGCCAAACTACACATCATAAGTGAAGGATAAATAAAATCCTTTACATACAAGCAAATGCTGAGAGATTTTGTCACCATCAGGCCTGCCTTACAAGAGCTCCTGAAGGAAGCGCTAAACATGGAAATGAACAACTGGTACCAGCCACTGCAAAAATATGCCAAATTGCAAAGGCCATCAGCACTATGAAGAAATTACATCAACTAAGGGGCAAAGTAACCAGCAAACATAATAATGACAGGATCAAATTCACATATAACACTATTAAATGTAAATGGGCAAAATGCCCCAATTAAAAGACACAGACTTGCAAATTGGATAAACAGTCAAAACCATCAGTGTGCTGTATTCAGGAGGCCCATCTCACATGCAGAGACACACATAGGCTCAAAATAAAGGGATGGAGGAAGATCTACCAAGCAAATGGAAAGCAAAAAAAGCAGGGGTTGCCATCCTAATCTCTGATAAAACAGACTTTAAACCAACAAAGATCAAAAGAGACAAAGAAGGTCATTACATAATGGTAAAGGGATCAATTGAACAAGAAGAGCTAACTATTCTAAATATATATGCACCTAATACAGGAGCACCCAGATTCGTAAAGCAAGTCCTTAGAGACCTACAAAGAGACTTAGACTCTGATGCAATAATAATGGGAGACTTCAACACCCCACTCTCAATAGTAGATCAATGAGACAGAAGCTTAGCAAGGATATCCAGGACGTGAACTCAGCTCTGCACCACATGGACCTAAATAGATATCTACAGAATTCTCCACCCCAACTCTACAGAATATATATTCTTCTCAGCACCACATCACACTTATTCTAAAATTGACCACATAATTGGAGGTGAAACATTCCTCAGCAAATGTAAAAGTACAGAAATCACAACAAACTGTCTCTCAGACCACAGTGCCATCAAATTAGAACTCAGGATTAAGAAACTCACTCAAAACTGCACAATGCATGGAAACTGAAGAACCTGTTCCTGAGTGACTACTGGATAAAAAATGAAATGAAGGCAGAAATAAAGATATTCTTTGAAACAACATACCAGAATCTCTGGGACACATGTAAAGCAGTGTGTAGAGGGAAATTTATAGTACTAAATGCCCACAAGAGAAAGCAGGAAAGATCTAAAATCAACAGCCTAACATCAAAATTAAAAGAACTGGAGAAGCCAGAGTAAACAAATTCAAAAGCTAGCCGAAGGCAAGAAATAACTAAGATCAGAGCAGAACTGAAGGAGATGGAGACACAAAAAACCGTTCCAAAAATCAGTGAATCCAGGAAGTGGTTTTTTGAAAAGATCAACAAAATAGATAGACTGCTAGCAAGACTAATAAAGAAGAAAAGAGAGAAGAATCAAATATGCTCAATAAAAATGATAAAGGGGATATCACCACCAATCTCACAGAAATATAAACTACCACCAGAGAATACTATAAACACCTCTATGAAAATAAACTAGAAAATCTAGAAGAAATGGATAAATTCCTGGACATACACACCCTCCCAAGACAGAACTAGGAAGAAGTTGAATCTCTGAATAGACCAATAACAGGTTCTGAAATTGAGGCAATAATTAATAGCATACCAACCAAAAAAAGTCCAGGACCAGACGGATTCACAGCCGAATTCTACCAGAGGTACAAAGAGGAGCTGGTACCATGCCCTCTGAAACTATTCCAATCAACAGAAAAAGAGGGAATCCTCCCTAACTCATTTTATGAGGCCAACATCATCCTGATACCAAAGCCTGGCAGAGACACAACAAAAAAAGAGAAATTTAGACCAATATCCCTGATGAACATCAATGCGAAAATCCTCAATAAAATACTGGCAAACCAAATCCAGCAGCACATCAAAAACTTATCCACCATGATCAAGTGGGCTTCATCCCTGGGATGCAAGGCTGGTTCAACATACACAAATTAATAAATGTAATCCATCACTTAAACAGAACCAATGTCGAAAACCGCATGATTATCTCAATAGATGCAGAAAAGGCCTTTGACAAAATTCAACAGCCCTTCATGCTAAAAACTCTCAATGAACTAGGTATGATGGAATGTATCTCAAAATAATAAGAGATATTTAAAACAAACCCACAGCCAACACCATATTGAATGGGCAAAAACTGGAAGCATTCCCTTTGAAAACCACCACAAGACAGGGATGCCCTCTCTCACCACTCCTGTTCAACACAGTGTTGGAAGTTCTGGCCAGGGCAATCAGGCAAGAGAAAGAAATAAAGGGTATTCAATTAGGAAATGAGGAAGTCCAATTGTCCCTATTTGCAGATGACATGATTGTATATTTAGAAAACCCCATCGTCTCAGCCCAAAATCTCCTTAAGCTGATAAGCAAGTTCAGCAAAGTCTCAGGATACAAAATTAATGGGCTAAAATCATAAGCATTCCTATAATGTTGCCAGAAGTCAGGGACCCCAAACAGAGGGACCAGCTGGAGCCACAGCAGAGGAACATAAATTGTGAAGATTTCATGGACATTTATCAGTTCCCAAAATTAATACTTTTATAATTTCTAACACCTGTCTATACTGCAATCTCTGAACATAAATTGTGACAATTTCAGGGACATTTATCAGTTCCCATGTAGCACTCTTTGAATTTCTTATGCCTGTCTTTACTTTAATCTCTTAATCCTGTTATCTTCCTAAGCTGAAAATGTACGTCACCTCAGGACCACTATTGTACAAATTGATTGTAGAACATGTGTGTTTGAACAATATGAAATCTGACTGTAAAACATGGGTGTTTGAACAATATGAAATCAGTGCACCTTGAAAATGAACAGAATAACAGCGATTTTAGGGAACAAGGGAAGACAACCAAAGGTCTGACTGCCTGTTGGGTCAGGCAGAATAGAGCCATATTTTTCTTCTTGCAGAGAGCCTATAAACAGACGTGCAAGTAGGAGAGATATCGCTGAATTCTTTTCCCAGCAAGGAATATTAATAATTGATACCCTGGGGAAGGAATGGATTCCTGGGGGGAGGTATATAAACAGCCTCTCTGGGAGTGTCTGTCTTATGCAGTTGAGATAAGGACTGAAATACGCCCTGGTCTCCTGCAATACCCTCAGGCTTATTAGGGTGGGGAAAAGATCCCGCCCTGGTAAGTTTGAGGTCAGACCAGTGCTCTGCTCTCAAACCCTGTTTTCTGTTGTTTAAAATGTTTATCAAGACAATATGTGCACAGCTGAACATAGACCCTCATCAGTAACTCTAATTTTGCCCTTTGCCTTGTGATCTTTATTGCCCTTTAAAGCATGTGATCTTTGTGACGTACTCCCTGTTCATACACACCCTCCCCTTTTAAAGTCCTTAATAAAAACCTGCTGGTTTTGTGGCTCAGGGGGACATCACAGACCTATTGTTATGTGATATCACCCCCAGAGGCCCAGCTGTAAAATTCCTCTCTTTGTACTCTTTTTCTTTATTTCTCGGGCCAGCTGACACTTAGGGAAAATAGAACCTACATTGAAATATTGGGGGCTGGTTCCCCCGATACTATAAACCAATAACAGACAAACAGAGAGCCAAATCATGAGTGAACTCCCATTCACAATTGTTACAAAGAGAATAAAATACCTAGGAATCCAACTTACAAGGGATGTGAAGGACCTCTTCAAGGAGAACTCCAAACCACTGCTCAATGAAATAAAATAGGACAAAAACAAATGGAAGAACATTCCATGCTCATGGATAGGAAGAATCAATATCATGAAAATGCCCATACTGCCCAAGGTAATTTACAGATTCAATGCCATCCCCATCAAGCTACCACTGTCTTTTTTCACAGTGTTGGAAAAACTACTTTAAAGTTCATATGGAACCAAAAAAGAGCCCACCTAGCCAAGACAATCCTAAGCAAACAGAACAAAGCTGGAGGCCTCACGCTACCTGACTTCAAATACTACAAGGCTACCATAACCAAAACAGCATGGTACTGGTACCAAAACAGGTATATAGAACAATGGAACAGAAAAGAGGCCTCAGAAGTAACACCACACATCTACAACCATCTGATCATGGCAAACCTGACAAAAACAAGCAACGGGGAAAAGATTCCCTATTTAATAAATGGTGTTAGGAAAACTGGCTAGCCATATATAGAAAGCTGAAACTGGGTCCCTTTCTTACACCTTATACAAAAATTAACTCAAGATGGATTAAAAACTTAAATGTTAGACCTAAAAACCATAAAAACCCTAGAAGAAAACCTAGACAATACCATTCAAGACATAGGCAAGGGCAAAGACTTCATGACTAAAACACCAAAACCAATGGCAACAAAAGCCAAAATAGACAAATGGGATCTAATTAAACTAAAGAGCTTCTGCACAGCAAAAGAAACTATCATCAGAGTGAACAGGCAACCTACAGATTGGGTGAAAATTTTGCAATCTACCTATCTGACAAAGGGCTAATATCCAGAATCTACAAAGAACTCAAACAAATTTACAAGAAAAAAACAAACCCATCAAAAAGTGGGCAAAGAATATGAACAGACACTTCTCAAAAGAAGATATTTATGCAGCCAACAGACACATGAAAAAATGCTCATCATTACTGGTCATCAGAGAAATGCAAATCAAAACCACAATGAGATACCATCTCATGCCAGTTAGAATGGCGACCATTAAAAAGTTAGGAAACAACAGATGCTGGAGAGGATGTGGAGAAATAGGAAAGCTTTTACACTGTTGATGGGAGTGTGAATGAGTTTAACCATTGGGGAAGACAGTGTGATGATTCCTCAAGGATCCAGAACTAGAAATACCATTTGACCCAGCATTCCCATTACTGGTTATATACCCAAAGGATTATAAATCATGCTACTGTACAGACACATACACACGTATGTTTATTGTGGCACTCTTCACAATAGCAAAGACTTGGAACCAACCCAAATGTCCATCAGTGATAGACTGGATTAAGAAAATGTGGCACATATATACCATGGAATACTATGTAGTCATAAAAAAGGATGAGTTCATGTTCTTTGTAGGGACATGGATGAAGCTGGAAACCATCATTCTCAGCAAACTATCACAAGGACAGAAAACCAAACACTGCATGTTCTCACTCATAGGTGGTAATTGAACAATGAGAACACATGAACATAGGGTGGGGAACATCACACACTGGGGCCTGTTGGGGGGTGGGCAGCTGGGGGAGGGATAGCATTAGGAGAAATACCTAATGTAAATGGTGAGTTGATGGGTGCAGCAAACCAATGTGGCACATGTATACCTAGTTAACAAATCTTCACGTTGTGCAAATGTACCCTAGAACTTAAAGTCTAATAATAAAAAAAAGAAATTTAGTGGACAAAGTGAGTAGCTATTTTTTCTGCTTTCATCTCACTAAATCTAGTTTAATAATCAGATTGCAATAACATAATAAATTTTATAGTAAGATTGTATATAATTACCTATATACTGGAAGACAAGGGAAAAGTTATAACTGTGAGTGCTGATGAAGCTAACATTTTACCTGCATTTTGAAGTGTGAATGAACATTCAACAGGAAAAAATGGCAGAAAAAAATGCACTTATTTCATGGAATAAGATGTGAGAGATACGAAAGAAAAATATGAGTAATGTAATAAGTAATGCTTTAAAAAAAAAAGTAGGGAAGCCATTAATGTACCATGACTGTTACATTATGTTCAAAATGAGAACTAAAGCCATATTCAACAGAAGCCTCCCACACTTTTATCATACTCTTCTTATATGTGTACTTTTTTTTTTTTTTTTGAGACAGTCTCTCTCTGTCACCAAGGCTGGAGTGCGATGGCGTGATCTCAGCTCACTGCAACCTCCGCCTCCTGGGGTCAAGTGATTCTCCTGCCTCAGCCTCTCGAGTAGCTGGGATTACACGCATGTGCCACCATGCCCAGCTAATTTTTTGTATTTTTAGTAGAGATGGGGTTTCACCATGCTGGCCAGGCTGGTCTCAAATTCCTGACCTCATGACCCGCCCGCCTCAGCCTCCCAAAGTGCTGGGATTACAGGCATGAGCCACCATGCCTGGTCTTAGATCTGTACTTTCTAACAGAGCAACACAACTAGCATTTCTAACAAATGCTGCAAATCTTAAAAACGATGGTGTTCAGCATAATCTAAGAATACAGAGCATAAAAACCTATTTTAGAAAAAATATCAAAAGCATAATGGTAAAATTCAACACTTATTTTTAGAACCTACTGTGTGCCAGACACTTTAAAAAATGTTTTTAATACAAGGATGAGCAAAATTGGTGAAATCTCTGCCCTTGTGGAGTGTCCAGTCTAATGAAAAAACAGTAAGCAAGTTAAGAAGCAAATGCATAATATAGTGTTAGGTTGTGACAAGGGCTATGTGGAAAAAATAAAGCGTGGTTGAATATAGAATGACACAATGTGTGTGTGTAGAGAGTATTGTTGGAGAGAAGGCTCAGAAGTGAAAGAAATGATGAAAGAACCACACCAATATCTGATGCAAGAGGGAATAGCCAATCAGAAGCCTTAAGGCTGCAAGAGCTGGGAGGTTTAATAAACAGCAAGAAAAATAGTGCCAAAGTGATATAGAGTGGCAGAGGGAAAAGTAGTAAGTAAGAGATACAAAAGATAAGCAGGGCCTAGATTCCCTGTGGCCTGGGAGATAATGGTGAAGACTTATGGATTTGTTTCATGTGATGAAAATCTGTTGTAGAATTTGAGCAGGAAATGATGTGATCTGATCTACGTTTTTGGAAGAATCATTCTGGCTCCTGTTTGGAAAATAGCTGGGATTGGGTTGGAAAAAAAAAAAAGTAATGGAAGTAGAGGGAACAGTCAGAAGTGACTGCAGTAATTTAGAAGAGAGATAACGGAACCATGGCCTCGGGTAGTATCTACAAAAAAGGTGAGAACTCAATTTAGGATGAGTTGTGTAGGTAAAGTTGACAGGCTTTGCCAATGGAATGGATGTGGAGTGTGTAAAACATAGGGAATCCAGGCTGATTTTTAAATTGAGGGCCAGAGCCACTGGATAGTTAGAGATGATATTTCCACTAAGACTGGAAGTGAGGGGGAGCATCATATTTGGGGCAGGGAGGAATCAAAGTTTCTGTTTTGAGTGGTTAAATTCAGAATGCTTCTCAGATATCCCAGAGGAGGTGTTAATTTGGCAGTCAGGTATCTGAATCTGGACACAGAGGGGGAGGTCAAGGCTGGATGTGTTAGTTTAGAAATAACCAGCATCTGGGTAAGATTAAAACCTATGATATAGGATAAAATTATCTAGAGAGAGCATTTACTCAGAGAACTCTCAATATTCAGGAACACAAGCCTATCCAGACTGGCTCAGGATAAATAAAGTTTTATGTAGAAGACAAATAGTTGCCTATGTAGAACCAAAGAAAAGGTGCAAATAAATACAAGCCCATCATCTCTCTTGGTTACATAGAATACATGAGGCAGTAAAGGATAAGGATTAAACTTTCAAGATGTGAATGTCTTGAATTCAGATGTCAAACAGAACTGAATTTGAATCTGTTTCCCACCAGCCAAATGAATGTTTGGTGAAGATGACCATGATGATGATAATGACTTACATTTCTTAATGTTTCCCCTATGTGTGTAGGACTTTTAAACTTGTTCCAGTACAGGTAGGGAAAGGAAATTCACATTAGTTTATTCACACACATAGAGAGAGAGTTGGGGTCTCTGTGTGCTGCCCAGGCTGGTCTCAAATTCCTGGGCTCAAATAATCCTCCTGCCTAGGTCTCCCAAAGTGCTGGGATTACAGGCATGATCCACTGTGCCCTGCCCTAAATATATTTTATATATAGCAGGCAATAAAACAAGAACATGAGGATTACAATTTTTAATCACAGAGGGAAAGATTTTGTGAGAATAACATAATTTCATATTCAAACAGCAAGTCTTTAGCTAATTCTTTGATTAAAGTATTGACAAAACCATTTTGAAAAATGTTTCTGTGGCACTTTTACCTGTGAAGTTTTGAAAGATCTACACTAATTACAAAATTCTGGAGGGAGAAAAATGTAATATTCTCCAGGAATGAGAACAGAATATAATACTTTGAGCTATACTAGACATAATCATTTTTGTACATGCACTTTCAGAAGAGGTCCCATGCTGTGGACTGAACTTCAAATGAAATACAGTAATTGTCTCTGGCATTAAATACCCATAGGCATATTTTTACAAGAACATACATTAGTATACACCTGCTAGATACATAACAATGTGTGAGTATATTTTAAGAGAATCTTAATGTGACTAACAAATAGCAATCAAATTGTTCACAATTTCAGGCTCAAAATTGAAAAGAAGAGGAATTTTTTTTACTAAAAAATTATATACACAGAAAGAGTGATGCAAAGTTGAGCATTAATGCAAATTAGGATGAAATACGAGAAGTAATCCTTGCCAACCATCTGCCTAGCTTCTCCCCACTTCTACCCTTCCCTAGCAGGGGTGAGCTATTTTACCTCCTGGGGAGATGGGAAATGACAGAGTGAGAGGCTAATCAGAAGTTTCAAGCACCCCCTTCTCTAAAAGCAGGAGGCTGTTGGTGAGTACTGGAATTTTGTTTTTCTAATTTGGTCTTGAGGTTTCTCTCTGGCAAATGGCTATGAATTCTAACCCTGCACTGAAAGGGCTCCAGTATTTGGGTCATGGATGTCTACAGTGACTTCTTTATCCTAGTGGATGGCCTAATGCCTAAGTGTTGCCTAGCGCCTAAGCGTCCAACCCATGACCAGGTGTCCCACTCACAGGAAACATGCTTATACCAGCAGGCACCCTCATGGCTCTTGTCTGACCTATGTCCAGTTTATTTCTACCAAGATATCCATTGTCTAGGAGAGCTTTCCCTTGGAAAGAAGCTAGGTTCAGGTGTGTCAGTCAGGTGAGATGCAGAGGAGGCGATGCAACAAAAACCACACAATAATAGGAGGAGTTTATTACTTACAGATTAGAGAAAAGGGCAGCACTCCTTGCAGAGCTGATGGGAAAGCGGAGCCATTCCAGACTTACATGCTCTACCAGAACGACAAAGTGCAGAGCAAAAGAGAGAGTGAGGGACCTGTGTGCTAAAGCTTTTATTGGAGTCCAGGGTATTATTAGGTGGGTTTCCATGGGAGTTCTAATTTGCAAGTTTAAAGCAAGCTATTCCAAGTCCTATGTGGCCACGCTGTTACTGAGAGGTTGTCGCTGCAGCATATCTGTACAGTCTATGGGGGATGGAGGAGTCAGTGGGGTAAGGCAATAGGTGGTACCTAACTGTCCTTTAGGGAAGGTGGTCAACAGCAGACAATTGTATAAGGGAGATATCTGGATTGACCATATTAAGGAACTGGGATGAAATAGAGAACTGGAAATTGTGCCAAGGGTGACTAAACCATGTTTCTTGTATGAGAAAGTCCAATTTATATTCAAAATGAATGCCAAGGCAATATAAAATTACAGGAATTCACTACCATGCACCCCCATGCTCCTGAATTTTCAAGTCCAGGCTCCCTATATGTAGCTGATAATATGGGTGCCAAGTAATCTGGAAATTCCTGGAATTTCTGCTGCTAATTGGAAATCCCAGCCCATTTCATTCAAGGTAATCTGTCTTTGGGTCCAAAGTCAGCATTTTATGACACTTAGGTGCTCTCACCAAAGATGTGTGTATGAAATGGCTTAAGGAGAAAATAGACACAGAACAGCTTGCCTTTGCCCTGTAGAGCTCTCAGGTAGGTCCAGCCCATCCTGGGACTTGGAGTGATTTCAGATACTCTGAATGCCTCTGGTTCCCAAACTGCCATGGGCTTGCTGGTGGAACAAAAACAGACCTTGATACCCTTACTATGAATTATATATATGATTGGCTAACTGAAAGCAAAACCATAATGGAACATGACTGCAGGCACGTATATATTCTCCAGGGGGTCCATGTTTTGTTGGGGCAAACATATCTCACCAGGTGAATGGCCTCAATGGCTGAAGGCAGCATGAACCCTAAACTCTTAGATACTTGGATAATTCATTGGGAACAACAACAGACAGAGTTGAAGCTAGTCTTTAAGAATATTCCCTACAAGCCAGCACAGACAAAAATCTTTCAGGTATAAAATTCTCTTATTTCTTACTGTAGTGTATCTTTGGCAACATGGGTACACAGACTGTGGAAAACTTAAGAATGTAAGTTACATTTTAGTAGCTCTGTTGGTGGAATATATATGTGTCCAAAGAGCTTTCTTAATTGGATGTGGTCTTACCCTGTTCTACTTTAGTCCAGATTCCTTGTTATTAAGCTTTTTATTGCTGCAGCATATTCTCTAAATATAATTTACTCATGGTAATAATTAATCAACATTACGGAAGAAAGCTATAAATATAAGGTGATAATATAACATAAAATGTATATTTATATGTCATATATTACATAGTAAATAAAATACATGTTAAATCAAAATAAAATAGTAGTATAGGCTAAAATATATATGTACACATAAACATTTAGTGTAAATGTGCATATAAAAGGAGAAAAAAGGAAATACATTGATGATAATACTGTAGGTAGGTAGGGAGATTGTGGTAGTTTACTTTTTCACATATTCCAAAATATTTAATTACTATTTTATAACTTACATAAATTGTAGAATAACTTCTCTTGTTTAGTAACAGCATAGAGAGGGGTAAAACTGGCAGAAATGGACATGTTTGATCAATGTTGATCCTTCAAACTACAGTGATCCACTTCTGAGAACAGGGACTCACATTAATGAAGGAGTAAGCCAGGTTCTTACAGAGCGTGAGATTCAGCTTCTCCTGTCATGAGATGGGGTCAGGCTCTGGGCCAGGAGAGCAATGGCCAGCTTTGGAAGCTATATCTCAGGTCACATTCAAAAGCACACATTTCCAATTCTTTTCCCAACGCTGCTTTTGTCACATTAGAATGAAATTTGCCCTCAGTGTTGAACTATTCTATAAAAAGCACAATCTTGCCTAACTTAAAATTTAAAGTTAGCTTGTCTGACAGCTGGGATGTAAAGAGACAGTGAAAAGATTCTGACTTTTGGCATTGTCAGCAGTTTCCCTTGAGAGTGGAGCCCTGTCTTTCTGCAACCTGCAGCTCTCGCTTTCCTGCTGTGACTGAGCCAGTGGGATCGTCGGCCAGGAGAGGGCGCCTCACTCAGTGAGACATAAATCCAACAGCGCCCTATGAGGGCACTAGGAAGGTGAAACGCAATCCTCACCTACACTTGCTCTGCTCTCTGCCGTTTCAGCATTCCACCTTAGGGCATCAGGCTTAACTTTGCAGGTGTTAAATCTCCGTGTGTCCATGAAACACTTCAAGTACTATTTCAGCAGCTTGGAGAAATCCCAAACACAAGTCAGGAAGTTATCTCCGTCAGAGGCTTGCCGCCTCACCCCTGCATGGCTCTCAGAGAAAGCTTCCTTTCTGTAAGACACATTCCAATCATCGCACTGTGGCTAAAAGGCTAAATATAGGAGAGACATTTGCCCAGATATAGCAAAGCCGATGTTGGTTTGCCTAGGCAATTTGATAAATGATGATTGTGTGCAGGTGTTGGCTAAATAGACCATAGACTACGTATTAAGATAACTTATGAGGTCTGCTGGAGAGAATGGGAAAGTGGGTGTGTGCGGATGTTTGGCACAGCCTGGGGCTATGGCTATAAGAACCTGAGTCTAGGATTTGCCATAGAATATTCTGTGAGCAAAAAAGACACCTACTTGTCAGTTATAATCCTCATAAGAATTTTTATAATATTTTTTAAGCTGTGTAACTGAGAAAAATCACTTAACCTGTCTGAACCTAGGTTTCCTCAAATATATTCAGTCTGCACTCCCAGGACCTCACTTTAAGAGAAACCTGAATCTCTTGAGCACGAGCATTTGGATGGGTGTTATTCCCTTCCTGCACACCTTCTGTGCTTCAAAGAGAGAACTTATGTAACCTTTTTCCTCATGTATCCCTGCTTTGAAACCTGTAAATTTCTATCTTTCTCTGCCCCTTTCTGACTTCTTTTATTATTATTTTCAACCTCATTGATTTCTTCAAACTACTTTCCATCCACTAAATATTTCTAATGAGCCCTGTACATTTTTCTGTACCACTGTGGAAAAAAAGTAAAATAATTTCTGTCTTAACAAAGGATTGCCACACCCATCTAGCATTAAAAGGAAGGAGAAAAAGCGGGACACATTAAAAACAATAAGCGTTGATTTCTCTGGCTCTACCTACAGACCTGTTACTGTGAGGCCTTTAATCCATCTTCACCGCCGCTTTCTTCCCTTGCTTTGTCTTTTAAAGTTTCAGGGGACTGTCACAAACAGGGTCTTACTCAGGGCCTCCTGCTGCTGCTCTGTGGCCTTGTTGAGCCCGTGGGGCTGGTTCCTGTGGCTCCTCCTGGCCAGTTGTCCACTGCAGGTGCCATGGATCCAAGAATTACCTCTGCTGGGCACCTCCCTCCCACACAATGGCACCCTGCTTCCAGGACATGCTGAGTCCTATCTCAAGGCATTCTTGGTCTTCCCTCAATGTTCCAGAGTAATATTATTTTATCTAGAACATTCCTGTGTTGAAGCTCAGTAAATGTCAGCACAAGTAGGCAAAAGTGTATTGCTTTGGGTGGTAAACTTTCTCCATGCTCTCCCCGGACCCCTTCTTATCCACTTTACCAGCCATGTGCATGCATCCTATAGCTTCTCTGTGCTTTGTTCCAAATGGCCTGCCCCTGTGACCTTCTTCAGAGGCTGACCATGGGCCAGTCCATCCCTCCCAGAGAAAGCCTGGAATGCCTGGTAGTGTAGTTCTAGGGAAGCCTATAGCCAATGACTGTGCAAGATTCTGAAAGCCTGACTCCCTTTCCTCAAAATGGGGCAAATTCTGACATAATTTATGGTCTAGAGCTCCCCAAAGATCTGGCTAAGGCCAGGGAGTTGGCTAAAATTGTGCCTTTCTCTGTTCTTCATTTCCTTTTCTCTTGCATTCTTCTCCTGGCCCTTAATAAATACCTTGTTCATGATCTGTGTCTCAGAGTCGGCTTCTGGAGGTCCAGCCTTAGGTATTTGGTTAGGAGGGCAAGGATGATTTTTGGAGGCAGATTCTGAGGATGGGATTCTAGAGTTAAGTCACCAGCTAAGTGGCAATAAATACTCCATCACAGGGGATATGTGGAGCCCAGAGGGGCCCTGACACACTAGAGCATTGCAGTTGCTAAAACTTTTACCTGGAGCGAATTAAGATGATGTAATGGGTTGAATTATGTAACCTCAAAAGATGTTGAATTTCACCTCTAGTACCTGGGAATGTGATATTACTGGGAAATAAGATATTTGCAGATAATCCAACTAGAATAAGATCATTAGGGTGGGCCCTAATTCAATATCACTGTTGCCCTCACAAAAAAAGTGAAATTTGAACATGGTGACATACATGCTTAGAGGAAAGATGGTGTGAAGACACAGGGCATCCACAAGAACAATTTGAGGCCAACAGGGAGGTCGTGGAACAGATTCTTCCCTACAGTTCTCAGAACCAACCTTGCCGACACCTTGATTTTGGACTTCTAGTCTCCAGAACTGTGAGACAATAAATTCCTCATGTTCTATGCCACCCAATTTATTGTATTTTGTTATAGAAGCTCTAGGAAACTAATACAGAAGGGATTCTGACAGAACGGGTATGCTAGATTGTGCAATTTTCTTTGGCTTTTGATGGTACAAGGTAAATGGTCATTACAAAGGCTGTGGATGGGTTCCATGATAAATGGAAAGGAGAAAAGGACAGACTCCAGTTGGTCAGCATAAGGCAAAGTGAGAAAGTCAGAAAGTCCCTTGGCAGCTCTTAAACAAACCCCCTTTTTCTATAGCCAAGGGAGACCATGCTGAAGACCAGGCCAGGACCAACTATAAGAACAGTGGACCTTTGGTGGCTCATGCCTGTAATCCCGGCACTTTGGGAGGCCGAGGCAGATGGATCACCTGAGGTCGGGAGTTTGAGACCAGCCTGAGCAACATGGAGAAACCCCATCTCTACTAAAAATACAAAATTAGCCAGGCATGGTGGCATGTGCCTGTAATCCCAGTTACTCAGGAGGCTGAGGCAGGAGAATCACTTGAACCCGGGAGGCAGAGGTTGCAGAGAGCTGAGATCACGCCATTGCACTCCAGCCTGGGCAACAAGAGCAAGACTCCATCTCAAAACAAACAAACAAAACAAAACAAAACAAAAACAAAACAGTGGACCTTCAGGGACGCCCAGTTTACATCCTCAGCAATCCCATGCAACAGCTAGAACCTTGGTAAGGAAGAAATGGCTTCTTAAGACTTGGAATCAGAAAATGTGAATAGATGTCATTGATAAATGTGAAACTGCAGCTGTCCCTGAATCCTCTGGGCCTGCAGAATGGGCCCACATCTTCTTTCTAGAGGGCAGAGCTCTCTTGCTTGAAGATTGGAAGCAAGTGTACAAATGTAAGCAGAGAAGCCTAACAAGAGATTAATTTTATGGCTTATATCTTTATTAGAACTTAAATCCAATATGTTTATTAGACCTTACAGTTCTGCCTGAGAGAAAAGAGGGATATGTTAAAGTCCTCACTCCACAAGATTTGTAACCATAGGCATAAAACCTTTAAAGGATATACTTTATGGCAGTGCATTCCAAATTTACACATAAAACAGATTTCTGCTATTGCATTCCAAATTCAGACATGAAACAGATTTCCAACTTATTTCACCTGTTGGGCTGGTCCCATGTCATATACTCAATGTGCAGTACTCACTTCTTTGAGCCTCAGTAACATGTGAGTAGAAATGGGATCATTGTAATAAATCTACTTGCATCAATTTATGTCCCTTGTCTCATAACAGCCATTTCTCCCCAACCTTAATTAAATATTTCTGAGGGGTAACTAAAGAATACTGGATTGCTGTTGGTTTCAGATGAAATCTGTGCAGAGTCTGTGCCATGAAGGGCTCTGCCTATATTTTGGTTACAAAAGTTTATCTTATTTTGGCAGGGTGCGATGGCTCATACTTATAATCCCAGCACTTTGGGAGGCAGAGGTAGGAGAACTGCTTGAGCCCAAGAGTTTGAGACCAGCCTAGGTAACATAGCGAGATCCCATTTCTATAAAAAAAAATTAATTAAAAAATTTTATAAATTTGTAAAGCTCTTTGTGCATATATTGTCTGATGTCATATTCTCCTCAAGCAGCCCCTGAGATGAGGAGTCATGTGGGAGTAATTTATTAAGAAGGTGATCTCAGAGGAAGACAGGGAAGGAGAAGGGAAAGAAGGATATGGAAGAGAGAGAACCCAAGAAAGTGTGTGATTTTGTCAAAGTCCAGCTTCAGCCTCATCCAGCTTGAGGCCAGGGAGTCAGATTGTCAGACACTTGGACCAGTCAGTCAGTCATTGCCTAAGAACTGCACAGAGGGTTAAAACTCCCCATTCTCCCAGCTCCATGCAGAGATCCTTAAAGACAGTCTCAGTTGCAGCCGGGTGTGGTGGCTCATGCCTGTTATCCCAGCACTTTGGAAGGCTGAGGCAGGCGGATCAAGAGGTCAGGAGTTTGAGACCAGCCTGGCCAATATAGTGAAACCTCATCTCTACTAAAAATACAAAAACTAGCCAGGTTTGGTGGCAGGTGCCTGTAATCCCAGCTACTCAGGAGGCTGAAGCAGGAGGATTGCTTGAACCCAGGAGGCAGAGGTTGCAGTAAGCTGAGATCATGCCACTGCATTCCAGCCTGGGTGACAGAGGAAGACTCAGTCTCAAAAAAAAAAAAAGTCTCAGTTGCAGGCCTTCGGAAGCAAAGCACAAAGCAGCTGGAAGAGGCTTACAGAAAGAGCAAAAGAATGTGGGGTATCTGTGTGTGCTGTCAACAGTGCTCACTATTACTGTGAATGAATATCTGTGTCCCCCCAGAATTCATATATTGAAGCCTAACCCCCAAGTTGATGATATTTGGAGGTGGGGCCTTGGGGAGGTGATTAGGTCATGAATGTGGAGCCCTCATAGGTGTGATTCCTGCCCTTATAAGAAAAGATGATCTCTCTCTCCACCATCTAAGGATACAAGAAGACAGCATCTGCAAACCAGGAAGGGGGTCTTCACCAGTCACAGTCTGCTGACACCCTGACCCTGGACTATCCTAGGCTCCAGAACTCCAGAAATCAATCTCTGTTGTTTAAATCACTCAGTCTATGATATCTTGTTATAGCAGCCCAAACTGACTAAGACAATTATACATGTCAAAATCCTTTCTAATCTGTGGATCTGGGCTTTGCAACTTTGCATGTCTCACAGCCAGCAGAGGATTCTATTATTAATGGTAATCCATGTCGAATTTAATACTATAAGAATTTTTCATAAAATCAATTTGTTTTTAACCTTTTGGCTATCAAACTAGTTGTAATTTGAAATCCAAGACAATTAAATCTTTGTAAAATGTGGGTCTTTTTGTAAGATGACTTTAACCACAGAGAAAATGTAAAATTTTAGGAAGGGTAAGACATGTAGTTAGCACTGAGATTACTATGTGAGGCCTAATGTCATCTATGTGTAAGGCAATCATCAGTGTTACATTTCATTAGAAAGATGGCTTTTAAAAAACAACTAGCGCCAAGGTGGACAGATCACCTGAGGTCAGGAGTTCGAGACCAGCTTGCCCAGCATGGTGAAACCCCATCTCTATTAAAATTCCAAAACATTAGCCGGGTGTGGTGGCAGATGCCTGTAATCCCAGCTACTTGGGAGGCTGAGGCAGGAGACTCGCTTGAACCCAGAAGGCAGAGGTTGCAGTGAGCTGAGATTGCTCAACTGTACTCCAGCCTGGGCGACAAGAGTGAAACTCCGTTAAAAAAAAAAAAAAAAAAGAAAACTAGCCAGCTTCACAATGGAGGCAGTTCCATAATTTGTTGGGATTTTGGAATGGCAGTGAGCTACATATCTTTTCTTTCATGTTCTAACATATAGAAAACAAACTAAGTCTTTGTATATTAGCTAACTCAGCAGAACAGTCTGTGGGAGATTATATTGATCTTGAATACACAGTGCACACGTATTGGATATTGATGCATAATTTGGGTCTAATTTCTTCTCGTATCTAAATACCCGTAAACCTTTAGAACGGTTTAAATGTACAGGCTCAGAATGACTTTAATAGGGCCTTTAAAATTTATATTTATATATTTAAATAAGTGCTGATGGCACTGTTGTTTATAATATTAGGTTTCTTGCTGACCTCTCAGAATTTTCCTTAGAGCCTGAGACAGGCCGACTGGTTGGTTCCCTATCTTAAGATTGTCTGAAGGAAAAGGATAAAAGCCCCTCTACTCAAGCTCTAGCTTGTCTAACTCTCAGCCAATCAGCAATAAAAGACCAAGGAAGCTATTAATTGCAAATTTCTATTTCAGGGGGCTAGAGGCTTTCCCAGAGTCCCATATGTGGAGTCAGACTTAAACTCCAACCTAAAGTTATCTTTTCCTCATTTTAACACTAAAGTTCATGCCCAGGGGTGGAGATTTAAAATGCTAATGCTACATGAAATGTATGAAGAAACATGTTGAGCCATTGTGCAGGTGCTAGCAAAACTCCCCCTATACATTCCCTGAGGGAATCCTTCCCTATGGAAAGACCCTATACCTAACCGAACCACACAGTATCTTCGGGGAACAGCCCACTCCTTTTTGTTCTCTCATGACTGGCTCCCTGAGAGGTAATAAACTCTCTTCATTGCTGCCTCTGGTGATCTCTCTTGATTTCTATCCTGGGAAATCACAAGATCCCAGGGCACTGTTAAGAAGCTTATCACAGATTCTTTGAATTTCTTCAGTGGTTCTGAAACAAGAGTGTTCCCTTGACCCCTTTGCGGGACTTGTGACATGAGTGACTTGTTTACTTGTTTACCATGCTGAATCCCTTATGGAAGGAAGCACATGAGTGGATGGGTGTGGGACCCAGAGCAAATGAATGTGGAACTGGCCTGTGGCTCCTCTCCGGCGGGAGCAAGCTTTGTGTGGGTTCTGCAGCAGTGTCAAAGTGTGTTACAATGGTCTTTTAGCTCTGCGGTCTGGGAGGGGCTGTCTGCGACCCCCAGAGCCCCAGAGGGCCTGTGTTACAATCAGTGCTCCTTTAACATTTGCTGTCTGTGGATGGCTAAGTGTTAACCAGCTCAGTGGAAGGTGAGGGTGACAGCCTTTTACACTTTGCTGTCTTGGTACCTGAGTTCTGATCCAGTGTCCAGGAAGAATCAGGTCACATGAACAAATTGAAGATGGTGAATGTGGAGGACTTTATTGAGTGGTAAAAGTGGGCCTCAGTAGGAAAGGGAGCTGGAAAGGGGATGGAGCAGGAAGATAATCTTCCCCTGAAGCCCAGATGTCTCCAGCTGAACTCCTCTCTGACCATAGTCCCTGACCTCCAGCTGCTTCTTCTCATCTCAATATCCAGACACTTCTCTCTTCTGTGTGTGTGTCCACTGAGTCTGGGGCTTGGGATTCTTATGGGCACAGGATAGGGGGTGGTGTGGGGTGGGCCAAAAGGCAACAATCAGGTGGGAAAACAGGGATAGTTCTCACTTTGGGCTGTGGGTCCAGGCTTGTGGGTGGAGCCCTTGCCAAAGATCCTGCCCTCTTCTACCAGTATTTGCCTGCCTTCTGTCCATTTCAGTTCAAGACAGTTTGTGCAATTTGGAAACAGCCAGATCTAAACAGTGTAAAATCTGGATAGTCAGGCAGAATAAGGCTGGAAAAAA
The DNA here is from genome assembly GCF_000001405.40 of Homo sapiens. Classification (NCBI taxonomy): domain Eukaryota; kingdom Metazoa; phylum Chordata; class Mammalia; order Primates; family Hominidae; genus Homo; species Homo sapiens. The sequence continues at coordinate 14,408,378 of NC_000018.10, read as the reverse complement.
TATATAATTATATAGAATAAAGCTGAAAAAATTCGCTGAGTAATACTCTGTGTGTGCACCTACATGCACATGTAACAAAGTGATAATTTCTATTTCCTTAGATGTTTCAAAATGTATCTTGAACATATGACAAATATTTAATGTTTTCTGGGTGACTACATTGAAGCCTACCACTCACTTGGGACAGAAAAGTCATTTTTTGGTGTGTGATTATACTTGCTATCTTATGGTCACAACTTTTAAAACTACATAGAAGCATTAATATTTTTATTTTTCCTTTAGATCCTTCACTGAATTCAACCCAGTCTACTCAACAGTTCACCAAGAGTCTTGCTATCTCCAATTTCAGGATATGCTTTCCATCACCAATACCCAGGTTAATGGACACTCCTCAACCCTTTGTCAGTCCCTGCCCAGCATTGCCTTTGAGACTGAACTCTGGACCGCCTTTCCATGTTCTCTTTTCTGTAAAAAGGAGACTTTTTATTTCTGGCAGCACTTGCCTAGGAGATAGCAAAGTTAAATGTTGTGTTTCATCACAATCAGTCTCAACTAACTAAAACTAATTAAACACTAGGGATTTTGAGTAACCCACCTACCCTCACTAGACCCTTTCTGGATCTAACTGAAGATGTTCATGATCAAGTAGCAAGAGGCTGTTTCAGCTCTCATGTACAGATCTCAGCCTTGTATGAAAGGTAGTTCTCAGTGCTTAATTAGCACCAGCAGCATGGCCCTACGCTTCATAGCATTTAAAACCTTCAGTTTTGCCCTTAGGTCCACCTATGCAGTTGTCCCCTAATAAGCTCAGCTCAGCTCCAGGCCACCCCTGGCTCTGTGGCCCATGGTTTTTGTATTATTCTTTGTCATCTCTAATTAGCCTCTTCTGCCTCACCACTACTTAATTATTTATCCTTCTCAGAACTTCTGGCGTGTATTGTACTATATTTTACTTTTAAAATATGTTGCCAGTGTTCTCAGTTTGTCATTTATATGACATGTTCCATGACAAAGTACATCCCTAATACAAAGCCTTAAGCAATCTCATTAAGGACAGATTGCTGGTATCTAATTTCTTTTCCCATTCCTAGAGGCAGTGGTCTTCAAAGTGTGGCCTCCAGACAGCAATATCAGTATCATCTGGGAATTTGCTAGAAATGTAAATTCTCAAGTCCCAGCTCAAACTCAATGAATCATAAACTCTGGGTGTGGGGCCCAGCAGTCCTTCAGGTGTTTCTAACCACATATTCAAATTTGACAATCATTTACTCAGGGTCTCACCCCTGGTAGTGTCTTAATAAATGCCTGTTAGGTTGACTCTGATAAGTCTTTCTCTCAAGCCATCTTAAAAAGCATGGAATCCAAAAATTCCAGAAAGAAATGAGGAAAAATGTTACAAAGAATGAAGTAGAGATTTTAGGTTTACGAGCAATTAGAGGGAACCGAGTCTTCACAAAGAAGCACAATATCCTGATTTCCTATCTCATGCTTGATTTTCCTACATTGTCTCACCTCAGCTACGTGATTCCATTTATCTCACTAACCCTTCTGTTTGCCTTCTGTAAGGTTACATGTGGATTCTGAGAAAATTCTTTTTCAACTTTCTATCTCTTATTCCCATTTCAGTCTATGTCTTCACAGAAAATTATCACTGCAAAGCTGAGCGGTTTCTGGAGAATCTTGGCTCATTCACTGAATTCTTTGGGAAGGGCTGGTTCCCTTTGCGCATCTTCACTAAACTTGGACCTTTTTGATGACTCTCATTTTCTATCACCACCATAGTCTTTAGATGTCCAGTGGAGCAGGGAAACTGATGGTTTCCTGCACAGGTTGCTCGGGGCAAAAATGGAAGTTGGAAGTAAGGAAAAGCATGGAGTTGGAATTGGATGCTGAATGCTGAAGCAAAAGAGTACTCAACGTCTCTATGGTTTTGCTTTGTGCTGGGCCTTCCTAAACCTTGTGAACACCTGATAAATGTTCATTTGATTATGTCAAGCTCTTTGGAGCAGTAGCTTTCAACCCTGATTAGGATGTCAGAATCCTTTGGAAGAATTTTTTAAAAGTCTATGGGCATGGAACCCATCCATCAGTATTTTTAAAAATTTCCCAGGTGGTTTCCATGAGTAGCTAAGGTTGAGAACCGTGGTTTTGGATTTCCCACTTGATGATTTTAAACCGTAACATCACTTTGCCTATTTTTCGAAATATTCCTCTTTCTACAGTCAGCTTTCAAAAGTCAGACTACAACTGAATCAAAGAATTACACAAGAAAAGGGAAACTGAGTCATCCTTCAGCAACTCCAGGAACAAATCAAGGTACATATAATGATGGGGTAGTAAATGCTAATACCATCTATCTCCTTCCCTTGTATCCATCCCTGTTTTTGTTCCCCTCTTTCCACTCTGGCTTCCTATTCTCCCTTTTTGGCAAAATATCCACTATCCTTGAAGAAAGCGAACCAGCAAACCTGCTAATATTAAAGCTTCAGTGACCCAATAGGTAGCTACACTTTGAGGAACATTTGCATTTCCAAAGAAATTATCTGAAGACAAAAATGTCTAATTCAATGGGCTGAAATGCAAATTGTAATATTTCAGGCTAGAAAGATATCTAACCCAAGGAACTTCCTTATCATGCTCTGAGAGACAGTAGGCTGCCTCATGGAAGGCCGTTATAGATGTCCAACTAAACATTGCAAAAAAACAGGTATAGAAGCATTGGCTTGGGACTGAGAAATGATATTCATTTGGTGCAAAAGTAATTGTGATTTTTTGCCCTTGAAAATGATGGTTAAAACTGCAATGACTTTTGCATCAACCTATGGATTAGTAATTGATACACAAAGACATGACACATGAGAATACCAAGTGCACTGCTTGGCACATGGTAGACATTCAACAAATGCTTCTCACTGACAACTTTTGCTTTCCTCCTCAATCACCCACTTTTTAGAATCCTTGAAAAAATCTTACAAATTTTTCAAATATTCAGGAAACTTAAATAACATCAGATTTAGAGAAGACTTATTGACTGTAGCCAATTTTTGGACCTATACATTTTTTAAACTATGTGATGGGAATCTCTTCATTTTTTAGAGCAACATGGATGCATATCAATTACGAACCTTGCTAAATCATCCTATCTCTGAGGCAATAAAATTCATTATCCTGGTTAGTTTGAGGATACACTTAACCCATAAACACCAACAGCAAGTATAGATTCAGACATTTGTATCTATAATTTAGACAGTTTAAAATGCAATATTAAGTAATTCAAAAATTGTTCAAAGCTCAGTACCTTTTCACACATTAATACTTTGATTATCAACTTCCTTTTAAAGAGTGAGTAGAAAAGGGTTAGTAAGTAGAAAAGAGTAAAAGGCCTTTCTTTCACAATTTGCCAAGACATGCATTACTTATTTAAAATAAAAAAAAATGCTGTTTGAAAAACAAGGAGGATGGCAAGAATGAAGCTCCTTCATGCAAGATACCTCTGATTACCCTCTAAAGACAGATACTATGGCATGGTCATAGAATTACTGCGGGAAAAATTTGTCCACTGAGGCTGCTTCCTCCAGAGGTAAGGTTTAACTTACGGTAACTTGCTATGGATCAACAGCTCAAGATGAAGTGTGTGGCTGGCAATTTAAGTGTAAAATTAGATTTCCAGTATAATCAGTCATCTGATAGCCCATCTAAATGTATTCTGCATTTGCACATTTAATTAATTATGTCTTAATTGATAACATTTTGCTCATAACGATTGGTTCTAATTTTATTCCAAATTAAATTAGTAGGGGAGAAATTTAGTTTGGGAATTTATTGATTTATATATATATATTAAAGAAAAAGTAAAAATCATGGATTTTCTCTTTTCTTCTTAAAAGGAAATATCTTTCTGCTCATTTAGAGGTGCAAAGGAAAACATTTAGAACTTTCCAGATGAATAAATTGCATTTCATCTGAATGAACATCTAACTTTGGAGATGGAGAGAACATTCTTTTGTATTGTTGTAGATATGCCTAGTATAATATTGGTATAATTAATTTTTCAGCTACAATGCAGATTCCTGGGTCAGTGCAAAAGATCTTGTTTATTTAGAAGTGATTATCTGAGAAAGTGGCTCATTAGTCTTAGATTCCTGGAATGCACAGTCTGGTCTAGAGATTAAAATAGCTATTTAAATTCCCTTTATGAAAATTGTGCCTGACAGGGCACTTCCATGTGCAGTGAGGTTTGTATTTGCACATCTAGAGCATCCAGGAAATCAGCGAAGGTGGGTTTTGTGTCTTTAGATATGCTACAGTTGATAAACCCTAAGATTCAGATATTAACTATTGGATAAGCTCTTGCATTTCCCATAACTTTAGCTTTGAAGCCATTCATTACCTTAATACTAAGGAAAGAATGTCAGAAAATCCAAAGAGAGAGAATTCTCAGTTATGATTTTTGGACATATAATTGGAAAGAAGTCAGATTTGGCTTTTACAATTAGTGCCATATAATGTCACACAAAGTATTTCCTGCAGTGTGCTCAAAGAGGTCAATTTGTGATTTATTTGCAAGTCATAGTTCTGAAATTACTGACTTGTGTGTGTAACAATTTAGCTTTAACTTGGGCACTTAATTTAGCATTAAATATAGCTCCTCTTCAATACTGATCCTTGCCCTGAACAAGATGTCATTTCATAAACCCAATTAAACATGGTGCCTACTGTGGTTTAAATACCAAGACAGATTAAATGTATTGTCCAGTTTCACAGATCAGCAATGCTTCTCTTCCTGTATCACTAGCTCATGATAATAACATAAGGGACCAGTCTGTGCCAGTGGATGGGCCAGAATTAAAAGAGGATAAATATTGATGTCCTGCCTGAAAGAAAACTGGGCACCCAAGGTGTCAGAGAGTTGTCTGATATACTGTGACATGAATGTCCCATATATATAAATTGCAGCCTTTTTAAAATAAGGTAGAATTGTTTGTGGAAGATTAAAAACTCTCTTTCTAAATTGTTGAATTAAAATATTTAGTTAATAAATAAATCACTGCTATTTTCATCAATATTGGAGTTGTTTCTTCAAGTTTGTGTGTTTTCTCAATTAGAAAAAAGTCTAATTTGTTTAAATAGTGAGAAGTCAACATTGAACTGTTGTCTACTCAATAACCACAATTCCTTATTTCTTGTTTACAATGACCATAGATTGTTTATGTTTGTATTGTTGCAACAAGTTCACAGACAATGGATTCCTCTCCCAATCCGAGAGGATGAGCCATGGTTGGTCTAGGCCATGAATATTGTGGTAGATTGTATTGTGTGTTCATAATTCTTTGTTCTCTGGCCAGGTGCAGTGTCTCACGCCTGTAATCCTAGCACTTCGGGAAACTGAGGCGGGCAGATTGCCAGAGCTCAGGAGTTCGATACCGGCCTGGGCAACAAGGCAAAACCCCTCTCTACTAAAAATACAAAAAATTAGCTGGGTATGCTGGTGCGCACCTGTAATCCCAGCTACTTGGGAGCCTGAGGAGTGAGAATCACTTGAACCCAGAAGGCGAAGAATGCAGTGAGCCAAGATTGTGCCACTGCACTCCAGCCTGGATGACAGAGCAAGACTCTGTCTCAGAAAAAAATAATTTAAAAAGATGATTCTTGTTCCCTCCCCATCCTTACCTTTTTTTAATGAGGAAAGAGAATATTTCCCTGTATCACTGACTTTGGGCTTGGCTATGTGACTGCTCTACCCAATAGAATTTGGGTAGGTTAATAGTAATAGAAGTAACTAAGCAGAACTTTAAAGAAGCTTCTCCTCTTCAACTCTTGCTTATAAAGCATTATAAAAATCAATATATATAAAGCATTATAAAAATCAAATGCCCTAAGTAGTCTGTGTCCTTCAACATGGGTCCAGGAATGAGAGACACCTGGAGCACACCTGACTCTCATCTGTAGTCTAAGGTAGAACTGCTGCAACCAATTCGCAAAATTCATGAGCAAGGAGTAAATGCTTGCTGTTATTGGTCAGTAACTTCTTGTCATGTTTCTTAAGCATTATTGGAGCAAAAGCAAACTAATACAAACGTTAATGTAATTCCTTTGCTTGTCATTGATTTAGAGATGAATATTTGTCCTGTTTCCAGGTAATACAATGTATTTAGGAAGAATGCCAAAGGAGGGAGCTTATTAGTAGGATTTTGACCTCTAATGAAAATGATGGCCAAATATATGAAATTTTTTCTTTCTTTGGTTTTTATTGTTTAAAGACATAATTATTTAAGTTGTGTTAGTTGTGTGTGATCTTATAACTGTGAGGAATTACATAGAATGAAAATGGAATGTGCTGTGGTGGCAGAACAGAAAGAAGTTGGGTGATTGACATTGTTGAGCTGCTGCAGGAAATCTGTTAGTCTCCATTTCCAGAGGTCTTGCTATGTAGAAAAATTGGATGACTTTATTGCTTAAGTCACTATAAGAATGTTTTCTGTTACCTGCAACCCAATGCACCCAACTAATAAAGTACGTTTCTAGAAATACATTTGCCTGCACTCATTTTTAAGACACACAGACCACATACACATGGAGAGATATTTTTAAAGGTCTTGTACTACATAAATTGTACTATTTTTTAATTTAAAAATATGGGCCAGGTGCAGTGGCTCACACCTGTAATCCCAGCACTTTGGGAGGCCAAGGCAGGTGGATCACAAGGTCAGGAGATCAAGACCACCCTGGCCAACATGGTGAAACCCCATCTCTACTAAAATACAAAAAACTAGCCGGGCATGGTGGTGTGTGCCTGTAGTCCCAGCTACTTGGGAGGCTGAGGCAGGGGAATTGCTTGAACCCTGGAGGCAGAGGTTGAAGTGAGCTGAGATTGCGCCGCTGCACTCCAGCCTGGTGACAGAGCGAGACTCTGTCTCAAAAAATAAAAAATAAAAAAAAGATAATGTGATTTTTTTATATTATAGCACATGTACAAGACTGAAATCTGTCTCATTTTTAAAAATAACTGCCTAGTACTTTATGCATGAACATCCTTTGCCTTCAAATTGAATTTGAGGATCAACCTCAGCTATTTTCATAAAATAAATTTAAAAATATGTAAAAAGATGAAAAATAGGGAAACATTAAGTGAAATGGAATTTGAATTCATAAGTTGTGATATCCATCTAAATGAGTCACCAAGAGATACAAGATGAAAAATGAAAACAAATACTCACAGAAATAATAGAAGAAAACTTTAAAAGGTAGAGAATAAAGAAACACATGCTGTAATGTCACTACCCACTCAGTGTTAAGTTAAATGGATTTGTTGAGAAGACTCCAAAAGCAGGTATAAATGTCGAGTATGTGTGTGCACATGTGTGTGTGTATGTGTGCAACCCTATATAAAGTATTTTAAAATCACTTTTATTGAAATATTGCATATGCACATCTAAGAACAAATTTTAAGCTTGATGAATTTTTACATTGTTGACACAGCCATTTAACTATCAGCTAAGAGAGGAAATAAAACATAACCAGCAACTCTCACCTCGTTTTATATTCACTATCAATCCTTACTCTTTTTTAAATTTGAGACAGTCTCATTCTGTTGCTCAGGCTGGAGTGCAGTGGCATGATCTCAGCTCACTGCAACCTCTACAACCTGGGTTCAAGCAATTCTTATGCCTCAGCCTCCCAAGTAGCTAGGATTACAGGCACTCACCACCATGCCCAGCTAATTTTTGTAATTTTAGTAGAGACAGGGTTTTGCCATGTTGGCCAGGCTGGCCTTGAACTCCTGGCCTCAAGCAGTTTGCCCACCTCAGCCTCCTAAAGTGCTGGGATTACAGGCATGAGTTACTGTGCCTGGCCCATTACTCTTTTTTAATACCCCAAAGGCAACTGATATCCTAATTTCTCACACAAGAGATTGGTTTTGCCTGGGTGTTGAACTTTATATAAAGGGACTATCAGTACATTATTTGCCATATTGATCTATGTTATTTTATGTAACAATAATGCATATTTATTCATTGTTCCATAGTGTTCCATGTAGAAATAGATCACAATTTATTTGCTATTTCTTCTCTTAATAGATATATTTGGGTTGGCTTCTGTTATTGTTATTATGAATATGATGCTTTAAATATTCTTTTTTTTTAGTAAAAATATGTGCAGATTTATAGCTGAACAGAAAAAGCTTTGTCTTTTAACCTGGATATCTGGATTTTTTACTCTTGGTGAAGATAACTGCAATGACGTTTATCATGTATGATTTAAAGTCAGGAAATGCCTCTTGGTAACCTACAGGGTCAGTTTTTCACTGATGGGTTACAACTGGCCTAATTGGTTTGACAAACCTAGCTTGATTACATGGACAAGGAGACATAAAAGGCTTGTTGAGAATTTCTCCTCGAAGCCCTCCTGAAAGCATGATTCCTAGCACAGAATCTTGGTGGTTGACACTGGAGACAGAATGCACACTCTGTGTCTGTGAATACTTGGAGCCCTGGGTAGCTTTCAACCTGGGATGTCTTTCAGACTCCCAGTCCATGCCCGCACTCTCTTTCACTTGCTGCACCGTATCGTTTGCCTTTAAATAAAAGCCCCATGTAAATATGTTCTATGGAATGTGGTGGTTCCTTTCAAACATCCAAACAGGAAGCTTTTCAGTATGTATACATTTATATTGAGAATACACCTAAGAATGAATTTGCTCTTTGCCAGTTCATAAAAGTATATATATTTATATATTGAGCTTTAGACAAAATTTACAAGTAAAATACAGAAGGAAATTTCTTGAACCATTAGAGAATAAGTTACTGACCTGATTCCCAGTTACCACCAAATATGTTGGGGTTTATTCCTTACAAACAGGTTTCTCCTACGTGTTCACAACACAACTATCAGCATTGGTTGTATTCCCACTAACACCCTGTTACTGTCTAATCCTCAGACCCCATTCAAGACCCTGGCACTCTACATTAAGCTACCCCTGGGTATAGTTACCTTCTTCACTCTACTCTGACTCCAACACCTCATGCTTGGCCACCATCATTCTTGGATGCCATCCCTGGGCTCTGATCTACTCCCTAGATTATCATCCATTTCACGTAGACACTCTTCTCATCCTTCCTGGGTTAAACCCACATGGGTGCTCACCCCATTCTGCTCAGTCAGGCTCTGACACTCCAACCTTGCTACATCACTGCGGTGATGCCCTTTTCATCTTGCTTGGGTTCTGCCACCACTTCTGTGTGGACTCCTTCTCCTGTTCTTTGGCTTTGATACCTGGAAACCTTGGAGCCCTCCTATACAGATGCCCCTTTCAGTCTATTTACACCAGAAAATCCCACAGTGACCTGACTCTTCTACATGCAAATCCTTTTTATCCCATTCTGTGCCACTGCCTTACATGGGTGTTCTCTTCCCACTAGCCTGAGGGATTTAGACACCAGGTGATGGATAATACTTCTGTCTGGATGCTCCCTCACCTTGTTTTGATTCTGACACCCCACGTGGGTCACCTACATGCATTGAAGCCCTTACTCAGTTGTGGCTTCAATCCAAATGAGGCAGCCTTCCTCTGTAGATGGAGGAATTAACCATTTTTCCCTATTCTAAAAATTAATCATTTCCCCAAAGAGCGTGGGTTTCTTTCGTGGAGAAATAGTGTTTGGATACAAAGGTCTAGAGGCTAGGTGTTCTACTAGGGTGTCATTGCTTCTAGATTCTTTCACTTTACAAAGCTAAGAAATACATATGCATATACCAAGCAAAGCATACCATAAGGGTAAAATGATGACTTTTTTGAGGTTGGAGGTCACTATCTCTCCATCCTGTCTTCCTTAGAGTATTTCCTTGAAATCTTAATAGGTCCAAATAACAGGTTTACGCTTTTGATTTTGCAATGGAAGAATGGGGACTTTCTGACCCTTGGAATTGTAAACAAATGCTTCCAAAACTTACTTGGGAGTTTTTCACAAGAGGACTATCTTAGGATGTAGCCCTTTGTCTCTTGAGGAGATGAGAAGTTATTCTTACTTCTGCTTTGCTAAATAAATTATGTGAAAGTCTGCCTATTCATTTTAGTCACTTTGTAGTACCTACATGCATAAAAATCTGACCATGTTCATGTAGTAATAAACTGTGTTCTCTTTTCTATGTTGGTTCAGGGAGGTCTTTGTTAGTGTTATTTTATTTCCAACAAACACACGGCCTATATTTCTGTATTGTTACTTTCTAGAGATGGATGACTTTGGATGGTCAAATATTGATAGAAAGGCACTAGTGAAACATAATTCAGAAAAAACACATTTACAGATCTGGTGACAAGAAATGAAGAAATTTTTCATGTTGAGCTCCAATTATCTCCGAAAGGTAGAAGGGAAGTCATTAGTTGAGAGTATACATGGCATTGGAGTTGGAAGTTTTGAGAAAAGTGGAGGCTTATAAAATTAAAATAGTTGTTTCCAATAAGATGAAATAGAACTGATTAAAGAACAAAGGAGACATGATTGCCGAGGAGTCTCTCAGATGAGTTCACGTTGATCATTGTAGTCTATTGTTTCACAAAAACTCATTCCAAAGCAAGCTGCATATTGGATTCACCTGGGATCTTTTAAGATATACCGATTCCTGGGTCCCACCTGCAGAGATTGTGTTGTAATCACTCAGGAGTCTGCATCAGCATCCAGATTTCAAAAGTTCCCCAAGTGATTCTAAAGCGTCCTGAAGATCAAGAACCATTGACCCAGATATAATGTTCATCACCTTTATTGTTTTCCACAAAAACCTACCCATGTAAAGCATTTGTGAGGATAGAAAAGTTTACTGAAAATTAGAAATTGAGAGTTGAATTGGCAAACAAATTTAGTCAAATTAAATTCTGAGTTTTAATGCTTTCCTATGGCCACCCCAAGAGTGTGGAACTCTCCTTGGGCCTTCACCCCATTGTCTCCAAACTCAAATCATTCCACTAACTCTTCTCCACCTTCCCAGTCTCTGCTTTCTGAATGCCACTTCCTAGTCTACCTGACTCTGGGAACTATCAGTTGGAGCAAAAGTAATTGCACTTTTTGCCATTAAAATTGATGTCAAAAACCACAAATTACTTTTGCACCAGCCTAATAAAACTTCTCACTCCATAACTCAGAGTGATTCAGCTCTCACTAACAACCTGGTGTTCTCCATTTTCCTTTAGCGTGGACTATAGCTATTCATCACTTTTGAAAATTTTTAAGAGGCAACATTCTTGCATGTGATCTGGTTTATAGAACCAGGATAAAAGGTCATTGTTGACTCCAAAGTTTCCCAGGCCCAGGATCTCCTCAGAAATATGTGGCAGAGACAGACCTGCAGGATAAAGACAAGATATGCAGTCTTTTCTCATTCACTCCATTGATAGCTAGTAACAGCCGACCATATCTCAGTTCAATGAAGGAAAAAAGATAGACAAATAGATACAGTAGAGTGTAGTCCATATAATGGCTTAGTATACATAGGAAGTACACAAGTACAGTAACATCTGGACAAACTAGAGGATGGGAGAAGAAGGGAATTGAGAGAGCATTGTAAGAAGTGAAGAACCCAGGGTTTGAGCTAGCCTCCTAAATCCACACATATAGAGTTGTAGAATTGGAGTACTACAAAGGATGTCAGAAATCGTCTAATCTAGTGACCCTTTGTTACAGACTAGAAAATAGAAATCTCATAGCCTAGGAGTTGAACTGAATTGCAGAAAGTCCCATAGCAAGTCAGGGGCAGCGCCAGGATTAAATTGGAATCGGGGTTCATTGACCACTGGCCCAGCGATACTCTCTCAACAGGTAACGAATTTCTAAGGTTCTATGAGCACAGCTACAGGAGGAATTAGGCCAGCAATAGGGTCGCTGGTGGCAGTAGAGGCCTAAACCTGCATGGCTTACACTTCTGTCTGCAAAGTGACTGACTCATTCCAGCCCTATCTGTGCACTCTGCAGTACCTCTGCTCAGAAGCTGCCAATGGGGGAAATGCTAGATAGATAATTTGGCTTGAGCATAGAGTGTGAGGGAAGGACACATACTGAAAATAGGAAGGAGAATGAGAAACCTGAATCAAGAACCAGCCTAACAAATATTAGGCCTTTGAATTATAAAGCAGGCATATGGTATGGCTTTAGAAAATTACAAGATCATAAAGATGAGCAAATAAGACTAGAAAATTATGACTTTGGGACCTTGTGTCTGAAGTAAATGAAGAGGCACTTTGGGGAGTGGCAGGCAATGAAAACACATCTACCACCTGAGGAGATGACTCACAGAAATTCAAAACAGCCTCTTTTTTTTAAGTCCAAGTCAAATATAGTCAAGTGAGGGAGGGTACATCATTCATTCTCAACTCACTGTGTTTAGTTTCTTAAAAGATGGCCGAATTGTAAAAAAAGTTTTTGAATGGGGCAGTTCTAGTGTCAGTTGTTCTCTCTTTTCCTTTTTTACTTACCCACTACTATAAACTACCGTAGATACATTCTTTACATTCAGTTAGTTAGTTTTACGTTTCCCAATTTCCACATTTGTAATTATAGCCTAGGAAGCTTCTTTGCTTGGAGAAAGATGTTCTTATATTAAAACATAAAACTCTTCCCAAGCATCCACTAGTTCATCCAGTAAGCAATTTCGTCATTACACACCAGAGGTCAGTATTGGATTATTAATTTACATGAGTGATTAATTTTTACTTTCCCAGTAATAAAGATGAGAAACAAAATACCAAAGATTATTACTATATTAGAGCTTTGGTGTTAGTTCCTTAAGCAAGTGTCATCTGTGCAGGCATGCACAGATCATGAATGGCTTAACAAAAATACAAAACAAAAAGAAAAAAGCCATCACAATGAAGGTGGCCTTTGTTCTTTAGGAAGACATTCATAACTCATTCCAGGCATATTAATTATGCAACTTTTACACAAAAGTTACTTTATATTGAGAAATGTTCACAACTAGCAGTATTAACAGACATGCTGGCAGTGAATTAAAAAGATAACAATAGTTTTTAGAGCCTCATTCAAATCCGCATATCTACAATAGTGTATCAATTTGGGATGGCCAAAGTTATAGATAATTTGGATAAATAAAATAGGGGCTCAGCAGTAAAATAATGACTGTATCTCCAAAAGCTTTAAGATTAAATGAAAAGAAGAAAAGACTAAAGGCAGATCAAGCTATCATGCTGACTACAGACATAGCAAAGGCTTTCCACAGAAAGAGAAAATAGATTAGTCTTGTTTTACTCTGGTCAACAAAGGGTAGAATTATAGAAATGGAGATTGCAGCTGCATATAGATAGAATTGTTAAGACTCATAGCTATTCCAACATCTTTGCTTAGGGGGCCATAGGGAGTGCCAACATCGAGTATCAGAACAAACTAGATGAATGCCAAAATCTCTTACATTCTAAGGTTATATGAGAAAGTGATTTTGATGCCAAAGAGTAAATATTCCACAAATTCCAAACCTCCTTCCAGGCATATATATTCGGGTGGCACCTGCTTTAAGAAGTCTCCCTTAATCTGAGAACACAGTTTGCTTGTGCTTCTAATACTTTGACCATATATTGTCTTTTGTCATCTTTTGACCATATTGTACATTTATGTATTATTTAGCTTTGTGTTGTTATGTCTTATCTAAAACCAAGGTTCTTCTTTTAGGAATACATGTTATTTTATCCTCTATGACACCTAGCACAATACAATGAAGTTAGTAGATACTCAGATAATATCTGTAGTCTGAACCTATTTCCTTATCTAAAAAGTAAGGAATAAAAACACCCATTTTACCTGCCTCACTGAGCTGTTTTGAAGATCAGATGAAATAATGTGCCTGAAAGCACTTTGAAAAGTATAAAATGTTATACAAATGTAAGGCATTCTAATTTCAGAGGGAGGTTTTTCTCAGTTATAACCTCCATGTCAGCTTGAATAAAGGAACATTTTTTAAAACTTAATCTGAAAAGAAACTTGTCCCTTCTGGGCACAAATTATAAAACTCCCCAAAAAATGTTTGTATATATTTTTGTTTGTTTGTTCCTAAATAGTATAATGAACTATGGTCTTTCAGGGAAAATGTTGCTCTGATACTAGTCACAATGTAGAAAATTGCCCTTATGTACTTTCAGGAAAGAATTGCAAACAAATGAGCTATTTTCTCTTCTCGAGTAAAGGGACTTCCCAAGCATGGGTGGCAGCTGTTCAAGTCCATCTGGTCAAGAATTCACTAAGATCATAATGTGAAAGTTGCTCAAGTGCAGATTTGCATGACAGCCTGCAAATGTTCCTTTGGAGACGAAATGGTTTCTCAGGTCAATAATCTGCATATTTAAAAGTCTCTAGGACACCCTAAGATGGCGGCGAGGGAGACCGTGAAGGTTGGCTCCCGCCTGTCTGGGCTGTGATCCTCTGTCTCCCCCTCCCCCTGCGGCCGGCTCATGGCCTGGCGCAGGCCCGAACCAAAGACCCCCGCACCGCCGTGTACAACGCCGCCCGTGACGGCAAGCTGCAGCTGCTCCAGAAGCTGCTCAGCGGCCGGAGCCGGGAGGAACTGGACGAGCTGACTGGCTAGGTGGCCGGCGGGGGGACGCCTCTGCTCATCGCCGCCTGCTACGGCCACCTGGACGTGGTGGAGTACCTGGTGGACCCGTGCGGCGCGAGCGTGGAGGCCGGTGGCTCGGTGCACTTCGATGGCGAGACCATGGAGGGTGCGCCGCCGCTGTGGGCGCGGACCACCTGGACGTGGTGGGGAGCCTGCTGCGCCGCGGGGCCTCGGTGAACCGCACCACGCGCACCAACTCCACGCCCCTCCGCGCCGCCTGCTTCGAGGGCCTCCTGGAGGTGGTGCGCTACCTGGTCGGCGAGCACCAGGCCAACCTGGAGTTGGCCAACCGGCACGGCCACACGTGCCTCATGATCTCGTGCTACAAGGGCCACCGTGAGATCGCCCGCTACCTGCTGGAGCAGGGCGCCCAGGTGAACTGGCGCAGCGCCAAGGGCAACACGGCCCTGCACAACTGTGCCGAGACCAGCAGCCTGGAGATCCTGCAGCTGCTGCTGGGGTGCAAGGCCAGCATGGAACGTGATAGCTACGGCATGACCCCGTTGCTCCCGGCCAGCGTGACGGGCCACACCAACATCGTGGAGTACCTCATCCAAGAGCAGCCCGGCCAGGAGCGGGTCACAGGGGTAGAGGCTCAGCCTGGGCTGCCCCAAGAAGGCTCCTCCACCAGCCAGGGGTGTACGCAGCCTCAGGGGGCTCCGTGCTGCATCTTCTCCCCTGAGGTACTGAACGGGGGAATCTTACCAAAGCTGCTGTCCCACCAGCTGGGAAGCTGCCGTGGAAGCCTTGAAATTGCTGGGATCTACGTATGTGGATAAGAAACGAGATCTGCTTGGGGCCCTTAAACACTGGAGGCGGGCCATGGAGCTGCGTCACCAGGGGGGTGAGTACCTGCCCAAACTGGAGCCCCCATAGCTGGTCCTGGCCTATGACTATTCCAGGGAGGTCAACACCACCGAGGAGCTGGAGGCGCTGATCACCGACCCCGATGAGATGCGTATGCAGGCCCTGTTGATCCGGGAGCGCATCCTCAGTCCCTCGCACCCCGACACTTCCTATTGTATCCGTTACAGGGGCGCCGTGTACGCCGACTCGGGCAATATCGAGTGCTACATCCGCTTGTGGAAGTATGCCCTGGACATGCAACAGAGCAACCTGGAGCCTCTGAGCCCCATGACCGCCAGCAGCTTCCTCTCCTTCGCCGAACTCTTCTCCTACGTGCTGCAGGACCGGGCTGCCAAAGGCAGCCTGGGCAGCCAGATCGGCTTTGCAGACCTCATGGGGGTCCTCACCAAAGGGGTCCGGGAAGTGGAATGGGCCCTGCAGCTGCTCAGGGAGCCTAGAGACTCGACCCAGTTCAACAAGGCGCTGGTCATCATCCTCCACCTGCTCTACCTGCTGGAGAAAGTGGAGTGCACCCCCAGCCAGGAGCACCTGAAGCACCAGACTATCTACCGCCGCTCAAGTGCGCACCCAAGGGCAAGAACGGCTTCACCCCTCTGCACATGGCTGTGGACAAGGACACCACAAACGTGGGCCGCTACTCCGTGGGCAGATTCCCCTCCTTGCACGTGGTCAAAGTGCTGTTCGACTGCGGGGCCGACCGGGACAGCAGGGATTTTGACAACAACACCCCGCTACACATAGCAGCCCAGAACAACTGCCCGGCCATCGTGAATGCCCTGATTGAAGCAGGGGCCCACATGGACGCCACCAACGCCTTCAAGAAGACGGCCTACACGCTGCTGGAAGAGAAGCTGCTGGCCAGGGGTACCATGCAGCCCTTCAGCTATGTGACCCTGCAGTGCCTTGCAGCCCAGGCCCTGGGTAAGAACAAGATCCCTTACAAGGGCTTCATCCCGGAAGATCTAGAGGCATTCATCGAACTGCACTGACCTGCCCAGAACATCTGCACCCTCACCTCTCCCCTCTCCTGCTGAGACGGGGGAAATCAGCCTGGGGTATAGCAGATGCTCGTTCTTGCCTCCTTCAGGCACCAATCAGGAGAAGGGTTCTGCCTCCCATCCCCTTTACCTGAAGACAGGCTCTGAGGTGTTAGCGAGCCTTTGGTGCTAGAAGCCTTCAGGGTCACATGCCAAGAGGACAGTCTTTCTCCGGGAGCCCACTGACTCAGAAATTCTGAGTTAGGAAAAGTCACAAGACCTTCCCCACATCCTGTCTGCCTGGGTTACGGAGGCCTTTGCCTTGTTACCTAGAGGCGGAGGGACTAAAGCCATTGCTTTCCTTCCCTGCTAGAAACACAGGAAGAAGTTGAGGATGGTCTGCCTTCCCTTGTCCTTTTACATGGCCAGGTAACTCCAGCGGCTGAATACAGTGTTAGGACTGGGGGCTCCCGAGATGAGAGTTTGAAAGTCAGGGAATGAAACCACCTCTCATTTCTTCCAGCATGATCACGACCTGCTCCTGTGCCACCGTAGTCCCTGGCAGACAGGCAGGGCTCTGCTCAGGGCAGCCTGCCACTTGCATAGCTTTTGGTTAGTTTGGTGTTCTGTTTATTTAATAAGTGGGAAGGTTGCAAGCATTGCACAGAAATTCTGAGATTTTACTGCCTTTTTTTTTTTTAAAGAAAGTTGTTTGTTGGACTCCATAAGTGAATTTCAAGCAGTGAGGATTTTGTAGTGCCTGAGATGGCTGAGGCCACAGGGAGTGAGCTGTATGTGTGAGGAAGTTGGTGAGCGAGATAAAAGTCCATGGTGTCGACCCCTAAAACATGGGTGACCATACATTTTTATACATCTCCACTCTACGGCCTTTTACAGGCCTTTCCAATTTTCCATTCTCATTGGAAAGAGAACTGTGCTTCCAAACAGAAATCAGGAGTGACCACAAAGCCTGACAACACTTTGCCACCCAGCAAGAACTGGCACAATTGGTTTGGGTCTGCATTGCCATAGTGCCTGAGTTAAAACTACAGGCCACTCCACCTTGCAAACCTCACGTGGCCTCTGATTTCATTGTGGGTGCATCCACAGGTGGCGCTAGCTCTTTTTTCAGCTGCTCCGAGGATTGGGACCCAAGTCATCATGAAAAAGGCCCAGGTACAGTCTTAATGTGAAAAATCCACTAGCTAAGACGTTGAGTGCCAAGACCAGCCTTCCAGCCAAGGTTTGGACAAAGTCTCAAGTTCCCATGACTCAGGGTAAGGTGCTGGGGCTGCCAGAGGACCTGCCCCAGCAAGATTTTTCTCAAGAGTGAGACTCCATCAGCCCGGGCAGACGGGAGCAGGTTCTTGGCCGGTGTAGACAGCAGCAAACAGCAGAAGGGAAGCCATTCTCACTACATCCTCCCTGCAGTAGCCACAGCCAGGCCCTTAGGAGGAGCAGCAACCGGGGGTGTCCAGAAACATCCTGTCCCTGGATGGAAACTAGGTCTCGTTTGGATTTTTTTTCTTTTTTTTTTTTTTTGCTGTGTTAGTTAGGAAATTATTTATTAATTTACAAGACAGGTTTTATCTCAGCCAAGGAGGGAAATGGCGTCCCTGTCCCTCCCAAAGCACAGAGCAGAGAAATGAGGCTGTTTACATCGCAAGTCTCTGCACTGGTGTTTAAGTCATTAAAAAGATATTTGAAAAAAAAAGTCTCTAAATACAGGTTTATGGAATAATTCATAACAGCTTTAAGGAACTATCATGGTACACTGGGAAAGTCACTCATATTGCAGGATAGATTTCTTCTGTTGGCTGGTGAGCATTTGTTAATAGTCGGCCTTGACTCTACCACAATTTTAGAAGTAGTTCTTTTATTTCTTTAAAAGCAACATTTTGGGACAAAATATTGTGAACAAATAAGGAATACGACTATATTTGTGAAACCCCTTGTTAATTTCCAAGTGATATTTTAAATCTTGAATAAGACATGTACGCTCATAAATAAAGAGGGAAAAGAAATAATTAAATCAATGTTCCTAAGAGCTTCTCAGAAAATAAGAAAGAGATAAGTGATAGAACTATAATCTACAATCTACCCTAACAGTATATTTGCATCACTTCTTAAACTTTGTTTAGTATTTTAACACGCTGTTTCTTATTATATGTGAAGAATGCTGTGAGGTAGCATGTCAATGTTTTGCAGATTAATAAACTGATGTTAAAAGAGGTTAAGTGACTGATTTTGTACTTTCATTATCTCAAAAGTGCAACTAAAACTGCACTTAGGATTGCCACTCCTGTCGGGGGCCATGGCTTTGGTCCTATTTTCTGCAAGTCTCTGGATGATGTCTGTCCACCCACTGTCTCTGAGTGCTCTCCTCACTTCGGCCTTCCTCCCTTATTTTAGTCCCACAACTGTCACCACTCTTCAAAAGCCTCATGAAACTTCAGGAAAATCGACTGGGTAGGGCTTGTTTCAGAATTATCATCCAGCATTCTAGGGCTGATTTAGAATTCAGAGAAAGAAGCAAAAGCACTTATCAAAGTGTCTGTTCTAAAGGTAAGCTCAGAGGCACCATGGCAATCCTCACATTTCCCTAGGATGTCTTCAGAAATACCTGATACTGTCATCTCAGGCCCAGATATCATCCACCAGCTGAAGGCCGTGGGCAACATTCACATCTCAGAGTAAAGAGTGTTTTAGAAGTCCATGGGCAATCACCAGTCACGCAGGGAGTTCCAGGGACCAGCCAGTTGTTCCTTTCATGAGTTAGGAGGCAGTAAGGACATCACGGTGATCATTTCCACTGAAAACACAAATTTAAGTCCACTCTGCTACTCAGCAGTTAATGCTGACTTCTGAAAATTATGAAGCATTTATCACTATGGTCTCCTTCTAGGTTTATCAGTGCAGTCAGCTCAGAAAACTTTCATTCCTTCAGTATATCCAGCTCCAGCTAATCAGGTAGGGAACAATGAAAACAGGCTGACATTTGATTCAGAGGTTCTGGAAAGAAAGTGGACCTGGCAACAAAGTGACTGCACTTACAATCCCCCAACCTAATGTCATCAGGGTCCAGGGTAGACCATCTGGGGCTACCGGGGAGAGAAGACAGTTTCAGAGGCTGTCTATTATAAGCAGCTCCGATTAACTTCTTAGGACCACAAGACAAATTATCATTGGTATTTGAAGGCAAAAGGTCAAGGATGATCTGGCCCTGGGTGAGTACCTGGGTCTAACTCACAATTCTCAGAAAGGCCCTCTGGGTCCATTCCCGATACATTAACAAAATGCCTGAAACACAGTGGGGTTTGAGCAAATGATAGAATGAATGTTTATGGAGGACGATTGTCTGACCTCTTCTACTATACACTTTTGAGAAAGGTTCTCAGAATGTATGGTTAAAGTATTGTATAGGTTTAGCATTCCTAATCCAAAAATCTGAAATTCACACTTTTTGAATGCTGACATAATGTTCAAAGGTTATACTCAAAAGGAAATGCTCATTAAAGCTTTTTAGATTTCAAATTTTTGAATTTGGGGTGTCAACCGGTAAGTTTAATGCAAATGTTGAAAAATTTTTTAAAAATCCAATACGCATCTTGTCCCAAGAATTTTGGATAAGGAATACTCAACCTGCATTTCAATTGTTTGCTTGTTTGCTCTGTCATCAAAAATGAGCCAGGTGTGGTGGCTCATGCCTGTACTCCCAGCACTTTGGGAGGCTGAGGTGGGTGGATCACTCGAGGAGCTGGAGACCCACCTGGCCAATATGGCAAAACCCTGTCTCTACTAAGTTAAAAAAAACTTAGTCTGGCATGGTGGCAGGCTAATTTTGTAATCCCAGCTACTCAGGAGGCTGAGGCAGGAGAATCGCTTGAGCCCAGGAGACAGAGGTTGCCGTGAGCCAAGATTATGTCACTGCACTCCAGCCTGGGTGAGAGAGTGAAACTCTGTCTCAAAAAAAAAAAAAAAAAAAAAAAAAAAAAGAGTGAGTTTCTTCAAGAGAGAAATTGTACCTTGTTCATGTCCATCACTCCCATGCATAACATGGTTCCATAAGAACTCAGTCCTTATGAAACTCCACTCAGTAAGGACTCAGTTTTTTCAGAATGAACAGACCAAGTAAGAGCAATTACTTATTGTCATGTAGCTCAGATGAGAAAGGGCTGGGATTTGAGAAAAGGCTCTATTACTGCATAGGATCCGGATGGATGGATTCCATCACAGATGTAAAGCAAGACTACAGTAGTGTGTCCAACAAGATCGAGTGATAGCAGGTTGTAGTGCAGGTAAGTAGATATCCACGAAGGGTGGCAAATGAAGTGTTGACCTGTCCAAACAGACGGATGCAGTACAAGACAATTTATCCTTACAAGAAAGATAGCAAATTGGAATTAGGAATATTTGTCATTTCAGAGGAGGGTCCAAGACAATGGTCCAGGATCCAGGACTGGGGAACCCCTTCCTGAGGACAATGACAGGTAACAAAAAAGGATCAAGCTGAAGCTCAGAAATCAGACTTGGGTGCCGGGAGAGGAGACTAAGGAACAGACTGAGATCCACTTACCAGACCCAGGGTATTGTCTCTGCATTAGCTCAGAGACAAAGAAAAATGATGAAACCACAGCTGGCAGACACGTAGTCACGTAAATCTCCTTAGCATCATTGCAGGATTCGTGCTGAAAGTCAAGGCAATGGTGAAGCTGCAGGAAGGCTGTAGGTGGTCATAGCTCAGGAAGGAAGGTTCTTTCAGAGACTAGAAACTAGGTCTGAGCTAAACATTTGCAATCTTGGATTTCTTTGGGGATGTTCATTCTACTAACAAACCAACACCAATTTAATTTCCTGATGTTTATTTTGGGAGGTTTACAAGAATTAATTTCCTTGGAACTGATTTTTTTAAACATCCATTATAGAAAATTCTTTTTCTCACTTGTGAACACCTCTGAAAAAGAAGTATTATTTATAAAAGTTGGTACCTGTTGAACAATTAGAGTTGTGGGGAAAAGCCTTTACAGGGTTCACAAGAAAAAGCCTTCTCCAACTATGACTTACAGATGTACTCTTAAAATAATGACTTGACATATTTATATGTATATCGTTAGTTTAATGTCTTACCTAATCGTCCAACAAACTAATTCAATGTTGTTTGCGATGCATTAAATGAACAAAAGATAAACTGGGTATTAGAGAATCCAGAGAGCCTAGTGGCCCATGAAATCACTGGATTTGCAAAGTTATTTTCTCTTCAGCGCTGTGCACTATCTCAGAACAAAATCTGTTGGCAAAGCACTTTATTGGCAACCAATGGGTTAGAATATAGAGACATTAGGAATGCCACATGGGGTCCAACCAATGCTCCATCCAGGCCAGCCTACTGCAAAAGCAACATGAGAGGATTTTGGAGAGCGAGGTTGCCCGATGTGGTATCAGTTTGTAGTGTTGGAATTATTTAAAATATCTTCCCAAAATCATTTTGTGAACTAACATGTAACTCTAATCTATCATTTCAGACAAATCCCTTGATTTTTTCCCACAGCTCTCCCTCTTTGTGTTAGAGTTCCATAAATGTAATGCCCAATATGTGAAGAGAAAATTAACATTCCCCTTTTTCTACTTGCAGACTTCCAAACATTTCCTGAAACCTTAAACTCTTACTGATTCTTTAAACTGTCCCCATTCCACTTTTCTCTGCAGCAAGTAGCTCTCAATGTGTAGTCCTCAGATGGGCAGCATCCACTGGAAAACTGCTAGAAATGCACATTCTCAGGCCTCACCCAAGATCTGCTGAATCAGAAGCTCTGGGGTGGAACCCAACAACCTGCATTTTAACAAGCCTTCCAGATGACGCTGAAGCATGCTCCATACTGACAACTAATGCAATGCATTATGGTAAATTTGCCCACCCACCCTCTGGCAAAAATAACATCTAATTGCATTTACTTTTTAGTTTGATGAGAACTTATCTCGGTATCTTTTAATTCACCTGATGTTTCTGTTGGTAACAAAACCAACAAAAACATTGTAAATTTGGTACACTGAAATGCAAAATAAGAGTGAAGGAGAGGACACTGGCAGGGAAATCAACAACTATAAAGCAGTTTGGGGCAATTCAGTTTAGGGACAGGCATTATATCTCAAAAATCCAGTGAGCATCACATTATAAAAGCACAGCTCCAAAGGTGATGATTTCATGTGAGGACCCTTCAGTCACAAAGAGAGAGGATTAGCTCACGTTCATTATTTCCAAATTTCCCTCACCAAAGCACACATTATTAAGGCATTTTTGCGACATTTTTATCAAAATGAAAATGTGTTTGGCAATGGAGCAAACTGAGATATATGAAATATTTACTTGTTTGAATATCTGAAGATACTAGAAATGTGTCCTTAATTTACTCTGTCTTATATGAAATGTAAACCAATGCTATCCATTAGCTTCTAAACATTTTCCAACTGATGCATGTTGCAACTGTTCCAGCCCTGCTGCATAGGACAAGACTCAGTTTTTTCAGAATGAGCAGACCAAGTAAGACCAATTACTTATTGTCATTGAAGTTTGTGGTTTTTGTTCAAATTTTATAAGGGTACAATATAATGTGTTTAATCATCATGGTGGCCACTTTTTATACATAGCTTTTTAAAAACTTAAATGCAAACTTCACAACCTTTGCCTCATACTGAATGAGGCCTCATAACAAGCCCTCCAGATGAGTCAGTACCAGTAGAAGTCTGATTTCACATTCCATGAGTGTTTGCTGAAGGAGAATGTATGTGCCTGTGTTCTGCTGGGCATTTCTGAAGGATATTGACAAGCACTGCATATAAATCCTAGGCTAGCTGTGTCACAGATTGGCACAATGGCAGAAAGAATATCTCTGAGAATTTACATCCCGGCAGAGGCAAATCAATCAGTCAACTATGGAGTAAAACATTGTTAAATTCAATTGGAAAAAAAAGTTGAAATTTTCTCATATGCTTTGTCATCTAATATCTGTGTTTTTCTCCGTTCAGTTACTCTTCTCTGGATTTCAAATAGAATTTCTAATAATAAACGTGTACCAATTCTATCATCAAGCTGTTTATGTTCTTTACATTTCTGTTCTTGATAATTATATGCTAGTCTTTGAATATGAAGATAATGCTTCTGACCCAATATTCATAATGCATGTGCCTCGAGTTGTTATTTTTTGCAAGAGAAATAAGTTTATTTTGATCTGATGCACTTTCTTTCCCAGTCTTCATGTGACCAGCAGCACCAACTGCAAGACTGTCTGTCACCTGAGTGTGGCTTGCAACCAAGCACATGTGGGAATTCAGTGAAGGCCCCTGCCTTGACCTCATTATCAACAGGAACCAGCCAAAGACAGTGGTCACTCTTTATCCATGTAAATAGACACCGTAATTTATTTTCAAAAAAATCCAAAGGAAAAAATTTAAGGCCATTGTAATACCAGAAATCTGCACTGTGAGTACTTGGAAGATGACAGTTGATAAAGCTGGGAGGTTTACAATGACTAGATTGTCAGAAGGGGTTAAATGTATGTTCTAATAATAAGAGAACAAGAAAAAAGAATGCCCTGGTGATGTGTAAATTTAAAATACAGTGGTACATTTTAGGAAAACCAAAAATCAATCCATGAACTTTGAAATGAAGGGAGATAGTTCTGAGAGAACTAAAGGAACTGGACTTGAGATCCAAGATTACAATTTACTCAATTTTTTTTATAGATACTTTAAGTATGGAAAATTTAATTTTATTCTTATAGATAGTAAGGTATAATACAGAATATAAAGTCCTTTAAATTAAGGTGGTTATAGATCCTGGTTTTCTTGACACTCTTATATCATGCTGATGGTTCCTGTGTGAATATTAACATTACCCCCTTCAATTCACAAGTGTCTTGCGCTGTGTGTGGGTGTGCGTGCACGCGTGCCTGTGTAGCTTTTGGTTTTATTCTTGTTTGTTTTGCAAAAATGAAATAATAGCAAACATGTGATCCTGAAACTTTCTTCACTGAATACGTATCTTAGAATCTTTATTTTTCTTATTATTCAGAATAATTCGTTTTTTAACCTACTACTTACTCATCATTAAATATAGTTATTTAATCCCCTTTTAAAACCATTTGAATTGTTTTAAATTTTGTCCTACTGCAAATAATTTCATCATATTCTTTTAACCTATAACTGCACATATGTTTTAGTATTTCTGTAGGCTAAATTTTTGGAAATGGTATCAGATCAAAAAAGTTAACATTAAAGTCATAATCAATATTCCCAAATGTAGACACATTTTTGAATCTTCAATTTAATCACTTTCATAAAATTTCAACTTTCCTTAATAATACTTCCAATTTAGCCCTCTCCCTCTTCCTCTCCCTCTCCCCACGGTCTCCCTCTGATGCCGAGCTGAAGCTGTACGGTACTGCTGCCTGATTCTCCTGCCTCAGCCTGCTGACTGCCTGCGATTGCAGGCGTGCGCCGCCACGCCTGACTGGTTTTCGTATTTTTTTGGTGGAGACGGGGTTTCGCTGTGTTGGCTGGGCTGGTCTCCAGCTCCTAACCGCGAGTGATCCACCAGCCTCGGCCTCCCGAGGTGCCGTGATCTCGGCTCGCTACAACCTCCACCTCCCAGCTGCCTGCCTTGGCCTCCCAAAGTGCCGAGATTGCAGCCTCTGCCCGGCCGCCACCCCGTCTGGGAAGTGAGGAGCGTCTCTGCCCGGCCGCCCATCGTCTGGGATGTGAGGAGCCTCTCTGCCTGGCTGCCCAGTCTGGAAAGTGAGGAGCGTCTCTGCCCGGCCGCCATCCCATCTGGGAAGTGAGGAGCGTCTCTGCCCAGCCGCCCATCGTCTGAGATGTGGGGAGCACCTCTGCCCTGCCACCCCGTCCGGGATGTGAGGAGCGTCTCTGCCCGGCCGCCCCGTCTGAGAAGTGAGGAGACCCTCTGCCTGGCAACCGCCCCGTCTGAGAAGTGAGGAGCCCCTCCGCCCGGCAGCCACCCCGTCTGAGAAGTGAGAAGCCCCTCCGCCCAGGAGCCACCCCGTCTGGGAAGTGAGGAACGTCTCTGCCCGGCAGCCACCTTGTCCGGCAGGGAGGTGGGGGGGTCAGCCCCCCGGCCAGCCAGCCTCCCCGTCCGGGAGGTGAGGGGTGCCTCTGCCCGGCCGCCCCTACTGGGAAGTGAGGAGCCCCTCTGCCCGGCCAACACCCCGTCTGGGAGGTGTACCCAACAGCTCATTGAGAACGAGCCATGATGACAATGGCGGTTTTGTGGAATAGAAAGGGGGGAAGGGTGAGGAAAAGATTGAGAAATCGGATGGTTGCCGTGTCTGTGTAGAAAGAGGTAGACGTGGGAGACTTTTCATTTTGTTCTGTACTAAGAAAAATTCTTCTGCCTTGGGATCCTGTTGATCTGTGACCTTACCCCCAACCCTGTGCTCTCTGAAACATGTGCTGTGTCCACTCAGGGTTGAATGGATTAAGGGCGGTGCAAGATGTGCTTTGTTAAACAGATGCTTGAAGGCAGCATGCTCCTTAAGAGTCATCACCACTCCCTAATCTCAAGTACCCAGGGACACAAACACTGCGGAAGGCCGCAGGGTCCTCTGCCTAGGAAAACCAGAGACCTTTGTTCACTTGTTTATCTGCTGACCTTCCCTCCACTATTGTCCTGTGACCCTGCCAAATCCCCCTCTGCGAGAAACACCCAAGAATGATCAATTAAAAAAAAAATAAAATAAATAAAATAAAATAATACTTCCAATTTAAACTAAGGAGCTTTAATTGTTTAGGACCACAAAGATTTCTATCAGAGGGAGGACAAAACGTGAAATATTTTGTTTTGTAATTTATTTGTTGCAAAAAACATCACTGCTGTTTGGAAATTGAGAAACTGTCCAAACAAGTACACTATGGACAACAAATGTCGTGAAGTGCCTGTCCGCACTGAGGTTTGAGAGCCACAGGAGACTTGAGACTTCTTCTAAGACAGTTTAAAGAAGTCTCATTTATTTGTCTTTTTATACAATGTAGCAAATCAATATATTAAATAATATAAGAACGCCAAGTTTTCTTACATATAAAACTAGAGTAACCTATCAAACAAAGCTGTTCCATGTAACTGAGAACTCATTAACCCTGAGGTCCTAGGACTATATGAAGTCAGTGCAATAGCAGGCGATAGCCTGTCATGTGCAACTAGGGCTGCTGGTGGGGAAAAGTACAACATCCCAGATTCGTCAGTGATGTAGCTGGATTGTTGGGTGTGAGAAATGCACCAGCCCTGACTCAGAGATGCCCTCTCTTGCTCATCTTCCTGTCATTCTGGTGCTGAACACCTGTGCCCACCCATAGTGACCTATGACCGAGGGCATGGGCACAAACACCTTCCCTATCTCCCTGTCTTTTTTCTTTCCCTCTTTTCCCTTTATTCATTCCACTATCCTTCTTCCTCCCCCTCACAACCCCAACTCTTTTCATATTATCAACAAATGGCAAGTACAGGCCCTGAGGAAGACACAGATGACTAAGACGGAGCTTCTGCCCTTGAAAAGCCCCTGATCTAGTCTGGGAGACTGACATATAATCAGAGGATCAGACAGCCTGATGAATACCATGATCATGTGCCTGACATCTTAGAGTAAAGAAAATGTGGCAACTCATGTTGCTAGGAGGAATCAGGACAGCTTTGCAGAGCACCGGGCATTTGTGATGTGTCTGCAAGTTCATTGTCTTTGAGTGTAGGAAACCACCGTTGGAGCATATAGGCTGGACCTAGGAACCCTGGGCTCTGCACCAAACACAGGCTCCTGAATGGAAGATAGGTGACATTGTCACTGTCCTCAGTCCCTGCCCTGGCTTGCCTAGAAGGCAATAAATTAAGTTGTTATAGGTGGTGTGTACTTGTACCTAAAGACGTCACTGCTAGCTAAGGGGAAATAAGCCCCTGAAGATTGTTAGGGCAGTGAAATTATTCTTTAAGATACTGTTATGGGAAATATATGATATAATGCATTTAGCAAAGCCCATAGAACCGTACAACACAGGGACTAAATCCTAATATAAACTGTGGATGTTAGTTAATCATAATGCATGAATATTGGTTCATCAGTTGTAACAAATGCGCCACACCAACACAAAATGTTAACAATAGGAAAAACCAGAGGCTGGTGGGGGAAGAGAGTATACAGGAACACCATATATTTTGCTCACATTTTCTGAAAACCTAAAACTGGTCTAAAAATCAAAGTCTATTAATTTTTTTAAACACCTTGAAACAGTATGTCTATCTTCTATTAGTTCCCTGCCTTTGTGAAAATAAGAGCAGACTTTTGGTTTTTCTTCTTTAGGACAAGAATTATATTTTTATAATAACTCCTCCATTACTTTTGATATATCTAATTATTTCTTTAATAACTGGATCAAACACTTTAATATTAATGAAGGTAGAGCCAATAGGATATCCTGGTAGATTGGAAGAGACAGTGAGAGAAACAGAGGCATAAAGGATGATGCTGAAGTTTTTGGCTTGAGCAAGAAGAAGCAGGGCTGGTACTAGGGTGAGCCAAGTGAGATGTTGAGGGCATACAATTTAAGGAGGCCCTTGCATAGCCATGCAAAAGCAAGGTCAGCACTTCCTTGGTGCTCTGAATGCCTTAAAGTTTGTGCCTAAGTGGTTGGCTTACTTCACTCTTGTCCTAGTCCTGACTGGATCAATGGTATCACCATCCACTGAGTTGCGGCAGGCTGAGCAGAAGCAAATTTGGGGAGGCTGGATTGAATATAGAAGCTTGGTTCTGGACATGTTGACTTTGAGATGGCCATTGAACATTCAAGTGGAGACATCAGGTAGTCAGCTGGATCTCTGAGTCTATATCTCAGGAAAGAGGCTGAGACTAAAGTTATGTATTTAGAAGTTATCACAAGACTAAATGAACTCATGAAGAAAGTGAGTGTGAATGGATAGTTAGATGGATAAGGGAAGAGTTTCAAGGCCTGAGCCATGAAATACTTCTATTTGTCAGAAAGAAAAAGAGGAGCCAGCAAGGAACCTTGAAAAAGAGCAGGCAATAAGAGAAGGAACACTGGCAGTGTATATTCCTGGAAGACAAGACAATGCTTCAAGGAGTAGAGAGTAATAAGTTGTGTTTCATGCTGCTAGAGTTGAGTTAGACAAAGCTTGAAACTAGAACTTTGGTGTTAGTGGCATTGAGGTCATCGACGATGTTGACTAAAACAGTTTTGGTGGAGAGATGACAACAGAAGCCTAAACAGAGTGCACTGAAGAGAGAAGAAGAGATGAGAGAAATTTGATTCTGCATATACATAAAACTCTTTCAAAGGTCTTCTTTTAGAAAGAGGAAGGAAGATAGAGAGAGACACAGACAGACAGACTGAGAGAGATGAGAGAAGCCAGAGGGGGAAGATAAGTCCAGAAGTTAATACTTTCCCAGTTTTTCCAACTTGCATCCCAACCCCTTCTCTCTGGGTTTTAGCAGTGGATACTTTGAGATTCTAATATTTATCTCCTCAGAAGGTGAGATGCAGAAGAGGAGATAGGAAATTGAGATAATAACTACTTTCTTCTGATGGGTGGGAAAAATTCTATATGAGAGTTTTTCTACCAAGACACATGTGAAAGGAAGTGGCAACGTGGCAATTCATCTAAGATCAGCAACTTTTTTTCTCTGTTTGAATTTGTTGATTTGGAAGTTATTTGTCTGGCTCTGCAACAGAATCATTATTTGCTCTACCAATTTTTCTAAAGTCTCACATGCTGATGCCAGTTAAAAAAGAATACATTTTAGTCTGTCAACTTTTGCTTACAAAAGAGGATCTAAAAGTGTGTTCCAAGGTAATTTGAACAGACTCTTTCAAGATAGTGCATCTTTTAGTAGATCCACAGAACAGTAAATATAACTTGATAATCACCCCAAACAGTTCTTGCATTGGAAAATTGAATTGGCAGGTTTGCATAATAAAGGGCTAAAATTATGAACCACACAAGATTTGCCTGAAACTTGATTGTTCAGGCTCAGAATTCTCTACTGAATACTCTTGTGCTTGCTTTTGTATTTATCCATTTTCACGTAACTGCTTAGAGCAGACATATCTCTTTTTAATCTTTTTTCATAAAAATAAATTGTAATAAATATGCCGGCGGATGGTAGGGATGCCGACCCTACCGAGGAGCAGATGGCAGAAACAGAGAGAAACGACGAGGAGCAGTTCGAATGCCAGGAACGGCTCAAGTGCCAGGTGCAGGTGGGGGCCCCCGAGGAGGAGGAGGAGGACGCGGGCCTGGTGGCCGAGGCCGAGGCCGAGGCCGTGGCTGCCGGCTGGATGCTCGAGTTCCTCTGTTTCTCTCTTTGCCGAGCTTTCCCCGACGGCCGCTCTGAGGACTTCTGCAGGACCCGCAACAGCGCAGAGGCTATTATTCATGGACTATCCAGTCTAACAGCTTACCAGTTGAGAACGATATACATATGTCAGTTTTTGACAAGAATTGCAGCAGGAAAAACCCTTGATGCACAGTTTGAAAATGATGAACGAATTACACCCTTGGAATCGGCCCTGATAATTTGGGGTTCAATTGAAAAGAAACATGACAAACTTCAAGAAGAAATACAGAATTTAATTAAAATACAGGCTATAGCTGTTTGTATGGAAAATGGCAACTTTAAAGAAGCAGAAGAAGTCTTTGAAAGACTATTTGGTGATCCAAATTCTTATATGCCTCTCAAAAGCAAATTGCTTATGATAATCTCTCAGAAAGATACATTTCATTCCTTTTTTCAACACTTCAGCTACAATCACATGATGGAGAAAATTAAGAGTTATGTGAATTATGTGCTAAGTGAAAAATCATCAACCTTTCTAATGAAGGCAGCAGCAAAAGTAGTAGAAAGTAAAAGAACAAGAACAATAACTTCTCAAGATAAACTTAATGGTAATTATGTTGAAATGGAAACTGAAGCTAGTTTGGATACAAGAAAAAGGTCTCATAAGAATCTTTTCTTATCTAAGTTGCAACATGGGACCCAGCAACAAGACCTTAATAAGAAAGAAAGAAGAGTAGGAACTCTTCAAAGTACAAAAAAGAAAAAAGAAAGCAGAAGAGCCACTGAAAGCAGAATACCTGTTTCAAAGAGTCAACCGGTAACTCCTGAAAAACATCAAGCTAGAAAAAGACAGGCATGGCTTCAGGAAGAAGACAAGAATTTGAGATCTGGCGTGAGGAAATATGGAGAGGGAAACTGGTCTAAAATACTATTGCATTATAAATTCAACAACCGGACAAGTGTCACATTAAAAGACAGATGGAGGACCACGAAGAAACTAAAACTGATTTGCTCAGACAGCGAAGACTGATTGTGTTTGTAAAAGCTTGATGAAAGGACAGTTAAGTATTTTGATCACTGTATTTTGTTTGAAACTTGTGTCATTGATGTATTTTAAAACTTTTGTTTAAAGCATTACAGTATTTTTCTGTGACCATCAATTAATATGAGGGTTTGTGCTGTAAGAGTTAAAGCATGTGCTATCATTGTATTCTTTAAGAACTTTATTTTGATAAAATGTAAGTTTGTTGAACCCTGCCACATTTAGTATCCCCACCCCCAAAACCTGTTCCAATGAAAAAATTAAAACCTGTTATGAAAAAAAAATTCAGTTAACCTATTTTGTGTCTGTAGGCTGACCTCAACACTGTAACATAATCCATTAAAATGAATTTTACTTTTTTTTAAGACAAAGTTTCTCTCTGTCACCCAAGCTGGAATGCAATGGCACAATTTCAGCTCACTGCAACCTCTGCCTCCTGGGTTCAAGCAATTCTCCTGCCTCAGCCTCCTGAGTAGCTGGGATTATAGGCACACACCACCATGCCCAGCTAATTTTTGTATTTTTAGTAGAGGCGGGGTTTCACCATGCTGGTCAGGATGGTCTCGAACTCCTGACTTCATGATCCACCCACCTCGGCCTCCCAAAGTGCTGAGATTACAGATGTGAGCCACTGCATCCTGCCTAAAATGAATTTTCTAGACAATTGAATAACAGTAGTCCTTTGACAGGAGATAATGACTTGGTTTATGGCCTTAATATACTACTTAATTACTTAAGATGTTTATTAATAGAATGATAAATGTACAGAGTAACCTATAAGCATGACATACTTTCGCTTTCAGTAGTTTCATGTAAAGAAAAAAACTTGAAAACAGTAATACCTGAGGACCCATGGGAATAACAGACACTGGGGAGGTAGGTGGGGAGCGGGAACAAGAGCTGAAAAACTACCTACTGGGGACTCTGCTCACTACCTGGGTGACAGGATCATCCATACCCTAAACCTCAACATCACACAGTACACCCAGCTGACAAACCTGCCCATGTGTTCCCTGAATCTAAAAAAAAAATCGAAATAATTGTTTTAAAAAAGAAAAAGACAATAGTATTGCCCATGGGACAAAATTTGTACTATTAGCAAGAATCATTTGTGTCTCATTTAGAAAGAATTTGACTTTTGTTCCAGTGCTTAAACTTTGACAAAAATGGTTTTGAGTAGATCTTTATAACCTGATGCCATAAATACAAGATTCTCTGATACCTTCATTTAATATATCAATATTGGGCCTAAAAGAGTATTCTATAAAGCTTAAATTGGTATTAACTATGATCATCTTGATGTCTGTGATAGATAATAAACAAGGTCATACATACCTTACAAACAATTTTGGTTTTTCACCAACATTTTATCTAAAAGATTTACACTAACAGAATTATTTAGCATTTCGAGTCATGTGCTTTATTTAGCAAGTGAGTAAAAATATTGGAATATTGAAGTATTTGCATAAAAAATCAAATGGTAGTGTTTTGTAATCTCTATTGTATTTTCTATTAAGGTTTCATATATTACTTTCCCATTGTTTCTGAATTTGTTATCCTATATATGAACAGAAACATGGATGAGTACCATAAAAAATAAATAAATAAATATGCCAAACTCACTCCAATAGCATCCAACATATCATATGTATTATATAAATACATATTTTACCATTATAATTGACAAACCAGCAATTATGAGCTTGATTCTTTGTGGATGCATTAGGAGAGTGTTTCTTCATAGGATATAATATTTTGTAATTTCTTATTCTTTACTGCTTGCTGCGCTGTAAAAGGTTTATAAAATGAGTTGCTTTTGGGGTGTGAAATGAGCAATCATCAGAGGAAAAGCATTAAGGACAAGAAAGTGGAGTGAGGATCATGAAGCATGTGCATTTCTTTCTCAAGGTCATGGGTAAATTTCAGCTCCATGGAAAATCTTGAGAAAGAATCCAGCAAGAATGAGATCATGAAATGTTAGCTTTCCCCAAGTAGAAATTCCATAATAGAACTATAAAATTGCTGCTTACAAATTTTTTCTTCTAAATTCTACTTGAAATTAGGGAATTGAAAGGGCCAGGAGGGACCCTGGAATTCATCTAGTCTGAAATCATTATACATAGGAAAAGCTAAGCTGAGCCATTCTGCAAGTCACACTAATGTGACATAGAAAATACTAGAACCTAAGGTTCTGAATTACTGTTTCAGGTGTTCATCTGCTACAACAAACATTTATCAAACACCTAGTAGGTATAAGAGATCATTTAAACCCACCCCAAAGGATACAAAGTTGAGGAAAGCACTCTTTGCCTTTGCAGAAATCACAATCTATTATCAAAGCATATGATAGAAATTTCAATATCTAAAACACAAAATCTAAAGTGTTAAGTGCCATGAGAATGATATAAGAGTTTAAGAAGGGAGAGATACAACAAAGTTTGGGCAAGCCAGTATGTTTCTTGAAGGAATAGCACTTAATTTGTGATGTGAAGATAAAATCTCAGTAAAGAAAAATGGGGAAGAAGATGGTAAGCCTGGCAGAAGGAATATTATTAGCAAGTGCAGGAAAATGTACTCTAATCAAAAAGAGCAGGCCGGGCGCGGTGGCTCACGCCTGTAATCCCAGCACTTTGGGAGGCCGAGGCGGGCGGATCACGAGGTCAGGAGATCGAGACCATCCCGGCTAAAACGGTGAAACCCCGTCTCTACTAAAAAATCCAAAAAATTAGCCGGGCGTAGTGGCGGGCGCCTGTAGTCCCAGCTACTTGGGAGGCTGAGGCAGGAGAATGGCGTGAACCCGGGAGGCGGAGCTTGCAGTGAGCCGAGATCCCGCCACTGCACTCCAGCCCTGGGCGACAGAGCGAGACTCCGTCCCAAAAAAAAAAAAAAAAAAAAAAAAAAAAAGAGCAAGTAGCCTAATGTGACTGGATTTCAATTTACCTTTACATTTTTCTATCATGTTATTTCATGCCCATAAATTATGGCAATAGTCTAAATGAACTTGAATATCAGACCAAATTGCCTTGTCTTATGTAGTAACCCACTCAAGTTTCTAAGCAGAAAATAACCTGACCCCCATTCTCTGAGATTTGAGAAAAAAATTGTGTATCCTTCACTAAAGTTTGGAATGCATTTTGGAAGGAAAGAGGAAAGCAGAATGAATATGTCCTGACCACGTGTATTACTCATTTGCTCTGAAAGCCATACCCTGCCCCTTTTTCTGCTCAGCTCTGAATGTTAGTCTCACAATTAGGTTTAGCTAAGTGAAGGCAGAGGAGCAGGCATCCAAAGGGTGGAAGGGAAGGAGAAGCCAGACTATTTCTTCTCACTCTCTGTACTTGAGGTAGCATCTCTTCTCTGGTTTCGGTTCCTGTTGTGCAGTCTTTGCCATGCTTCCAGCTTGGCAGCCTTGGCATTTCCTAAGCAGTTCCTTCTCCATGATTCCAGGTCCTACTGAGGCCCCAACTCAGAGAATCCCGTAGTGCCATTGCCTCCCTTTGTGCTCCATTTCTGATATCATAGAGACTTTCTGTTGTTGCTAACCTCTGGGTGCTTCACATTTCCTTATTAACTTTTTCCACTCTTCCAAAATAGGATATTAAAAAGCATATTACTGAAATGTTAAAAAGCATAACTGCCTTTAGATATAATTAAACAAAGGGCCTCAAACAAAGTCACCATGGACCTGCCTCTTTCTCCCTATTCCTGGACTCTTCTGTGCTCTTTTTGCATTGTCTTTGCTGTCAGGCTAGTTCTTTCTGTATAACTGGAAAGATGACTGTTGCTTGCCCCAAGTCTACATCCTTATGGCTCATAATCCAGATGAAAAAGAGATTATCTATTTTCCAGAAACCCTGTATTAAATCTCAAATTTGAATTTGATTGATTTGCTAGAGGGTAGGGTGATGAAGTTCTCTGGTCCTGGTCATTGGAGAGGGGTAAATGTTATTTCAGCCTCATTCAAGTTTTATGGAGCGAGGCATAGCATTTACTCAAAAGAAGGGATACTGGGCAAACAACAGTCATCTAATACAGAGAGATGCTGAAAATTATCTATTTGCTCCTCCATATCCACTCTTCATCCTTTTCTAACCTGATTTTGTGCAAAGGAAGCTCACCTCCTTGGCCACTCTCTTCCTTTGTCCTCTGACTTTATGTCAAGTGCAGCCAATGGAGCACATTGCCATGGGATTGGAGAGCAAGAGGAAAGAGCCTTAGTGGGGTTTATTCCACCCCCACCTGGCCTGGCAGTGATGTGGCAGTGGCGGTGGCAGCATCCCTCACTGAAGCAGCTCTTGCTGGGTAGTATCTCCCATGTGCAGGTTCCCCAGTGCTCTGATAAGAGCTCCCACCTCCCCCATCCCTACAGGACTGATGGTAGGAATGGCCTTCACCACCTCTAGTCCCTGGGTGCGTCACTGCTTCTAGTGGGTTCCTTAGCTTTGTCCATACCCTGAATGAACTCTTGATTAAACCCTCTTCAGTTATCCTTTTTTTAGCATGCCAACTGATCCAGCCAGGACCTGGTACTTATGGGTTAAATGATTATTGCCACTTTCTAGCTGACAAAGCCAAGCTTAAACATTTTCAGAAACTTACTAAAGACCACACAATGAAGAGGAGGTGGGTTTGGGACTGAAATTTTTGTTTATTTGCCTTCAAAATCTGGATCTTAAAAGAACAATTTCTCCCCCTTTGACAGACATAAACCCAAAAGCATCTGTGCCATTGTCATGTGCCTTGTCTGTCTACCTTCTACATACATCCGAGTATGATGGGCCAGGCAGACAGGGATTTTGGCTTCCTTAGCAAAATTGGCTCTTAAGTTAAAAGGAAAAACACAATAAGATGGAGAATCCACTCTTTTACATTCACAACTTCATGGCTGATTCCAGTTTGCTTTTTGATAATATACACATTCCATTTCTTATAGTCTGTGAGTAAATGGGCCTTTCATAAGCCCATCCAAAGGGTAGCTTACAATTTTCATTCTGTCCCCTCTCCTTGCACTTTTCTTAAAGTGAATTACTAGTTAATGCCTGAGAGAGTAAAATCCCTGATCCAATTTTTTCACAAAATATATAGTTTTATGTGGAAGAAAATAGGAGTCTGGAAGATACTCAGTCTCAATGAACTTTACTCCTCTGAGGAAGATTAGCAACAGGGATAGGAGTCAGTAGAGGCACCCTCGTTAGTCACCAGCTCTGATTGTAAACAGTGGGATCATTGCTTTTAATTCTTTACCATAGAACTTTCTCTGGCACCAGATTCATGTAAGTATAATTCAGAAATGTAAGTGGATAACAGCTTATTGTCCAAGGTTCCCAAGGACCAAAAAATAAGGTGCAAAAAATACTTAAAAGTAGCCAAGTAACTCTGACCTGGAGTGCTGAAGTTCATTCCCTTTCTACATCATTTGCATAATATCTCCATATCCAAATGGTATCCCAGAATACACGAAGGAATTAGGAAGTCTAAGAAGTTAAATGGAAAATAATAGCACGGGTAAAGTGCAATTAATGCCATAAGCAGGAAAGGCAAATACACTGATTTAGCTGAGATTTAACACATCTTTGGAACTCAACTTGGCAAAGCAAGAGGGGACATTGGAAAAGCCATACCTTGCTAAGAGAGAAAGTAGCTTTCTATTCTGAAGCAGCTATATAAGTGCAGTCATAGAAGGCCCAATCCACGAGAGAAATGAGGAGTCTGGTTTATGGGAAGAATCCAATGCAAGAAGGCATTTACATGTAGCTAAATCACTGATCTTGAGAGGTCAAGGAAGATAGAAACCTTATTTAATGACAAGGTAACAAAAACAGAAATAACACTTTTTACATTATTTTTAAAATCTTACTTGTGATGCATACTAATGTCCCAGAGTTGTGTGGGTTTTTCTCCAGAAGTACAGATTCACAAAGGGTTATTTATTTATTTATTTATTATACTTTAAGTTCTGGGATACATGTGCAGAATGTGCAGGTTTGTTACATAGGTATACACATGCCTTGGTGGTTTGCTGCACCCATCAACACATCATCTATGTTAGGTATTTCTCCTAATGCCATCACTCTCCTAGCCCCTCACCCCATAATAGGCCCCATTGTGTGATGTTCCCCTCCTTGTGTCCATGTGATCTCATTGTTCAGTTCCCACTTGTGAGTGAGAACATGCGATATTTGGTTTTATGTTCCTGTGTTAGTTTTCTTAGAATGATGGTTTCCAGCTTCATCCATGATTATTTTGAGAAAAGTTTAGAGTAAAACAAAGGATAGACCAAGGGCCTCTGTGGTCAGAGTTTGTGCTCTGAAAGGGGGTCCCTTTCTCCATGGTGCTAGGCAGTCACGGTGCTACACAGACAAAACAGAAATGATCTCCCTGTTTTCTTCAACAAAGTTCCAGTTACTCCCAGCATCTTCACAATGGGTGAGAATGAACCTCTGTTGAGTGCAACATGTTCCGTGGTTTGTGTTTCTTTACTTTTTTGTTTTGCTGCAAGGTTGCAGGCTCCTTTGTAGTCTACAAACACCTTGAGAGCAGGGATGGCCTTTATTCATCATTGTTCTTATTCCTTAGCTCAAGGCCTGGACACATAGCAGGCATTTAATAAAGTGAGTTCTGTTAACCTCATCTTTAAATGTTGATGTTGTTTTCTTTTCAGGAGAAAAACTTATTTAGGTCACACACATACACACATACCACATGTATTCACACTCCAGAAAAGTAAATCCAACACATACACACACACGAAGAACAACTGATGTAAAAAATAATAATGGTAAATTGAAGGCAATAAAACATTTATTTTTATACTAAAATTAAAAAATAAGATATGAAGAAAGCTGAGCATAAAAGATTGACATATACAGAAGCTACAAGAAAACAGACCCACAAAGCATTATTTCATGTCTTCATGTATTGATTTTTTTTCTCTAACATGGGGAATGAGGTAGGTTTTCCATTGCCTCCCACTTTCTGTTGGCTGCTGATGGCTACATTTCCTTTTCTGAGAATCTCACATATTGACCATAGATATGGTTGTCACTAAATAAACCACAGGCACCATTAATCAAATAGGAATTAGTGAAAGGGAAAGAGGTATAGTGGGTTGAATAAT
Source organism: Homo sapiens (assembly GCF_000001405.40). Classification (NCBI taxonomy): domain Eukaryota; kingdom Metazoa; phylum Chordata; class Mammalia; order Primates; family Hominidae; genus Homo; species Homo sapiens. Next base: position 14,370,416 of record NC_000018.10, on the reverse strand, counting down.
TTTTCCCTAAATTTATACGCATCTGTGTCTTAGTTCTTTTGAGCTGCTATAACAAAAATACCATAGACTAGGTAATTTATAAACAAAAGAAAATTTATTGCTCATAGTTCTGGAGGCTGGGAAGTGCAAGATCAAGATGACTTCCTATTCAATGTTTGGTGGAGGTTTACTCACTGCTTCATAGATGGTGCCTTCTCGCTGCGTCCTCACATGGCAGAAAGGTTGACCAAGGTCCCTGAAGCCTCTTTTATAGGGTATTAATCCAATTCATGAGGAATCTGTGTTCATGGCTTAATCACCCCCCCCCCTAAAAAAAGCCACATCTCTTAACACTCTCATATTGGGGATTAAGTTTCAACACATGGGCTGGGCATGGTGGCTCATGCCTGTAATCCCAGTACTTTGGGAGGCTGAGGCGGATGAATCACCTGAGGTCAGGAGTTCGAGACCAGCCTGGCCAACATGGTGAAACCCTGTCTCTACTAAAAGTACTGGGCGTGGTGGCACGCACCTGTAATCCCAGCTACTAGGGAGGCTGAGGCAGGAGAACCACTTGAACCCAGGAGGCAGAGGTTGCAGTGAGCTGAGATGGTGCCACTGTACTACAGCCCAGGTAACAGCAAGACTCTGTCTCAAAAAAAAAAAAAGTTTGAACATAGGAATTTTGGGGGTACGCAAACATTCAGAGCATTCCAACCTGGAACATCAGAATGTGACCTTATTTGAAAAGAGAATCTTTGTAGATATATTTGGGATATAAAAAGGATTCTGGGATAAAACCACCCTGGATTTACAGTGCATACAAAAATCTAGTGTAATGACTGGTGTCTGTATGAGAAGAGGGAAAAATACAGAGACACAGGGTATAAGGCCATTTGTAACCTCTGGCAGAGATTGGAGTTATCCTGCCACAGACCAAGAAATGCAAAGGCCCAGAAGAAGATGAAAGAGGCAAGGAAGGATTGCAACCTTCCAAGGAAGGGTGTCCCTGCTAACACCTTGATTTTGGACTTCTGACCTTCACAACAGTGAGAGAATACATCCTTGTTGTTTAAGCCACCCAGTTTGTGGTACTTTGTTACAGTGGCCTCAGGAAACTAATACAGGAGGTTTTTTGTTTAGCATATTACAGGATATTGACTTGAGTAGGAACTCAGATTTCACAGAGAGATAGTTGGATGAGGTCTATGTATTAACACCACATTGAATATAAACTCTATAAGTGGGAAGCATTGTTTCCAGGAAGAGCAAATACCACATTCCAACCATATTGATGGTTGTTGAGTCAGGGCCCTCTTCTTCTGTGAGATTCCTGTCGAAACTACCTTATCAGCAACTGTCTGGCTGAGAGCAAGAATAATCTTTTGCCTCTTTTATACACAGATTTTATGTAGTTAATTAAATAAATGTTAATTTAAATTAATAAAAATCATACTAAAGCAATTTCTAAAAATATATTTATCAGCCACTTTTTTTTGTAGGTCTTCAATAGAATAATGAAATCCATGAAAAATCCTCGGGTTTTCAGAGTTTCATCTTGATATCTTAGCATTCTGTCAAGCTATAGGCTGAGGGAGAAACATTCTGCAGCTTCCCTTAGAAGAACCACTTTGGATCCACCTTTCCGCAGAGGCATTTTTCAGGATTTCTGTGTCTAGATTTCTCCCTGGGAAAACCAGGAATAAAACCATCAGTCACATCACTTGCAGCCCAGGGAATGTTCAGCTGGCACACGTGACTAGACCAGTGGTAGAAGGCATGCAGGACTTAGGATTTCACGTTTCTTTATGTTTGACCTTTACATTTCTAACAAGAAAGGCATTGTTTATTAATGTCTTCATTTTACACAGGAAAAAAAATGAAGATCAGGATAGTTAAGGCAGTAATTTTCCTATGTTTTTCACTCTTTTGAGGAACAGGCTGGCCCTAGGAGATGGGATGCAGTGAGAAGGAAGAAAAGGCAGCCTAGCTTTTATCTCATCAAAGTCAAAAGTCTTATGGACACACCTTTGCAATCCCTCTCCTGGAAGTGACTTAAGTGTTATGTATTTCCACATGCCCTTATTTTAGTAATTTTTCCATGGGAAAACAAACCCATGACTCAGTAAAATTTGACAAAGTAAATCGCCTAAAATTTCACAACAAAACTCCCCCTAAATGGCGGTGGGAAGCCATAGTTAGAAACAAATTTTGGCCTACTATTTTTCAACTAATTTTTAAAATAGTGGTAAAATACACATAACATAAAATTCACCATCTTAACCATTTTTAAGTGTGCAGTTCAATAGTGTTAAGTGAATTACATTGTTGTGTAATCAGTGTCCAGAACTTTTCCATCTGTCACAACTGAAACTCTATCCCCATTAAACAACTCCTCATTTTCCCCTCTCCTCAGCTCCTGGCAACCATAATTCTACTTTCCATTTCTATGCATTTTATTACTTTAGACACTTCATGTAAGTGGACTCATAGTATTTGTCTTTTTGTGGCTTGCTTATTTTACTTAGCATATCTGCAAGATGCCTCCATGTTGTAGTATTGTGTCAGAGTTTCATTCCCTTTTAAGGCTGAATAATATTCATATATATATATATATATACAAATTTTGTTTCAATTCATCTGTAGATGAACACTTGAGTAGTTTCTAATCTTGACTATTGTAAGTAATGCTGCTATGAACATAAGTGTACACTCTACCTACTACTTTTAATCACAATTTAAACCCTTCCATTTTGAGAAAAGTTGTAAAATAACAGAATGTTTTATTTAGAAAATTAATCATTTTTATTCTCAGATATGAGAACAACACAAATAAAGTATTTTTCTTTGAAGTTCATAAAATGCCATTGCATAATTTATTTTTACATAAAAATACTTTCTGGGTTGAGCACGGTGACTCACACCTATAATCCCAACACTTTGGGAGGCTGAGGTGGGAAGATCACTTGAGGCCAAGAGTTCAAGACCAACCTGTGCAAGAGAGTGAGACCTTATCTCTACAAACACTTTAAAAAATTAACCAAGCACGGTGGTGGATGCCTGTAGACCCAGCTACTCAGGAGGCAGAGGTGGGAGGATAGTTTGAGGCCAGGAGTTCAAGGCTGAAATGAGCTATAATCATGCCACTGCACTCCAGCCTGGGCAACAGAGTGAGAACCTGTCTCAGGAAGAAGAAAAAGAGAAGGAAGGAAGGAAGGAAGGAAAAAAAGAAAGAAAAAAGAGAAAGAGAAAAGAAAGAAAGGAAGAAAGGAAGGAAGGAAGGAAGAGAAAGAAAGAAAGAAAGAGAAAGAAAAGAAAGAAAGAAAAAAGAAAGAAAGAAAGAGAAAGAAGAAAGAAAGAGATGAAATTTCAGAGTACATTGCTGCTTTGAATTGAGTTGTGCATTGGGAAGCATCAGTCTCCCAGGGAGGGACAGAGAGCTGATAAGGTAGCATGCATTCTCCCAAATCTGTCCCACCCAGGGAATAATGTGCTAGATTTTTCTGACATGCTTCTGGAGGGTGAGAATGCTAAAAGTCCCTCGCAGAATCATTTCCCATTACTAAATTCACCTGGTTTATTACATCTCATGAATGAAATTTTTCAATTAAGTCTTCCCCTTGTTTTTGTTGTGTTGTAACTACTTTAGGATGACTGTTCTACTTAGAGATGGTATCTTAGTCCATTTAGGCTGTTACAGAAATTTTTGTTACAAAAATGCCATAAACTGGGTAGGTTATAAACAACATAAATTTATTTCTTACACTACTAGAGGCTTGGAAAGCTGAGATTAAGTCACTATCAGAATCCATATCTGGTGAGACCATTTCCTGGTTCACAGACAATGGCTGTCTTCTCGCTGTGTCTTCTCCTGCAATTGATTTCTCTTGCAGTGGATCTCTTGCATGTCTTTGATAAGAGCACTAATCTCATTCACCAATTCATGAATCACTAATCACTTATGAAAGGCTCCATCTCCTAATGCCATCATATTGGGAATTAGAATTTCAACGTAGGAATTTTGGGGGAATATTAGTCTATTGTTCATGGTTTGATGACCTAATTCTCATGGTGGTTTTAACCCATGCTCCCTTTTAATAAACATAAAATGTTGTAAAATTATATACTTTTTCTCATAGACAACTCCCCCCCTTCCTCATACTTTATCGTCTTTAAAATTGCTGATATACTTAGAAGATGGTTTATTTTCTAGGCATTTCTGCAGACTGATTAGGTAGAGCTTTTATTTTTCTTTGGCCAAATATTATATTTCTTTTCTTTTCTTTTCTTTTCTTTTGAGATGGAGTTTCGCTTTTGTTGCCCAGGCTGGAGTGCAATGGCCCGATTTCAGCTCACTGCAATCCACCTCCCGGGTTCAAGCAATTCTCCTGCCTCAGCCTCCTGAGTAGCTGGGATTACAGGGATGCGCCACCATGACCGGCTAATTTTGTATTTTTAGTAGAGACGGGTTTTCTCCATGTTGGTCAGGCTGGTCTTGAACTCCTGACCTCAGGTGATCCGCCTGCCTCGGCCTCCCAAAGTGCTGGGATTACAGGCGTGAGCCACCGCACCTGGCCTTATATTTACTTTCAAGTATATGCATTCTACTTTGATCCTCCTAATTCTGATCCTCTCTCCATTACCTCCTCCCCAAAAACCTTCTAAGGATCATATCATTTTAATTAGGAAGTTATTTGGCTACATTCAAAATATGATTTTTCTTTATAAATATTGGACTAATAACTCCAATTTGTGCACATGACATCTGAAGAATGTTACAAATATGTGTGAACTCTGTAAGGCTCCCAGTCCAACTTTTTTTTTGAGATGGAGTTTTGCTCTTGTCACCCAGGCTGGAGTGGAATGGTGTGATCTTGGCTCACTGCAACCTCCGCCTCCCAGGTTCAAGTGATTCTCCTACCTCAGTCTCCTGAGTAGCTGGGATTACAGGCACTTGCCACCATGCCCAGCTAATTTTTGTATTTTTAGTAGAGACGGTGTTTCACCATGTTGGCCAGGCTTGTCTCAATCTCTTAACCTCAGGATCTGCCCGCCTTGGCCTCCCAAAGTGCTGGGATTACAGGCGTGAGCCACTGCGCCCAGTCCCGGTCCAACTTTTATTTCATTTTCATCTTTCCTAATCCAGCCTTGTGTTGGAAGCTTCTTCAGACTAAACCAAGAAAACCTTAGGTCTTCATGTTCATATGGGGACTTTAATGTTGATATGGTGTTTGTACACTTTAAAATATTTCCACATATGTTAACCTTGTGGTGATTCTCTGAGGCATGACAGATACTATTTTCCTTGTTTCATAGAAGACAAAACTTGAATTACAGAGAGGTGAAGTGACCGCCCTGAGGGCTTCCCCAGCTAGCAAGTTCAGTATAGGCTGAGCTGGATTCCAGGTTCTCTGGCTTCCAGTCTGGTACTCTTTCTGCTATTCCATGCTGTGTTTTCTGATTGAAAAATCATAAGTCTTTGGTATTTCTCAGCTTGGTCAAATCTGTTTAAAGATCACTTAGCCCACTTTTGTCTGAGTCCATATGAACCAAGTGATCCTTTAATCTGTCTTACTGAGTAAATGCACCCTTCCTGAAGTGAGTGAGTGCCCTATGGAGTTAGGTGCTGAGCTGAGCTGCAGTCCTGGGTTATTTATTGCCAATTTGGCATCACCAACTCTCCCTTCTAAGGGTTCCTCTGTCTTTCAGAAAAGTTGGGAGCTATATTTGCAGAATGCCCTTCCCATATGGTTACAGGTTGGTTTACCAAGAAGTCCCTTCCCTTGCTGAAGATTTGGAAGGCTGAAACGAATGACAGGCTAAAGGGGGTTAAAGGCAGAAATGTGGACAGCCATGAGATTCTAAGAGGCTCCACCAGAAAGCCACTCCCTTCATCGCTGCAGACTGTGATGGTTGAAGAGAAATATCTAGAAGTTCAAGGACAATGGACAATGAACAGGAAACTGTTCAGCTGGGAGCTGAGCTGAGGTTGTCCACCGTGGCTTCATTGACCTCAGCTTCCCCTAGTCTTCCAATGGTTGTATAGGCTTCTTGACATCTGCATTAAACCTTTTTAATTTGGATTATCTAGAGCAACCAGTTTTTCTTGACTAAACTCTGACTGATAGACTCATTCTCATGTTAAGTGCTAACATTTTGATTATGACTTTTATTCTTATTGCTAAAGTATAATTTCAAACGATATAATTAGGACACTGATGCAAATATAATATGAATATATGGCAAGGATTTTGTTCAACTCATTAATTAGGTGGGGAAACAATTAGATATTAAGACCAGTTCAAACAATATTTGAGGAGCTAGGTATTTATAGACCATTTAATTTTAAAATGTTAAGATATTTGGGTTATATATAAAACTTGTTAATATCTTACAGAGCAATGCATAATAACATTTGGGGTTATATTTTCCACCAAATCATATGCCTTTCCATGGGACAAAAATCAACATGTTAAAGTAAAACTTCTGGGACCTTCAATAGATATTTTTTAAATTAGCATCATCATCATCATCATTTGCTATACACTTGATAGGTTATAGACACTACAGTAACATGTTCTCAAACATGTAATTGTCCTTTCAACAATTCTGTGAGGTGGATTTTGTCATCTCCATTTTAGAGATTTGGAAACTGAGCCCAGTGAACCCACCTGACCTCCTCAAGGTCATGGACTGAGTTAGAGCCAGGATTTAAATCCAGATTTATCTCACACTGAGGCCTGTGATTTCCTCCTAGTTCACTATCACCTAATTAATTCAGATGCTCCTGACTCTCTCTGCGTTAATTAATAAAATCAGCTTGGAGAATAACAAAGTTGAAAACTAAGCAAAGGAACATAACTGGATACAAAATGTTATTACAAAAGATTAACGGCTTTGAAAAGTAAAAGCAGTATGAACTATGCCATGTAAACCTTAGGGGGATAAGGGCCTTAGATTATTCAAAAGATAAATATATTTGGAAATTTTTTTAAATTTTTAATTTTTTAATTATACTTTAAGTTCTATGGTACATGTGCACAACATGCGGGTTTGTTACATAGGTATACATGTGCCATGTTGGTTTGCTGCACCCATTAACTTGTCATTTACCTTAGGTATTTCTCCTAATGCTCTCCCTCCCCCCTCCCCCCACCCCACAACAGGCCCTATGGTGTGATGTTCCCTGCCCTGTGTCCAAGTGTTCTCATTTGGAAAAATTTTAACAACTGAGATTAAAAATCCAAAGTTGCCATTTCCACCAGATTATTTTTTCACGGTCTGTGATGTGCCAAGTATAAAGAATAGGAGTAACATAAATGCAGGCCCCAACCAAGCAGAGTCTCTCAAACTTGAATAGAGCATGGAACCTACTTAGTAGAGGGAGTGAGGGAGAGAGCGTTCCCAGACTCTGAGCCCACACCCTCTCATCCAAAAGTTTAGAGAGCACAGCTTGCGAGATTCATGGTCAAAATAGGCCTGATCATTTTTGGTGATAGAATAAGATAAATTGTGTCTTTCAATTAACATTTTTCTATTTGCAACATTCTTACTTCATCCTCAGCCAGTGTAAAAATCAAAGTTTTACTGTAGATTAAAGAAAATAAATGAAAACATGGACAAAAAACATAAGTGAATTAGTATCAGTTGTGGTTAAGGGCATAGACTCTGGAGTCAGAATGTCTGTGTTCAAATCCTGACTCTACTGTGTCCTGTGAAACTCTGGGTTGGTCACTCAACCTGTCTGTGCCTCAGTGTTGTAAATGTCCAGTGGGTTTACCTTGGCCACTGCCTAGACAGAGCCAATTAATCAAGATGGGAATTGCAATAGAGAAAGAGTGAATTCACACAGAGCCAGCTGTACAGGAGACTGGAGATTCATTATTTCTCAAATCCATCTCCCAGAGCTTTCAGAGTTTTTAAGGATAATTTGGTGCATGGAGGAAGGCCAGTGAGTCCAGAGTGCTGATTGGTTAGGTCAGAGATAAAATCATAGGGAATTGAAGTTGTCCTCGTTCACTGAGTCCGTTCCTGGGTGGGGGCCACAAGATCAGATGAGCCAGTTTATCGATCTGAGTGTTTCAATAAACTGGGCGCCAGCTGATCCATCAAGTGCCGGGTCTGCAAAATACCTCAAGCACTGATCTTAGGAGCAGTTTAGGGAGGATTAGAATCTTGTAGCCTCCAGCTGCATGACTCCTAAACCACAATTTCTAATTTTGTAGCTAATTTGTTAGTCTTACAAAGGCAGTCTAGTCCCCAGGAAAGAAGGAGGTTTGTTTTGAGAAAGGGGTGTTAATATCTTTGTTTCACACTATAAAGTAAGTTCCTCCCAAAGTTAGTTCACCCTACACCCAGGAATGAACAAGGACAGCTTGGAGGTTAAAAGCAGATGGAGTTGGTTAGGTCAGATCTCTTTCTCAGTTATAAGTTTGCAATAGCTCTTTCATTGTCTTCATCTATAAAAACAGGGCTAATAAGAATTATACCTCCGTTCATCAACACCAACATCTTTGCCAGGACCAAGATAGACCCCAGCGCCTTGGTGCAGAAGCTGGAGCTGGATGTGAGGAGCGTCACTTCCATCAGGAGAGGTGCAGAGGCCAAGACCGTTTTGCCCAAGAAGGAGAAAATGAAGCTGAGACGTGAGCAATGCTTGCAGAAAATCGAAGCCATAAAACTGGCTGAGCAGAAGCACAGGGAGGAGCGGAGGCGGAGGGCCACGGTGGTGGTGGGGCACCTGCACCCGCTCAGGGATGCCCTGCCCGAGCTGCTGGGGCTCGAGGCTGGCAGCCGGCGCCAAGCCTGCAGCAGGGAGAGCAACAAGCCCTGGCCCTCAGAGCTCAGCCGGATGAGCGCAGCCCAGAGACAGCAGCTTCTCGAGGAAGGAAGGACCCGGTTTCAGGAGCTGCTGTCCAGTCCGGCCTACAGAGCCAGCACCCTGGTGGCCATCGGGCAGACGCTGGCCCGGCAGATGCAGCTGGAAGATGGCGGCCAGCTCTGACCAGGGCAGTGGGCATGCCACAACTCCTCAGGACACATGTGTGGGCCAAGTAGAGAGCACCGGCCCCTCAAGGACCATGGCCTGAGCCTGGTGGACGCCCTTCCTTCTGGTCGGTTGTGGGGTTCAATAAATGGCTCTGTGAACTTCCCCTGCACCCCCAGGGCCGTTCCCATGAGCTGCTCCCTGATTCACAGGGCTGGGCCCACCCTGGGACAGCTGCCCCCGCTTTCCTCAGGACAACAAGCCACATCCCTCCACTGGGGGCCCCAGCCCCCACGCAGTCAGGGTGGACCGTGCACAGGGTTTGTGGGGACTGCAGTTGTGGAGGCCCCAAGTCCATCCCCGTGCAGGCACTGGTGCCCCCAAGATAGCCTCCTGGCTGTGTTGGGAAGGAATTGTGCCTGGGTGTGGCCCAAGCTGTGCCACCAGCTGCCCTGATTTGCTTCAGCCTCGGTTCCTGCTGCGGCCCTGGTGGGATCCAGGAGCACTGAGGCCTGCAGGGGCTGCCGTGGGGGCTGGCTCGGGGCCCTCCCCACCTGGGAGTCTGTTTCCCTTTCAGTCTCCCCTGCCACCATCAGTGACCAGGGACACAGATGGCCCTGGCAAGGCCCTCAGTCTGCTCCTCGCCTGTTGTCTGCAACCCCTGGGCTGCACCCCCCTACCCCACCCATTGCCCTCGCCCTACCCAGCTGCTCCAAACCCAGGCAGCCCACTGCATTGCTCTGGGGGCGGAGAGCAGAGGGTCCTTCTGCAGGGAGGAGATGTGGAGTGGGCCCAGCCCTGAAGCTCTTGCTGACCCGGAAGTGAGAGAGGTCCTTCTTTGTTGCTGGAAGCCCTGGGATTTGGGGGTTGGTTTTTGGACTGTGAATCAGTGACTGATCAGTCCTTGTTTTCAAGTTGTGGAAAGCAAGGGGGTGGTGCGTCCCCAGGCCCCTGAGGCCCAGCTTGGCTCCCCCTGCCTGAGCTTCCCCCATCCCAGTGCTCTGCGGGGCCTCACTGGCCCATGTCCTGCAGCAGGGCTGGGCAGGCGGGGTATGGTGGTGCACCCCACTGGGGGTGTCTGGGAAGTGCAGAGCAGGACCACTCTCAGCTCCCAGGCGGGGGCCCAGCACCCTGAGCCTTCCCAGGCTGCCTGTTTTAGATGCTTTTCAGACTTTCATATTCTGTCTCCTACTCCTGAACTTCCCTGGAATGACACCAAGTTGTATGAGGGGTTTACTGTGTCCTTGTGATAGTGGAGAGAAAAAAATTCAGATCATGTGGAATCGTTAGATGCCCTCTATGCCCAGCTGTGGACAGGCTGGTCCACCTCTCCTTGTCTGAGGATTGCTGAGCTCTGTCTAGCTCTGCCTATCCTTTTGGAGTGAAGCTTTGGCTTCCTGGAGTCCAAGGTTTCAGGCATTTGTGTGTATTCAAGTCCACCCCGACTTTATCCTATCCACTCTGACCCCAAGCTTCTGACAGTTGCCCACTCCTTTCTCAACACTTCCACATCCCTTCTGGAGCATTTGGGAAATCTTAAATCCCTGTCATAACAAGTGCAGACAATGGAGAGCCAGGCTCCATAGTGGACTCACCACCTGAACCCATTCTGCAGTCTTCCCACAGAATTGCTCTGGAGCCATGATGGATCTGGCATCCAGCTGAAGGCACAAGTTGTTCTAGGGGCCTGCAGACTCTGCCTTGGAAAATAATCTACTGCTCTGATATTAGTGTATTGCCCCATACTTCTATGTTCCTAAAAGACTTTTGCATTTGATGTGTGATTCTTATGTGGGAATAGGAACCTTTTTGTTGTACTTTTTTTTTCTGCCTCCATTATCTGACAGGATGGGAAGGGGTAAGCTTTCCTGTTACTTTCCCTTCCTGTCTGAATGCAACTGTCCTATATCATTTGCTCCTCATTCCTCTAAGATTTCACTCTCAAAGTTCAGCCCAAATGATGAAATTGGCTGTATCTTGGTTTATTCTGGCTACTACAACAAACTACCATAGACTGGGTAGCTTATAAAAAACAGAAACGTATTTCTCACCGTTCTCAAGTCTGGGAAGTCTAAGATGAAGGCACCAGCAAATTCCATGTCTGCTTAGGCCTGTTTTCTGGTTCATAGATGGTGCTTTCTCACTGTGTCCTCACATTGGTGGAAGAGGCGAGGGCTTTTCCTTGAGTGCCTCATAAGGGCACTAATCCCATTCATGTGGATCTGCCCCCATGACCTAATCACCTCCCTAAGTCTTCACCCTCTGATACCGTCACCTTAGGAGTTAAAATTTCAACATACAAATTCTGAGAAGGCAGAAACAGTCAGACCCTAGCAGGGTGCAAGGACAGAAATCAGCCCAACCGTAAGAAAACTTAGAAAATATATCTAAAACTTTATCCCTGTTATAGATGGAAAATACTTGGTGCAGAGCCTGGAATGGAATCTTCTATGAACTTGGATAGGTGAATAACACTGTACTACATGGTGATAGCTGTGGAAGATCCAAGTGTTACACTTAGAACTGACAAATTCAACATATTTTGTCAGACAAGCATTGGGCTCATTCTGTCCATTCCACAGTCTATTGGCTGAACTCTGCTAAACCTATGTGATTAAATAAAGACATCTGTAAAAGTCTTAATGATGGTCACACTACAAAGCTCTTTGAGTAACTAATCCCAGTGTTAGCCAGCAATGAGTCTTAGGGAAGTTCTTCACATTGACCTGGATTCCAAATACCTAATAAAAAAGAGCAAGTGTCAAACTCAGAGTGTGTGTCTCTTTCTTCCTGTTTATTTGTGAATGGCTTTTAATGAATAGGAAAAGAACAAAAAGTATAAATGCAGCTTGTCAACCACAACAATGTGCCTTTTCAACTTTTAGCTAAGACATGAAAAGTTATAATTTCACTACTTTTTATATAAACATAACTGCATATTTTCACAGCTTTGCTTTAAGACTTAAGCTCCTCCAGCTGATCATAAATTGCCAGGAAATGTCTGCCCAGTCTATCACAGTGTCTTAATTAAGCAAAGGCATAGAAATTATATGGGGGCCTTGGCCCGTGGGACTCACCAGGTGTAATGAATTCTGAAGAAGCAGTAGACACAGATTTCCCATAATAAATACTAGTGGAAGGACAACAGAAATAAAAAAAAGGTTTTTCTCTTTTCTACCAATCTCTTCCTTTTGAAAAAGATAGCAACAAAGATAGCTTAAAGATAGACCTTTAAGCCTCAATTTTGATGCCATTTCTTTCTAGAGAATTTTTGGTTTCTCCTTTCCACACTCCATTACAGGCTGTGCTAAGGGACAGTGGCCCACAGGGCTCCCTCGGGTGCAGGCGATGGCCCGGGGCCAGCGGAGGCCCCTGAATATCTCCCTTACTACCAAGAGGAGACCAGCTACTGAGGCTCCCAGCACGCTCTCTCCCCACATGGTCTCCCCATCTGGGTGTTTGGGTTTTTCTGTGTTTTCTTCTTTTTTTTTTTTTTTAACCTGTTCAGTGCTGCCAGTCAACAGAGCGTCTGTTGAGTAGCAGCGTGGGATCAGGCAGCAGGGTTTTTTTTTCCCCGTTGCTTTCGTTCCTTTGCAGGACTGAGCCACCAGGCTGTGGGGGAAGGGATCAAGGCCGTATCCCGATGCGTGTAGGGTGAGGTTCCCCGCTGGCGCGTCCAGGCTGTGGGCCTAGCTGTGCTGGGGAGACGAGACCTGGGCATGGAGGGAGCCGGTCCCCGAAGGTTTCCGGTTGCCTGTCCTCTTCCCCCTTTTGTCAACCGATCAGTTTGTGGTTTCTGTACCCGCAAAAGTTTCAAGAAGTATTAACAAAAGAAAAAAATTTTTTTTTCCCCCAGGAATGGGGCGGGGACAGTGGGTGCTGGGAAATCAGTCCCTTGGGACAGGGGGCCCGGCCAGGATGCTAAAATATCTCAGGCTCCTGAGTGGCTGGATTTCCCTAGGACCCTCAGACCAACAGAACTCAGACCCTCAGACCTACGCTGGGGCCCGGTGAGGAAACAGGCCCGTACAAGGTAGTGGAATTCTCCGTTGTTAGTGTTAAGCCTGACCCCTCTCCATACTAGTCCCCTTACCCCCGTGGCCCTCAGTAGGGTTTTTTTGATTGTTTTTGTTTTTGTTTTTTTGAGATGTAGTCTCACTTTGTCTCTCAGGCTGAAGCACAGTGGAGTAATCTCGCCTCACTGCACCAGCCTCCCATGCTCAAGCGATCCTCCTGCCTCAGCCTCCAGAGTAGCTAGGACTACAGGCCTGTGCCACCACGCCTGGCTAATTTTTTGTATTTTTAGTAGAGACGGGATTTCACCATGTTGGCCAGGTTGATCTGGAACTCTTGCCTTCATGTGATCTGCCTGCCTCGTCCTCCCAAAGTGTTGGGATGGCAGGTGTGAGCCACCACGCCCAGCCCCTCAGTAGGTTTTAAGGAGCTCCAGCCCTCCTTCTCCCCTTCCGGGCCTGACCAGGTCTACTGCTGTATCTCCCCCCACCACACGCCCTGCCAAGTACTGCACAGGGCCCCCCACCCAGGGACCCTGGACCATGAGATAATGTGAAATACCAACTGTGGACCAAACACAATAAAACCTCTGTTTTTAAGAAGAAAATGAAAAGACTCAAAATTGGCATTTTAAGACTTTATATATATTATTAAATATATATTAAATATAAATGTTATACAATTTAGCGCCTCTATCTCCCAGTCTCTGGGAGAGGTTAGGAACTTAACTTTCTTAAGCCTCAATTAGTAAATACATCTGGCCTAGCCACATTGACCAACCTCTCTCCTAACATCATCCTGTAAATTTCAGAAGCTCATGCAAAACTCTCCCACCTTTTGTTTCAACAGATATGTCAACTGATACAATTATACAACAATTGTATAAGATAATATTAGATTTAATCTCACAATCACACTCAGCTGGATTACTAACCCTTCTCCTACACCTTGCTCACCTAAATTTATCTACATTTTCTATGAATTGAATAGCTTAGAAATGTATGTCATCTGTGTATTATAGTGTAAGTTATTGTAATACAGAAATATGGACTTTCTTTAACTCCCATTTGCTGCCTAGGAAATACCAATTTTTTGGGGAAGGCAAGTGTTTCCAAGCATTCAGAAGTGCAGAATGAGGTCTGCTTGTCATCCTCTCAGTCTCAACTCCTCTCCCTCCTTCATCTCTCTGTTTCTTTGATGAGTATAGAAGATCAGTGATTTTTATATGAAATGAAAATTGATGGAACTAAGGTGTTGATTTGATTATCCAACCGACCATTTATTGAGTGTCCATTACAAGTTAAATTGTGTTCTGGAGAACAGCTCAGGAAATGAATGCTTGACATTGATGTACATAATAGAAATACAAACATACCATTAAAAAATCAGACCTCTTATGACAATCCAGATTCTCATGTAAGTTTTGTGATGCTCTTTCAAGATGAGAATGTAAAATTTCAAAAAAAATCATTTTAACAAGTCCTTCTTGAGACAGAAAAGTGGAATTAGAAGATCATGTATGGTTGTTTCACTAGCTCAAATCTTAAGTACAGTTTTTAGTCAATTGACAGCCATATAATTCTTAGTTTTGTATACTGATATTCATTAGAAATTATAAACTTTAAAAAATATTCCTGTCTCATTCTACTAATCAATTTAAAATTTTCATTCATTTGGTTATATTTCTTCATTTAACCTCGTCTTAATACTTCTTTCCTGCCCAACATTAAACTTAATTAATGTCTAATTTGTTTACTTGGTTTAGTTACTTTTGGCCATGTTCAATACACTTCTTATGAAGCAGACATGTAGGAGTGTTTACAAGTTTATGGTTCTCAGTCTTCCAAATCCCTGATGGCAGCACCCCAACAGACACACACCACAATATAAACACACACACACACACCCGTGCACACCCATACTCACCCACCTACACGCAGACACACACACACCCCCATACTCACCCACCTACACACAGAAACACACCCCCACACACACTTCAGTGGATAAACACAGAAAACACTCTACAGGCAAAGACATCATACATCAGGGATCTCTTAGTGCACTACACACTTCTGTAAATTATCAGGACTGCTCAATTGAGGTGAGTCTACAGAGATTTCAAAGGCTATTTGACTGCTAAGCTATCTAACCTAGTGGTTGGAGACTATTTAAATAGTGCATTAAACACAACTCTTGAGGCTCTGAAGAATTTCTGTGCTTTGCAATGAACCAGGAGTTACAAGGTCCTGAAAACCGCAAGCTTGTCATATACTTTAATAGATAAAGCAAAGCTGATATTAATGTGAATATACTTTATATTTACTTCCATTCATGTTAATTTTTCTTTGCCTGTAATATACATTTTTATATAACTGGGAATAAGAAACATCTTAGGAAAAAGAAAACAAAAAATAAAATTTCCCTGATTACACTGTGCCTTGGTTCAGGAACCCTGCACTGCACGTATAGACTATAAATGGGTGTCTTGGGGAGCCACTTTGGTATTTCATTTTAATAGCTCAGCCTGGAGAAGATATTTGTGAGTGGATCACATATTACAACTGATTTAAATTTTGACCCATAGAGAAATAAGTTTTCAAAAATATGTCTGAAGCCTGGATACTGAAAAATATTTATCATCATAGAATAATAAAAGGCTAGCCATTAGTTACTCAGAAATTGTTCAATAACTCTAAGAAAACTTAGACATAAATAGTTATGAGTGAGTATAGTTCATCATTAATGTTTGTAAAAATTAATGCTGTCATTTATAGTTGGGAATAAAAAACTAGAAATGTAACTTTATTTGATAGAGATAAATGATAGATATAAAGTTTACATAAAGCAAGAGAATAATAATAGATGTGTAAAAATATTATTTTATAGATAAGATTTTATGATGAAATTGTGTTGAGCAACATGAATCAAACGTGTTTTGCATACTACATCTGCAGTTACAACATCACAGCCTTTTAAGTATTTCATTAACTTCAAAATGTAACTTATCACTGAAACAATCTGATTTAATGAATTGGGATAATGGGTAATGATTGGTGTAAGCTGAAAGCAATACTATACTTTTAAAGTTATATCTCTTTGTGTATTAATACAAACACCAGAGAAGATGGTCAATAAATTAATTACTGTACAATGTCTATCATAATACTTAAACCTGGAAGAAAATCATTAAATGTTTAGTGAATAGAATTGGTGAATTGCTTCCATTTTATACAATTTTCTCTTCATTTTAGGGCTTACCAAAACTTGCAGCTGTAAGGCCCAACTATTTACTCCTTCAAATAAAGCAAGATTCCAAGAATAAGTATGAATGTTTTGTTTTGTTTTTCACTGAAATATTCCGGTCTGTAGCTACTCCAAATCACACTAATCTTTCTGGAGTCTGGTATAGGTCCTGGTCTCAAGGCCACTGTTACCACCATCACCATCTTTTGTGCCTCAAGGTTGAGCCCTCCTAACTTACCTGCCTGGAACTGGAAAAGTCCCATTTCATGATACTTTAAGCAACCCAGATGTCTCTTTCACTGAAAGTGGTATTCTTCCTGGGTTTTTTCTTTCCAGCAAGTGATGTCGACCTCTACCTACACCTGACATCTCAGTGTAATTCTTGACATTTTCTTCTTCACATTTCCATTTTCAGTCGCCAAGTGTTGTCAGATTTTACCTTCTCTCTATTTCTTGAATGAATTTTTCTCTTTCTGTCTTCATTGCCATTATGGATTCCACCCCATCACTCTCTCACCTGGGCTACAGTGAGCACCTCTAAAGTGCTCTCCCTGATTCTCTCTCCAAAAATGTTTCTGTGCTATATGCAAAATGACTTACTTGAAATGTAAATACAATTTACATTGTAAATTGCTTGGCTTAAAAATTCCCAAAGACTTCACATTGGTACTAGGAGTCCAATCAAGAGTCAAAAAATGGGTTCAAGCAGTAGAAAATTTGTTTCTTTTCTCTCTCCCCCATCTTGTGGCAGGAACATTATTGAGCTAAATGATTCAGATATATTTTTTCTTGCCTTCTGGACTTTGGTCTTCTTATTCAAATGCTTTTCCCACTACCATCCCAGATTTATATAATTAGCTCTTACTTTTATTTTAGTTTGCTCTTCATCTTCACCACCAAGGGAAGCCTTACCTGATATCCCTAAATATGAAAGGCTTTCATAACAGTGCATAGTTTTCTCTGTTACTTATAATATTGTTTTTAAATTTTTATATTTTTATTACTATTAATAATAAATAAATCTGAGCATGCTCTTTGATAAGAAGTCTAATAAAGTTTTGATGCAATTAGTAATTCAGTACATAATTGTTTTCTATAAGCCATGATTCTAGAGATTGAGGGGAAAATGCAGCAGTAATCTCTCCCAAGTGGAAGGACAAATAGCCAAGCAATATTGACCTACCCATTCATCTCTCAAAAACAGGGTTAAGATATTGATTCTCCTGTTTTCAGGATGAAGAAGGGACAGGGAGTTTCTTGCTTGTTATTTTCTCAACTCACTCTTTTTATGGAAAAAGTAATTAATCTGATAAATGACACCAAAGATTTTGATATTTATTAGCAAGGTGGTGATTCCAAGAAGTTGAAATAAAAAGGCTTCAGAGCCTGTCTCTCTCAATCACTATCTTTGGGCTCTTGAGGCTGCTTGTGCACAAAATAGGAAGCACTTGTGTAAGAGCTGCATAGGCAGGCTCAGTCCAGCTACTGGTTTCATAAATCCAACTTTTCCAAGCATGGCAGAATGTCATAATCCCATGAGCCAAAAGTTTTATGATGAGAGAGAAAGAATGATATTTTGCTCCCCAATCTAATTTTCAAATTAAATTTTAAACAAAGTTAATAAAGTTAAATAAATTTAACAAAGCTGAATATACACACACATGCATACACCCATGCACATGCACACAAGCTTCTTGCATTCATTTTTTTAATTGTTTAATCATTCATGAGAAATGGTTTGATTTTGTATTTTCTATCTACCAATACTGGCACAAGCTCTGGCTGCAAAACTTTTGTTGGTCAAACATTAGCATTTGGGCAATATGTCCCTGCTGAGAGATAGATCTTGATACAGCCTTAACTACATCATCAGTAGACATGGGACTGTTTTTAACTAGAGGGAGGCAAATGGCTTTCAGATCGTTGTGTAGCTGGTTTTAACAGTAGCCTGCAGTGGCTTTTTGACAGACATGAACCTTACTAGTTATTATTAGGCTTCAGAGCATTAGTATGAGGTTTTAATTTGCTTATGTTAGGCATGAGAATGTAGCACTATCCTAGATGCCCTAAATATTGTTCCTTGTCACTTTTTTCCTACTGAATTCAGAGGTAATTTGGGGACTGTGTCTAAAATGGTCTTATATTCATGTGCCATAGGTTTCTGAAGCTTCTGTTCTGAACATGGTCTCAAGTTGGCTCTTGAGGGCTAATTTCATTACACATGATCATAGGCATAAATTTAAATTTATGGGGGATTGTTTTGTACATCCGACAGAATCTGGATTTACTACCAAGAGACTGTAGAGTTCATCAAAAGGAAGATAAACAAGAATAAGAGTTCTTGCTGTCTAAGGAATATATCATCTTCTTTGGGTAATGCCTATTAATGCTCCTCAAAATAGCTAGAGCATTCAAGGTTTGTAACCAGTTCACAATGACGAAGTAGCTTCTACTAGAAATTAAATATATTAGTTCTTTCATTGAGTAACTATTGCTACAAGAATATATTTGCTGAATAAACTAGCAGGCTTATTGACATAATTGATTTGCATACCATGGCAACACTTCATGGACCAAACCCCAAGTCCCATGAAAAATTGAATAGAATTATTTGACCGTTAAGTATCATTGGAAAGGCCTGGCTCTAGGTCTCAGGAAGCAATCTGGTTGATTATGTGTTTTCAGTGTGTAGTCATAATACAACTGTATATCAGTAGTGTACATTAGACACTTTATACGCTCTACATATATTTTCTCATTTGATCCTTCAATACATGCATAATATAGGAAATAGACTTGAATTTAACTGCTCCAGTAAGGCCAAAGACCAAAAACCTCATTACAATGCCTACATTAGAAATTCTTCTTCCAATTAAAATAGTTACCAGGGGCAATTTCTCCTGCCATAATGAGAAGACATTGGATGAACTTAAAAATTTTTTTTTTTGTTTAAAGCCATCAAAACACTATGGGCCTAAAGTTACAATGAACTAAATTTCAGAGAAAAATAAGCCTTTCCTAGGTGATCACAGATTACCAGCGGAGCCCATCTCTGAGGACATTTGCTGGATCTGGGGCCTTGATTAGGTAGAAGGACAAGGCTACAATGTGCAGAGACACCTGGAACATTGGGAATAAGCAAAATAATCTACAGGAAACTGCAATAGGGGCTGAAAACTAGAAAGATCATGTGGTCTCCAACTCTTACTTATTTTCACTTAAGAGACAGGGTCTCATTCTGTCACCCAGGCTATGGTGCAGTACAGTGATCATGGCTCACTGCAGCCTCAAACTCCTCCCTCAGGTGATCCTCCTGCCTCAGCCTCTCCAGTAGATAGAACTACAGGTGCACAGCATCATGCCTGGCTAATTTTTATTTTTTGTGTGTGGACACAAAAACCCACTATGTTGCCCAGGCTGGCCTAGAACTCTTGGCCTCAAGTGTTCTTCCTGCCTTGCCCCCCACCCTCAAGCACTGCTATTACAGGTGTGAGTCACCACATCTGGCCTCCTCTAGCATTTAGATACTAAACTGTAGGGAAAATGAGTAAAAGATAAATATAAGTAGCATTTTGAGTATTTCCTTCCCATACACCCATGGGATTGTTTCGTGTATCTTACTACTTCACATAGGAGACCATTCCTCCATCCAACTATGCAAACTAAGTCTTTAAAATTTGATTTTTGCCCTACAATAAGCTCTATGCTAAACCTCATTACATGTGATTTTGACAATTTCTGTTTTTATACCACAGTTGCAAAAAATTAATCATATTCTTTACTTCATGAGACATTATTATTATTGTTTCCTAAAAGTTTCTTTCTGGTTTTACTTATTCAATTTTTTTATTCTTTATCCCTTGTCACAGACAGGCATGCAAATGTGTTTGATATAAGTTCTTTACTCTTAAAGAATTCTTACAAGATAAGAAGGTTGTTTTCTGAGTGTGTGTATGTGTATATACACAAGTGTATACATTTTTCTTAAAGAGTATCGTGCTATAAAGCTAATTTTATTTCTATTTTTTTCACAGAGCATCACATCCTTCATGTATTTCCACACTGCTGTAGGCTATTTTTGGTTGTTTATTCCCCTGTAGCTGCTGCATAGTTTTGGACAAAATGAATCAACCACATTTTCCCTATCCAGTCTTGCAGTAGAATTCACACTGATATCCTGCTACTGAAATATTCACTTCCTTGTGGTATTCTTATGAAAAGACTTTTTGGTCATGTGTCACAATTTGTCAGGGTCTATGTTAGTCTGTTACTATTGCTATGAAGACACACGCGATGCTGGGTAATTTATTTATTTATTTTTTAAAAAGAGAGGTTTATCTTGGTTCAGGGTTCTGCAGGCTGCACAGGAAGCAATGGCATCTGCTCTGGGTGAGGCCTCAAGAAGCTTACAATCATGGCAGAAGGTGAAGGGGAGCCAGTGTGTCACATGGTCAGAGAGGGAGTAAGAGAGAGAAGGGGGCAGTCCCAGGCTGTTTTTAACAATCAGATCTCTCATGAACTCACTGAGAAGAACTCACTCACAAGGGGATGGTTCTAAACCAAGCTTGTCTAACCTGCAGCTTGCAGGCTGAATGCAGGTCAAACAGCTTTGAATGTGGCCCAAAACAAATTTGTCAACTTTGTTAAAACATAAGAGACTTCGTGTGTGTGTGTGTGTGTGTGTGTGTGTGTGTGTGTGTGTGTGTTTAGCTCAGCAGCTATTTTTAGTGTATTTTATGTGTGGCCCAAGAAAATTATTCTTCCATTGTGGTCCAGGGAAGCCAAAAGTTGGACATTCCTGTGCTAAACTATTCATAAGGGATCCACCCCATGATCCAATACCTCTCACTGGGCCCCACCTCCAACATGGGGGATCACATTTCAGCATGAGATTTGGAGGGGACACACATACAAACTATATCAGGTATATGTGACCGTCATTGAGACAGGTTGTAGAGTATGCATACTTTCAAATGGATCCTGTCATGTTATTTTCTGAAATGTTTAAAACCATTGAATTTCCCATCCATTGCCCATAAAGGTTGTTATCCTCATATCCTCATCACACAATGTTATCTAGGATTCTTAATTTTCTAAGCGAGTGGTGAAAATACAGATCTCATTTTATTGTGCACATTTGCATCTGTCATATTGTTAATAATGTATTGGAATTTTTTGGCCCATCTTTCTATTGAGTTGACTATCTTCTTTGTTCATTTGAAAATCAATGATATTCACTGTGCCCTAAGCATTGTCAACATTTTCTACTACTCTGTCACATGTCTGATAACCTTGCATACCAGCCTTTATTGAAATGAATCTTTATGATTTTTATACTCCTTCCAGAGTTTATGTATTTAAGTAAATTTTTTGGTTTAGTAAATCCTTTATTAAATTGTAACAACAGGCCCAAATCTCTGTTTTATTGGGTTCATTCAGATTTAGAATTCAGAAAACTTTTTGGTGGATAAATTCTTTTTATCATAATAAAGAATGGCTGTGATAATGCAATATGATTATTTCTGCTAATGCTTATTGTTTTATAGCCTACTTTGTTTATGTGATCAGGAGGACAAGACCTGAATGGCCTTGACCAACTCAGCTTTATGTACCTCCTGGTTCTCAGAATAATTTTAGAATGTTCCGAGAAGACAATATCCTGAGATAGAGAGAAACTGTCTGGGATTGTCTGGGCTCTGCCCTTGTTGTTCCTAGAACAGGATATTTCGGCAACTCTTAAACTCAAAGAGCCAAGTAGCACATGGGGTGTGAAACCTAGGGCAGAGCACTCAGGGGTTCCTCAGCTGCAGTACACAGTGGAGCATGTGCAGAGGAGACTCTGTCAACCCTGGGCAACTTTTCTGACCTCAAGGGTCAGGCTTGCCATAGAACTTAGGCTTTTGCTGATTCTTCCGGCTCCTCTGTGAGTAATAAATTTGGTTTATCTGACCTACTGTGTGAGCATTCTTCTGTTTCTGGCAGCTTGGTTTATATAAAGAAACCTCTTGCTAGACCTATGAATCTATGCAATGTGGAAGTGTCATAGAGGTAAATAGGAAGCAACTTAACTGAGTTGAAAACTAACATACATAACATGGGGCCACTGCACCAAGGGGCAAAATGAGCCAGCCAAAAAGGCCACATGTGACAATTCCAGACACACTGTGGAAGAAGAAGGATGCTGAAACTCAGAGAGATCTGAAGATCTTATCCAAGCCAACAGGAGGCAGGGAATTCCACGGTACTCTGATTCAAGAGTACAAGCTTCATCTCAGAGAAAAGCAATGCAATGGCCTCAGCGATCAGACCAGAGAGACCCTCTGCCACAGAGAAAGCAGAGATCCAGAGAACAGCATGAAGACAATAAGAGACTTGAGACTCACTTTCACTTTGCCTTGAGGCCACAGAAAGCCCAAAGCATCTGAATATCTTCTTGGAGGCATTTTCCTAAAATAGAGCTATTGAAACTTGAAGAAAAATGTGAATCAAGAAGCTAAATTTAAAGATATGTTATTTTCTCCTGCCCTCCCCCACAAATTAACCACAGGATGAGTCTAGTGAGATGAAGCATATCATTTATACAAAATACAGAAGCTACATATTCTTTATGTGAGCAGAAATATGTTCAAATTTTACTCAATAAATGCATTTTGTTTTACTACTAGAAATAGTAATTTTCACTTGGTGATTACTTTATTTTATAATTATCTCTATTTAAATTTGTATTAGCCCACTCCTGGGTATCTACCTAGAGGAAAATAAGTCATATGAAAAAGACATTTGTACACACATTTATAGCAGCACAATTTGCAGTTGCAAAAATGTGGAACCAGGTTAAATGTCTATCAGCCAATGAGTGGACAAAGAAAATGTGTTATAGATACACCATGGAATACTGCTCAGCCCTAAAAAGGAATGAAATAATGGCATTTGCAGCAATCTGGATGGAGTTAGAGATGATTATTCTAAGTGAAGTAACTCAGGAATAAAAAAACAAATATTGTATGTTCTCACTTATAAGTGGGAGCTAAGCTATGAGGGTGTAAAGACATAAGAATGATATAAGGGACTCTGGGGACTCGGAGGGAAGGTTAGGGGGATGAGGGATGAAAGACTACACATTGGGTACAGTGTACATGACTCGAGTAGTGCATACACCAAAATCTCAGAAAATCACCACCAAATAACTTTTCCATGTAACCAGAAACCACTTGTTTCCCAAAAACTATTGAAATAAAGTGATATGTATGAAAACAATGAATATGATAGTCTTGAGGTACAACATTCACTGGGTTTCATATGGGAGAAAAACAGCTAAAATCAAACACATGGATAGACAGTCAGAACAATGTCCATCATATACATAGTAAAATTAATACAACTGCAAACATGCATGAGTGGCGTCCATTTGGAATAACCTGCAGTGAAGATGTATGCCTTAGGGCCCACATAACTCATGTTAGGGAGAAAATGTATAACTTTATTCAATATGAAGATTTCTTCAGAAATAACTCAGTCCATGCTGTGCAGATGCAGTCCTGTACTGTAGAGACAAAGAATAAGAATCATCAAAGTGGAAAAACCTCTGCCCCTGCTCCAAATTCTGGTTCACACAGCAGAAGTACTACTGGAGAGAAAAGCCATACATGTCCCAAATATGGGAAAGCCTTTACCTACCAGTGATTTCTTGTGAGACATATGAAAATTCACACTAGAAAGAAATCTTATGAATATGACAAAAGTGGCAAAGGCTTTAGATATTCCCTACACCTTAATAAACATTTAAGAATGAACATTCTGGACAAGCCCTATGAATGTAAGGAATGTGGGAAAACCTTCAGCAAGCCTCAAAACATGCATATATAAGGAGTCATGCTGGAAAGAAACCCTATAAATGTGACAAATGTGGAAAAGACTTTGCAAAGTCATTAGAATTAAAAGCCACCTTAAGAGATACAATAGTGAGAAGCCCTGTGAGTGAAAGGTGGAAAATCATCATTAATTTTTCACCATACTGAGGAGGACACACTGGAAGGGAGCTCAATGAGTTAACATGCATGAGAACATCTTTCCTGGACTCTCATATCTTACAGTAGTGTGAAAAGAAACCCTGTGAAGGTAAACTCTATGGAAAGCCTTTCATTCATCTTCATTCATCTTGAGTAGCTATTTGTTCTCACACTGGTGAGAAGCTATGAAAGCAAGGAACATGAAAAAAGCCTCAGTGTTGCCTCAGACTTGTAGTTCATACAAGAACTCACACTGCAGAGACTGCTTATGGAAGTAAAAAATGTAGAAAAGACCTCTTTAAACACTTACCCCTCTTGTTACACATGATTCCGCACTCTGGAGGGAGACTACAATGGGAATAAATATAAGAAAGCTTTCAGTTCCAGCTCTTCACTTATTGGGCATGAATGAGCACATAGCAGGACTGAAGCACTGTAAATGTTAACAGTTGTTGCAGTTATCATTGTCTTATCTCTCAATTAGAACCCAAATTCATAATTTTATAGTTTTTCTTTTCTTAAAAAAAATGGTATAAAATGACAGATAGCTGTCTTAGCCCCCTTTCTGCTCTGCCACCTTAATGTTGCTATGTAGTAGCTTTGTTACAATTCACTTACATACCCATGGTTTTATTTTCAATGTGAAGCCTTCTTTGAGTTCCATTCAATTTAGATTTAGAATTCGTATGCTCCAGGATACCCTTTTTTTTTTTGTCAGTTTGTTTTAATTGGTCACAATTTGCCTGCATTATGGTCACATTATGTGGCTTTAATGGTACCGATTTGGGGTGCCTATTATGACTTTCATTGTGGTCTAATGTGGCCAATTCTGTCCATTTCCCTGCTATATCCATTATTCTCATCTTCTTCACTAAGGGAGCATAGATTTATCATTTACAAGGAGCACAGTTTACATGTCTTTATTTATTTATCCTTATTTTATTATTTAATTTATAATTTGTTTTTGAAAAATGGTCTAACTCTGTCTCCCAGGCTGGAGTGCAGTGGCATGAACATAGCTCACTACAGCCTCCTGGGTTCCTGTGACCTCCCAGCTCAGACTCCTGAGTAGGTAGCACTGCAGGCATAACAGGTGTGCACCACCACACCCAGATTTTGTTTTGTTTTGTTTTTGTGGATACTGGGTTTCATTATGCTGCCTGGACTGGTTTCAAGTTCCTGTGCTCAGGTGATTCTCCCACCTTGGCCTCCCAAATTGCCAGAATTACAGGCATGAGCCACCATGCCTGGCCCTGATTAATGTCTTTAAATGAGTTTCCCAGTTTTTCTCATAACTGCAGTGAGCAGAGCTTATAGTCTTGGCCAATGTGAAACGCAGAATTCACTGGTTTGGATTTCTGAAAATCTGTTTGGAAAGGGAAGAGTTATTGCTCCTCTTTTCCCTTAATCATGTTCCCTTTGCTCTCTCTGCTTGCTGATCTCTGGAAATAGGATGAAATGCCCTGAGTCCAGTTAGCACCTTGAAGACCATTGGAATGATGGTCCCAACAACACAGTCTTCAATATACAAGATTTCTCACTGCCCAATGACATGTTGGGTATCCATGGCTGCCCTGGACTATTTCTGGAATTGTTTCATAAAACTAACCCCTAGTAGAACTAAGAAACAATTTTAGGAGACATACTTACAATAAATTAAACGGTAAACCTAAAAATGAATAAAACATATTATAAAAATAAGGAGAATAGACAAAATGGGCTTGCAGATGCTGACTGGCCACACATCCTTGATGCTCACCTCCATGGATGCCTCACCAACTGTGACACTTGGAGAGCTGGCAGCCATCACTCAAGAAATCAGAACACAGTGGCCTCTACCGCAGCATCAGGGAACAAAAACTAAGCCTGTCAGCTCTCAAGAAACATACTTATGTGTATGTATATATATATATATATATATATGACATAAATTTATTCAGTTACTTTGAGATATCTCATTGCTAAACAGATAAAATGAATTAAAACTAGTGCAAATTTCTGGCAACAGTATTTCATCTCCCCATTATTTATCCAGGGCATTGAAAATTGGCACACATCACAGATCCTTAAGTCATTCTCTGAATCAGGAGGAGAAAAGAGGAGAACAGAGAGAGCTTACCATATGTGCCAGTCACTGGGCTGAGTGCTGTGCCTAAAGGATCCCACTTGATGCTTGAAATAACCCTGCAAGATCAAACTAAAAACTCATACACACTCACACACACACACTCACACACACACACATGCTCAAGCACACACTAGAAACTACAGAACAAAGAAAACGTTGACAACTAATAGAAGTATAGTGCTGGCTAAGCACAGTGGCTCATGCCTGTAACCTCAGCACTTTAGGCCAGGAGTTCAAGACAAGCCTGGGCAACATAGCAAGACACCATCTCTACAAAACATTTTCTTAGATAAAAATCATTTTTAAAAAGTGGTATAATGCCTAAGGGCTCAGGGAAACAGTACCCCTATGGCTGTATGGTAAGCAGCAGGCAAGGCTACTTGTCAGACCAAAGTGGTAGTGATTCCAGGGTTCCTTTGCACACTTATCCAGGAGGCTGGCTAGCTCAGCACTGCCTGGGTTTACTTTATACCTTCTACAGCTCTAAAGCTCTGGAAGGTGGGACCTAACCATAAGAGAAATTGCTATTACGCAGGACTCTCTTAACTGCAAGTGACTGAAACCTACTCGATCCAGGAGAACATTGAATTACTTGACTCTAATTACTAAAAATATCCTTAAATAGATGGGCTTCTGGCTCAGTGAGATCAGGGGTCAAATAATATCAACCAAGACTCATTCTGTCCCTTCATTTCCTGTGTCAGCTCTGCTTTTCATGCTAGCTATTTTGAGAGAACAGCAAAAATGGCCCCATAAATTCCATATCATTTACTTCCTTGCAAATAGCTATGCCAATAAAAAGAAAGCACCTCATTCCCAGCAGTTTCATCAAAAGTGCAGGGATGACTTCCATCAGCCCAGCTTGGATCACATGCCTGTCCCTGAATTAATTACCCTGCTGATTGCCCAGGGTGGCCAGCCTCACCCCAATCACATGGGCTAGTATTGAAAGAGTGGTCCTCACATGAAGAAAAAAAATAGAAGAATAGTGGCAGAGAAATATGGGAGGGAGGGCCTCATCTCTATATAAAAAGTATGAGCGTATTTGTGTTCTTTGGTAAACTTATTGATATAGTCACTGGGAAAAAAATTGAGAAAAACCCACACAAGACTTTCTACATGCCTCTGTGCTTTGTATTCAACACTGAGCTGTGAGAACTGTAATTATTAAAACAAAACTTTGAAAAGAAGTAACAATTTGGGACAATGGGGACCCTTAGCTGATGCGACAGTGAGCAGTTCTTCTTTTGTGTGCATGAAGATGCAATTCCCAGGAGCCCGCCTGGGGTCTTCTAGGACAAGCATGAGGGCACCTACAGGCTGCAGTTCCACTTTTCCTTCCCTGGACTCTCAGGGAGAAACAAGTTCTGGATTCAGCTGAACTGAGTTCAAGTTCAGGCTCTGTGACTCACTGGGTAAGTCTCTTGCTCTCCTTGAGTCCCACATCCTCATTGGTAAAATGGAGAGGTAGAGTTATTGTTAGGTTTGGAAGGCAAGGCGAGGGTTAAAGAAAGACAGAGGGACAGTTGGTGGCTTCAACAGCAACATCTTTATTGCCAGCAAAACCCTGGGGAGGAGGAAACCAGCTTAGTGCCAGAACCAACTGCCACTCACAGGCTGGGGTAATCATGGGACTGGGAGGGAGGGATCTGGGTGGTAGAGCTTGCTGCCCAGCAGGATATGGCAAGGATGTCCCTGCAGTCAGGCTGTTGGGCCTTTGCCCAGGAGGATGTGATAAGGATGTTTCTGCAGTCACGTGGTTAGGAAGGATGTTTCTCATGGCCCAAGTTCCCATGGAACGTTTCACTGTGATCAAAGTCTGCAAAATGGCTGGAGGTTTACAATATGGTACAGGTTAGACCAACAGTAATATCTCCCAGATAAACAGTTCTACAAAGTAAACTTCCCTTGAGCATCTACACTGTACCAGACATGGTGCTAGGACCCAGGCCACAGGAGGAACAGGACAGATGAGGCCCCTGCCATCCTGGTGCTCACATCTGATGAAGGAAGCTAACAGATCATAAGACCAGGTCAGATGGTGGTGGTAATCAAAGACATTACCAGAGTGAGATGAGCTAGAAAGAAACCGAAGGAGCTCTTAAAAACACAGTGACAGGTGGAGACCCCTCCGAAAGGTGACTTTTGAGCAGAAACCTGAGAAATGTGGAGGGGGCTATGGAGAACGACCAGCCCCTGAAGCAACCCCAGGATTGGGAGGGCAAACCCAGCACCAGGAGGGCAATGGAATGGCCTGACCTGTGCGTCCTTCATGCTTCCTTCCTCAGTGATGCACAAACAGTAACATGGGGCAATTTCGTGCAGGGTCCATGGATGAATCAAGAAGCAGCCACACTGCAGAGCTGGAGTGGGGATAAAATCTGACCCAACAGTAAAGCTAGAAGCAGGTGCTGCTTACCACTGACCACAATGCAGGTCATGAAGCATAACCAGACCCTGAAGGCACGTCCAGGGCCAGACCAGCTGACCGGGCTGCCAACATCTTAGTAGAGATCCCAGGAGATCAGTTGAGCTGGTTAGGGGGAGAAAAAAAAAAAACAGGAAAGCTTCAGAAAATTCCAGAGGACCCATGACACTTAACATCAACTTCCCCCAAGTGGGATCTGTTTGTCATTGCTGGTTCTAAAGAGTTGGTCCCACCATCCCCACC
Source organism: Homo sapiens (assembly GCF_000001405.40). Taxonomy (NCBI): domain Eukaryota; kingdom Metazoa; phylum Chordata; class Mammalia; order Primates; family Hominidae; genus Homo; species Homo sapiens. Next base: position 14,341,383 of record NC_000018.10, on the reverse strand, counting down.
TGCCCATTGCCTAACCAGGGGAAAACTCAGGGTGGGGTCCACAGAAACAATCCCTGTGGAAGAGGAAAGGGTGTTTCTCATCCAAAACCAAGGGAAAACACCACTTATAAGGAGCAGAGGGGCCTGAAGGGAGAGACAGGATTCTGCTGTTCATTTGGATATCTGCTTCCCAGCAGGAAAGGGGACCACGCAGGATACAGGGGCTAAGTGGACCCTGTGCTGTGGGACTAGGGGGGCTGGTGCTGACTCACTGTTGGAGGTGAGCCACTATAGGAGGCTTAGAACCCCTCCCTGCAGCCTCTCCAGTCTAATAAGGGGATGGTAGTGTGGTCAGTGAGGGCATCCAGATGCAGCCAAAGGGCACAGTGAGTGATGTCTCCTCTGGCCTCCTCTTTCAGCTGCAGATTCTCTGAGTTACTGAAACAGCTTCTCCATGGCCCCACCAGCCTGGAGGGTGGTGACAGCTCCCAGATGACGCTAACCCCAGGGCCCTGCGCCATCCCCCCTGGTTCCCCTTGGCCCTGCCCACACCTACGTAAACAGCTTTTTCTTAATGACCCTTCAGCCACTTCGAGGTCCCTGCCAGTACCTGACTGCCACATTCCCCAAAGGGAACAGGCTCCTCAGCACAGGAGCTGAGGTTTCTACAGGCACAGAGAAAACACTGTCCCAACTGTTGGAATGGAGTCGGGAGTGGAAAAAAGAACGTTTTTTCTCAATGCTTAGACTCACCAATTGTTTCATTTTATCACATGAAGGCTGTGTGGCATTTTGAAGTAGAATTAAGAATCTACATAATTACAAATTATATTCTTAAAAGAAGGTGCTCAGTGCCATGCCTGACACATGGTGGAACTCCACGATGAGATGTGTGAGAAGCCAGGGTGCCATGGTTACAGACAAGGACTGCAGGTACAGATTGCTTGCTTCAAACCTGGACCAGCGGTGTGAATTTTGGCAACTCTCTGTATTGCTCTTTGCCACTGTTTTTTAATCTAACAACTAGAAGTAAAAACAAGGTTATTGTAAAAATTAAATGAATTAAAGTAAGCAGAGTGCCTACAACACCCCCAGGCACGCGGTCAGCACTGAGCATGTTTTTCATTATACTCCTAATGAGGTAAGAGTGAGAACATAGGTGCCAGCCATGAGCCTGGGGTTTCACTGGCAGAGGCATCAGAGACTCTACTTTTAACATCCTCCATTCATTCATTTGACCCTGGTAAGGGAGGAGTCTCATGGGATACAAACAAGCATCCACCTTGGGGCCAGACTTCCCATGGTCAAAGTTGAACTCCACCACTGTTCAGCTGGGTGACTTTGGGCAAGTGACTTCCCCTCTCTGATCCTCATATTCCCTTTCGATAAAAACAGCACAATGGCAGGCCTATGGGGATTGAAGGAGCTGACAGAAAAATGTGTGCCTTAGTATAAATTTCCTGGAAGTAGATCCTGAGGCACATATTCAAATACAAAAATTCTATTTGGAGATAACTCTAGGATAGTAATTCGACTGCCAGTTCTTCCTTAGGGTGCGAATCCCAGGAAACACCAGTAGAGGAGTGGGGAACTGAGACAGGAAAGGAATGCAGCAGTTAAAGGGACCTTCATCAAGAAAGTTTCCTCTGTGGCAGCCAGGACTCAGCCCTGCCAGGCACATCTGCAGAGACAGCACAGAACATGTGCCTCAGAGTCATCCCACCCAAAGCAAGGGAGCTGGGGTATTTATCCACCAATACCCACCAGTCACTCCTCAGGGATCCTTCCAAGGGCATGATTCCTCCAGAATGTCCTGCCTGATCTGCAAGTGTCAGACCCGGGGTTGAGGACAGGGCCCCTGACAGTGCCTCCAGCAATGAGCAGGAACACAGCCTGGTGTGGAGAGTTTTAGTCAGTGATTCCAACTCACACTTACCCACACACCACACTCCAACCCCAGCAATGTGTATATGTACACACACATACATGCATACATGACGGTTACCCACTTTGATCCTGGTGACTCCATGGGATATACAGTAAGGCAGAAATCAGAGGGAAGAGCAGAATTAAGGGGAGTGAAAATCTTAAGAACAAAATGCAAATTTAGGCAGAAAATCAAGGGGGAAGAGGAGTGGTCTGGACACCAAATGCCGGCTGGATGGCACCTGCTCTACACACACTGTCACTAACTATCCAAGAAGCCTCGTGGGGTAGAAGAAATTCCTCTCAATTTACAGATGACAGAAATGTAGTTCAGAAAACTGACTTTACTAATGTCTCAGCAAGCTAGTGCGTGATAGATATGGACTCCCAGATCTTTCCGTCCACAGAGCCTATAAATTCTCCCTTGTTAGGCAGGCTGCATACCAGGCCCTGCTTCTGGGCTCTGCTCCTTTTCCTGCTAGGCAATCATGGCAGAATTGACAGAAATGTTATCCCCCTTCACCACCTGGAGCAGAGCCAATGAGAGGAGCTGTGGAACAGGCCATGAGGCCCTGCACCCACCATTCAATGTCTTCAGGATTGCGGTCCCTCAGAACTCTTGCACCACGTGATGGCATCACTCCTGGGTGTCTTCTGAGGTTGCATAGGATTCAGTAGAGCCCAGTGGCTGTGCTTTCATATCCTAAGAGGCAGCCAAGCAGGCTTGGATCTCTTGGCTGATTCAGCACCAGAGGTTGGACACCGCCCATGCACTGAGGCCCTTGGGAGAATGGGAGGAGGGAAAGGAAGGGCAGAATGGAGTGATGTAGTGTCCATCCACCATGTCCCTGGATGGAGAGACCCACACCGGGACCACCGCTGGTACTCATGAAGATGCCAGCCTCCATTTATATGTCCTCTTCTGACAACTCCTTCCCATTTTCATCCTGGAGACAAGACCTCTGAACACATTAGCTCTGAGGGCACCTGAGTGTAACCTGAGACAGTCCCTGAAGACTTTTCATCCAAGCAGGATCCCTCCCTTGCCATCTCCAGACCTGCCCCACAAGCTCCCTCCTGGGTCTCCTGGCTCTTGTTCACTCCTTCCAGGCAGCCTTCTACAGTCATCTCTAAGACATATCTGACTGTCCCTCCTTTATCCAGCACCTTCCATGGCAAATTAAGATACCGGAGAAGCCACCTTGCCCAGCACAAGTGCATCACTGAAGTCCCAAGTCTTGAACGTGGCCTTGGCCTTGAGGAAGTCATGAACACCCTGGCTAGTGAGGGTGCAGTGCTGCTCCAGGATGATGGTGTCTAAAGTTGTGCACCAGGTCATAGGCCCTGCAGAAGCATCACCCCTCAGGAATGGGTAGTACAGGAAGTCCATGCACAGGCAGATCTGCTGGTGCCATTACACTATGAGGGCACTGAGCTCAAATAGGGTGGCAATATATTCACTGGGATTCCTGCAAGGTGAGGCTGGGGAGAGGAAGCAGCTCCATAACACATATGAAACCCTGGAAACCCTTCTCAGCCAAAATCTCAGGACCACATTACACCCAGAAATGGGTGCCCTCTGAGCACACTTGTCTCTCTGTCTCCCACTCTGAGCTCCCTCATGGCCCCACATGCCCCAGCCTGGCCCAGAGCTTGAAGCCCAGTAAGTGTTCAGTCCATGGTGTTGACTGCTCCCTGGGACAGGAGAGCACTTGGTGGCTCTGGGACTTCTCCTGTGGAACCCCTGCATCTGCCTTGGGACCTCCCAATTCCCATGGGTAGCCCCCATGGCTCTGGGTTGCCCCACCTGCCCTCGGATTCTCCAGCCCCATAGGCCTTACTTGATGCCTTAGCCCTCCCAGAACGTGACATGTTTCTCAGAATGTGGCTGATGTCCAGGGCCATCTGTGGATGTTTGCTGGGGACTTCTTGCTGATTTCCTTTACGGTCTGTAGGGCAGGGCCAAGAGGAGAAACCAGCCCAACCTCAGAAAGAACAAAAGGCTCACTGTCCCAATGGCAACCACCAAACTGTCAGCAGTGCTTCTGAAAGGAAAGGAGGTTTCATTCTGCAGAAAGCTCCTTGTTTGGCTTCTTTCTGACGCCAGGGAGGGGTACCAATCCCTGCCTACCTGTGGTGCCTACGTTACCATCTCTGCCTAGGATGTGCAATGGGCCCCTGCTCCCACTGCAGGGTTGATGTTCCCTCCAGCTGGAGACCTGGGCTCCTGACACCGCCTGGCCTCTTTGTCCTGCTCTGGATGAGGGTGGAAAGGCTGTAACTGGTATTTCCCTAGGTCCTTGGTTTCCACCTTCTAAACATCCAGCAGGAGTGATCATGCCCAGCACCACACCTGAAGTGGGACTCCCTTGTGGAGCAGCCAAGAAATCTACAGATGGAAGAATGCTCTGGTGAGATAGGCCACAGGGGTCCCTGGGGAGGATCGGGGGCCGGAGGATTCTGGAGGTTTCCAGCCTTGGGCTCTGTGGGAACTATGATCTGGAGCTATTTTTTCATTAGGTCACCAAGAGACAACCCCTAACCCCTGAGCAAGGCATGGTCCAAGCTCTGGCATGAGATTCTCTTCCAGCAATGCAATGCTTGCAGAGACAGGTACAAAAGCTGGTGACCAGACCTGCTGTCCCCGAGGTAAGGACAGTGTGCTACCCACCCTCTGAGAGGTGGTGCCAGACCACAGCACTGGGTGCCTGTACCCCTGGCTCTGCAGACACCGGTCATGGAGGTCCCATGGAGGTCCTCCCCTCTCCACATTACCTTCTTGCTGCTCCTAGATTTCTTCTAGTCATTAAGCATGTTGAGCCATTTTTCTGTGCATCCGATCTGACATTTTTGCTCTCAGATGAAACATGACAAAGTAAGCTGAGCCACCAGGATTCCTGGAGGGAACCTTGGATGCTTGGTCTTGGGCTCCAAGGCACTGATGGGAAGGAGCCAGGGAAGGACAAACACTGGGGCTGAGCCCCTATGACCCAATGGCAACTTGTGGCCTGTCCTTATGGCCCCAAGACACCCTGTCCTCAGGCCACAGACACCACGGGCTTTGGTCAGGTCCCAGCCTCCCAGTAGTGTCCGGGCACTAGTGGGTGCTGACCCCTGAGCCACAACCACATTTCTGGGTTTCGGGTTTGGTAAAACCACCCCAGGGACAGAGTTCTGGGGCCGGGTTTGGGAGGAACCAAGTCGCCTCCCAGGGATGGTGTGTCACTCCTACCTGCCATGAAATGTGCACACAGGCTGTCCTCCTGCCCATCCCATCCTGCTGGACAGGATGGAGGAAGTGAGGGAACAGGCAACGTGGACAGCTTGGTTGCAGGGAGAGGCAGGTGCATGCTGGGAGGTCAGGCCCTGTGAGGGCTGTGGGGGCATCAGGTGGAGTGGGTTCCAGGTGCACCCTCAGTGTAATGGGCAGGTCTCAGGCCAGGCTTCCTGGACCCCGGCTGGGTGATGTGGTCACTCCCTGGGGGACTACTGTCAGACCCTGGCCACCCACCCTGGGCAGCACTGTCCCATCCCAGGACTGGATTTTCTGAGTCCTCAGACAGGACAGCACTGCCCAGGCCTGACAGACTGGGAAGACCTCTTAAGTCCTCCATCCCTAGACCAGCCTCCCAACAGCAGGGACAGTCTGCTACCTTTACCTTCAGGGCACTGACTGATCCATCTCAGTCTAAGGCAACCGTGGCAGAGCTGAGGACCTGTGCCAGGCTGGAAGCCAGTCCCTTCCCTAAATAGGCCTTAGGGAAGCCTTATCCCTGTCCCGGTGCACTGCAAGTTTCAGCCCAGGAGACACATAGGGAAGGGAGGATGGGGCCTCCCCACTGGCTGTCCCTGGAAAAGCGGGACCTGGGAGAAAAGGGAGTGCAGGGCTGGCAGGGGATGCTCCAGACCCATGGAGAGCTCAGGCTGCACCATGGGGCTGCCCCTCCTGGGCTGGAGGCTGTGCCCTCTGCAGGATCTGAGGAAGTGCAGTCCTGAGATGGACAGTGCTACCCAGGTTGGGTGGCCAGTGCCTGACAATAGTCCCCCAGCAAATGACCACATCACCCAGCCAGGGTCCAGGGACCCTGGGCCAAGACCTGCCCAGTGCACTGAGGGTGTTCCTGGAGCCCAGTCCACCTGATGCCCCCACAGCCCTCACAGAGTCTGACCTCCCAACATGCACATGCCTCTCCCTGAAACCCAGCTGCCCACCCTGCCTGTTCCCTGGCCTCCTCCATCCTGTGCAGCCCATAGACTGTGACCATCTCTCCGACCACTCTGGCCCTTCCTTTACCTTTGTCCTGTCAGAATCTCTGAGCAAGATCTCCCAGGTCCATCCAAACACCTGCTTTGTCCACTTTTGACTGGGCCATTGAACACCACTGGGCCATCCCAGCTGTCCACAGGGCCTTCAACATGCATTTCTCCTGACATCTCCCTGCAGTGCTCAGCAGCCCCAACTGAACAGGTCCCTGCTGACCAGATCCAGCATATCAGATCCTCCCTGACCACACCTTCACTGATTAGACCCCTGTCACCAGGCCTCACTAACTAGATTCCCACTGACAGGCCCACAATGACCAGGACTCCACTGATAAGGACCTTACTGACAAGGCCTCACTGGTAAGGCCTCACTGACCAGGTCCTTACTGACAAGGCCTCACTGATCACATTCCACCGATAATGACCCCATTGCCTGGTCCCACAGATGAAGCCCCACTGACCAGGCCTCCAGGGAATAGGCTGCCAGTGACCAGTCCCCTACTAACCACGCCTGAGGTGACCAGATGCCCCTGACCGGGACTCTAATGAGTATGCCCCACTGAACAGGCACGCACTGCTCAGATCCCCGCTGACCAGGTCACCCCGTAGACCAGTGCTACAAAAGCCACCACTGATCAAGTCCTTTCTGACCAGGCCCCCACTGATTAGGTTCCACTGAGCAGCCTGCCCTGACCAGGGCCCCACTGACAAGCATCTCTGCTGACTGGGTCCCATGTGGCCAGGCCTCCACTGAATAGCACCCCTTGACATAGTCACCAGTAACCCAGCCCAATCTGACAAGGTCACCGCTAAGCCCCAGCTGACAAGGTCTCCACTGACCAAGTCCCACAGCCCAGGTTTGCATTGACCAGACACCAAACATTTGTCTGCCACTAGGAACACACTCACCAAGACCTGCACTACTAGATCCCTCTAATGAGACCCTCTCTAAGCAGACACCTGCTGACCACCCCCCACTAAATAGGCCTCACTGACCAAGTCCCAACTGACTAGGTCCACTGAGCAGGCCAACACTGATCAGGCCCCTCCTAACCATATCAGAAGGCCAAGCGGCAATCAGATGTTTCATATGGCAGGAGTAGGAGCAAGACAGAGAGAGGAAAGAGGTGTGACATCCTGTTAGACAACCAGATCACATAAGAACTCACTAACAGGACATCAGCATCAAGAAGACTAACCAATGGTGAAGGATTCTCCACTCACACCACCACCCACTGTTTCCAGGCAGCAGCCTCCTGCAGAAGCAGAACCTCTTAGGAAACTTCCACTATGGCAGTGCAGAAGGAAAATATAGGCTTTGAGCCCCCACACAGGAGGCCACCATCCTCCAGACTCCAGGTTCATAAGCCCACCAACAGCTCACACCCTCAGTATGGAAAATCTACAGGCACTCGACACCAACCCAGCCCATGAGAGCAGCCATGGGGGCTACGCCCTGCAAAGCCACAGGTGCACTGTCCTAGTAGAGGTTTCCTATGAGCCTCTGCCTCTGCAGCAGGTTACTCCCACCCTCCCACCACCCTACTGACAACCTACTCCTCCCCACACTACCCTCCTTTTCCTTCCACCCCAAACCCCTCCTATCCAAGATTAAATCACCTCCCACCTGGCACACCTCCAACATTAAGGATGACACGTGAGTTTTATAGGGACACACAGCCAACCCATATTATTCTGACCCTGATACCCCAGAACCTCATGTCCTTCTCACAGAGCAAAACACAATCATGCCTTTTCAAAAGTTTCCAAAAGTCTTAACTCATTCCAAATGTAAAAATTTCAAAGTCTTATCAGAGACAAGGTTACAATCCCTTCTGCCAATGAGTCCCTGAGTTTAAAAGGGATTTCTTTTCCTTCAAGGTACAATAGCCATTGGGTAAGTTTTCTCAATCCAAAGGGGAGAAATTCCCCAGAAAAATAACACAAATGCAAGTCCAAACCCCAGCAGTACAGTATTCATTCAATCTCACAGCTCTGTAATCATCAAGAGAACTCACTATCATGCAGACAGCATTAAGGAGACAGTGTTTAACCATTTACAAAGAATCCAACCCCCACCCTCATCTTTCACCTCCACCCACAAAATAATCTCCCCCATTCTCCCCACATTCCTACCTCCAACACCCACTCTTCTCCATGATTAAATCACCTCCCACCAGGTCCCACCTTTAACATTCACCATCACAATTCCATGAGAGTATTAGTAGGGACAAAAAGTCAAATATTATTCTGACTCGGGTGCCCCCCAACCTCATATCCTTATCACACTATAAAATACAATGATGCCTTCTGTACAGTCCCCCAAAGTCTTAACTCATTCCAGCATTTACTGAAATGCCCAAAGCCCAGAGTCTCATCTGAGACAAGTCTACAGTCCTTCTGTCCATGAGCCACTGAATTATATATAAAGCAAGTTTACTACTTCCAAGGTGCAATGATTGTACAGGCGTTGGGTAAGCATTCCCAGACAAAAGGAAAAAATTTGCCAGAAACAAGCACAAAACACAGACGGGACTTACAGACCCCATGCAAGTCAAAAACCCAGCAGGCCAGTCATTGAATCCTACAGGTCCCAAATCATCTTTTCTGAATCTGTATCCCACATCTGGAGCACAGGAGTGGATGGCTGGGCTCCCAAGGCCTTGGGCAGCTCAGCATCTGTGGCTGTGCTGGGTCTATCCCCCACAGGTGCCCTCATGGGCTGGGCTGGTGTTGGGTGCCTGTGGCTTTTCCACACTGAGGGTGCCAGCAGTTGGTGGGTCCATGAATCTGGGGTCTGGAAAATGGTGCATTCCTGTTTGGGGGCTCCAACCCTATATGTTCCTTCTGTACTGCCCCAGTAAAGGTTTCCCATGAGGCTCTGCCTCTTAGAAAAGCTTCTGCCTGAACACCCAGGTGTTCCCGTACATACTCTGGAGTCTAGACAAAGGCTCCAAAGCCTCTAGTTTTGTGCTCTGTGCACCTGCTGGCTATGTGGAAGCCACCAAGGTTTGAAGCTTGCACACCTGAAGCGGTGATGCAAGCTGTACCTGTGCATCTTTCAGCGATGGCTGGAGCTGGAGCTGGAGCTGGAGCTGCAGGGATGCAGGCAGCAGTGTCCTGAGGACGGATACAGCAGCGCGCCCATGGGACTGACCCAGGAAAGCATTCTTGGGTCCTAGAACTCGGGGACTCTGACAGCAAGCTCTGCTGCAAAGGTCTCTGAAATGGCTTCAAGGCCTTTTAAACATTGTCTTAGCTATTAGCACTGGGCTCCATTTTATGAAAATTTCTGAAGCCTTCTTGAATTTTCCCACTGAAAATCAGCTTTTCTTTTTGACCACTTGGCCAGGCTGCAAATTTTCCAAACTTTTAAGCCCTGCTTCTCATTTAAATATAACTTTCAACTTGAGGTCATTTATATATAGTCACACAGAAGACCACAGGCTGTTCAAAACAGACAAAACACCTCTTGAGCTTTGCTGCCTACTTCATTTCACCAGATATACCCTAAATCATCACCCCCAAGTTCAAAGTTTCAGAGGTCTCCAGGGCAGGGACACCATCCAGCCAAGTTCTTTGCTAAGGCAAAACAAAAGTAACCTTGACTCCTGTTCCCAGTAAGTTGCTCATTTTCATCTGAGACCTTCTAAGCCTGGCCTTCACTGTCCATCCTTCAGTCACTCTTTTAATTATAGCTATGTAACAAGTCTCTATGCTCACCCTTTTAATTTACCACATCTCTACAAGAGTCCAAATTTTCCCTCATCTTTCTGTCTTCTTCCAAGCCCCCCAAACTGTGCAGCCTCCGGTCCTTACCCACTTCTGAACCTGCTTCTACATTTTCAGCTACCGTTGTGGCAGCCTGGCAATGTGGTAAAAGAAGAAAAGTCCATTTTCAGGGAGAAAATTCAAGAAGCTTTCAGATATTTGCATATAAAAGAAGCCAAATGCTAATAGTAAAAAAAAAAAAAGAGGAAAAAACCTTGATGGCATTTCATAGCTCCACTCTACAGTACAAATTTTCTATAATATTATTTTTAAAAGAGGTTTAACTGCCTCATGTTTCTGCAGGCTGTAAAGGCAGCAAGTGGCTTCTGCTTCTGGGAGGACTCAGGAAGCCTCTCAATCATACCAGAAGGCCAAGTGACAATGAGATGTTCCATATGGCAGGAGTAGGAAGAAGACACAGAGAGGAAAGAGGTGCCACACCCGGTTACACTACCAGATCTCATGAGAACTCACTCTCAGGAGATCAGCATCAGGAAGATTAACCAATGGTGAAGGATCCGTCTGCACCACCCCCCACTGTTTCCAGGCAGTAGCCTCCTGCAGAGGCAGAACCTCATGGAGAACCTCTACGAGTGCAGTGCAGAAGGAAAATATGGGCTTGGAGCCCCCACACAGGAGGCCACCATCCTCCAGACTGCAGATTCATAGACCCACCAACAGCTTGCACTCTCTGCGTGGAAAAGCTACAGGCACTCCATACCAGCCCATCTCATGAGAGCAGCCATGGGGGCTACACCCTGCAAAGCCACAGGTGCACTGCCCTAGCAGAGAATTTCCATGAGCCTCTGCCTCTGCAGCAGGCTACTCCCCCTTCCTGCTACCCACCACCCTCTCACCACCCTACTAACAATCTACTCCTCACCCTACCCCCCTTTTCCTTCCACCTCCGGCCCCCTCCCATCCATGATTAAATCACCTCCAGCCAGGCCCCACCTCCAACACTAAGGATTACAATTCACACGAGTTTTGGTAAAGAAACACAGCCAAATCATATTATTCTGACCCTGATCCCCACAGACTCATGACCTTCTCACAGAGCAAAATATATTCATGCCTTTTTAAAAGTTTCCAAAAGTCTTAACTCATTCCAACATTAACTCAAATGTAAAAAAATCAACATCTCATCTGAGACAAGTCTACAGTACCTTTTGCCTATGAGTCCCTGAATTTAAAAGTATGTTCTTTTCTTTCAAAGTACAATAATGGTACAGGCTTTGGGTAAGCTTTTTCAATCCAAAGGGAAGAAATTTCCCAGGAAGAAAACACAAATGGGACCACAGACCCAATACAAGTCCGAAACCCAGAAGGCCAGTATCCATTCAATCTTACAGCTCCAAAATCATGAAGAGAACTCACTATCACAAGGACAGCAATAAGGAGAGTGTTTAATCATTTGTGAAGGATCCGCCCCCCACCCCCAATTTTCACTCCTCTCCCGCACCATAAATCCCCCATTCCCCCTATGCCTCATCTTCCAACCCCCAGTCTCCACCCTGATTAAATCACTTTCCACCAGGCACCACCTTTAACATTCCGATGACAATTCCACATAAGTTTTGGTAGAGACACAGAGCTGAATTTTATTATTCTGTCCCTGGCTCCCCAAATCTCATGTCCTTCTCACATTGCAAAATACAATGATGTCTTCCTTACAGTCCCCCAAAATCTTATATCATTACAGCATTTATACAAATGTTCAAAGCTTAATGTCTCATCTGACACAAGGCTACAGTTTCTTAGGCCCATGAGCCTCTGAAATATAAAGCAACTTAACTACTTCCAAGGTACAATGCTTGTACACACATTGGGTAAACATTCCCAGCCAAAAGGAAGAATGTTGCCAGAAAACAACAAAACACAGATAGGACTTACCGGCCCCATGAAACTCCAAACCCAGAAGGCCAGTCATTCCATCCTACAGCTCCAAAATCAGCCTTTTTGAAACCTTGTCCCACATCCAGGGCACAGGGGTGTGAGGGCTAGGCTCACAAGGCCTTGGGCAGCTTGGCACCTGTGGCTTTGCAGGGTTTATGCCCCACGGCTGCCCTCAGGGGCTCGGCTGGTGTTGAGTGCCTGTGACTTTTCCCCACTGAGAATACAAGTTGTTGGGGGGTCTATGAATCTCGGGTCTGCATGATGGTGGCCTCCAGTGTGGGGGCTCCAACACCATATTTTCCTTCTGTGTTGCCCTAGTAGAAGTTTCATATAAGGCTCTGCCTTTTTGGGATGCTTTTGCCTGGACAGCCAGTCATTTCCATATATCTTCCAAAATCTATAGCAAGGTTCCCAAGCCTCTAGTCTCATGCTGCGTCCACCAGTGGCTTAACACTATGAGGAAGTTACCAAGGCTTCTAGGCGGCACCCTCTGTAGCAGTGACCCAAGCTGTACCTGTGCATCTTTCAGTCATGGCTGGAGCTGGAGCTGGAGCTGGAGCTGCAGGGATGCAGGAAGCAGTGTCCTGAGGCTGCACACAGAGGGGGGTCATGGAACTCACCCAGGAAACCATTCTCTCCTAGGCCCCAGGGCCTCTAACAGCAAGGGCTGCTGGAAAGGTCTCTGAAATGCCTTCAAGGCCTTTTCCCTATTGTCTTGTCTATTAGCACTGGACTCCTTTTCAAGCAAGTTTCTGAAGCCTTCCTCAATTTTCCCCCTGAAAATCAGCTTTTCTTTTTGACCACATGTCCGGGCTGCAAATTTGCCAAACTTTTGACTTCTGTTTCTCATTTAATATAAGGGTTGGGACTCATTTAATGTAAGTCCCACCCAGAGGTCATTTCCTCTATCACACATAAGAGCACAGGCTGTTCGATGGAGACAGGACACCTCTTGAGCTTTGCTGCCCAGTTCATTCCACCAGATACTCAGTAAATCATCACCCTCAAGTTCAAAGTTTCAGAGATCTCCAGGGCGAGTCACCATGCAGCCACGTTCTTTGCTAAGGAAACAAAAGTAACTTTGACTTCTGTTCCCAGTAAGTGCTTCATTTTCATCTGAGACCTTCTAAGTCGGGTTTTCACTGACCATTTTCCTGTGAGCCTTCTGATCACAAGTGTTTAACAATTCTTTACAAAGATCCAAACTTTCATTCATCTTCTTGTCTTTGAAGCCCTCCAAACTCTCCCGACCTCTGTCCGCTACTCCCTTCTGAACCTGCTTCTACATTATCACTATCTTTGCCACAGCCTGGCAATGTGGTAAAGGAAGACAAGTCCATTTTCAGGGGGAAAATTCATGAAGCCTTCACATACTTGAATGAAAAGAAGCTGAGTGCTGATTGCCAAGACAATGACATTTAATAGTTCCACTTTGCACCACTAATTTTCTCTATGATCATAAAGAAAAGAGGTTTAATTGGCTCATGATTCTGCAGGCTGTAAGGAAACACAGTGGCTTCTGAATCTGGGAGGACTCAGGAAGCCTCCCAATCATGCCAGAATGTCCAGGGGCAATGAGATGATTCATGTGGCAGGAGTAGGTGCAAGACAGAGAGGAAAGAGGACTATACCCTATTATACAACCAAATCTTATGAGAACTCACTATTACAAGGTCAGCATTATGAAGATGGTGCTTAAATATTGATGAAGAAACAACCACCCACCCCCACCTCCCACTGTTTCCAAACAGAAGCCTGCTGCAGAGGCAGAACCTCTTGGAAAACCTCTACTAGTGCTGTGTGGAAGGAAAAAGTGGGCTTGGAGCCCCCACGCAGAGGGCCACCACCATCCAGACCCCAGATTCATAGACTCACCAGCAGCTCACACCCTCTGTGGAAAAGCTACAGGCTTTTCCAAACCTCAACACCAACCCAGCCCATGAAAGCAGCTGCAGGGGCTCAACCCTGCAAAGCCACAGGTGCACTACCCTAGTAGAGGTTTTCCATGAGGCTTTGCCTCTGCAGCAGGCTACTCCCCATTCCTACTATCCCCCACCTGCCCACCATTCTACTGCCAGCCTACTCCTCCCCACCCTAAACAACCCTTTTGTGATACCCTACCTTGTTTTAACCTGATCAACTCTCCCTTAGCTGAGGGAGCCAGGCAGACTCCATCTTGGCTCTTTCACTTGCAGCCCCTTACACACACCCCTTCCTCAAGGACATAACCTGTGCAAGCTGACTCCCAGCACATCAAAGAATGCAAATACTGACAAGATACTGTGGAAAGCTATATCCACAGTTCCCAGGAATTCACCCTGTTGATGGTACCTAAAACCCCCACATTTGTGTCCAGTTGATAGCACCCAAAGCCCCACATCTCTCACCTTTTGATGGATTTAAAGCCCCTGCACCTGGAAGTGTTTGTTTTCCTGTAGCCATTTATCTTTTTAACTTTTTTGCCTGTTTTGCTTCTGTAAGATTGCTTCAGCAAGGCTCCCCCTCCCCTTTCTAAACCAAAGTATAAAAGAAAATCTAGCCCCTTCTTAGGGGCCGAGAGAAGTTTGAGCACTAGCGCTCTCTCGGTCACCAGCAATAAAGGACTCCTGAATTCGTCTCATAGTGTGGGGTTTCTCTACAACTCACTCAGTTACAACCCTTTTCCTTCCACCCCCAACCACCTCCAATCCATGATTAAATCATTTCCCCCAGGCCCCACCTTCAACATTTGGAATTACAATTCCACCTGAATTTTTATAGGGACACACAGCCAAACCATATTATTCTGACCCTGATATCCCAGAATCTCATGTCCTTATCACAGAGCAAAATACAATCATGCCTTTTCAAAAGTTCCAGTAGCCTTAACTCATTCCAAGTGTAAAAAGTTCAAAGTCTCATCTGAGACAAGGCTACTATCCCTTCTGCCTATGAGTTCCTGAATTTAAAAGAGATTTCTTTTCTTTCGAGGTACAATGATGGTACAGGCGTTGTATAAGCTTTCTCAATCCAAAGGGAAGAAATTTCGCAGAAAACACAACTGGGACCACAAGCCAAATGCAAGTCCAAAACCCAGCAGGACAGTATTCACTCAATCTCACAGCTCAAAAATCATCAAGAGAACTCACTATCATGCGGACAGCATTAAGGACATAGCGTTTACCCGTTTGTGAAGAATCTGCCCTCCCACCCTCATCTTTCACTCCCACCCACAAAATAATCTCTCCCATTATCCCCACACCCCTACCTCCAACACCCACTCTTCTCCGTGATTAAATCACCTCCCACCAGGTCCCACCTTTAACATTCCCTACTACAATTCCACATGAGTATTGGTAGAGACACAGAATCAAATCATATTATTCTGGCTCTTGCTCCCCAAATCTTGTATCCTTGTCAAACTGCAAAATACACTGATGACTTCTCTACTGTCCCCCAATGACTTAACTCATTCCAGCACTTACTAAAATGTCCAAGGACTTACAGACCCCATACAAGTCAAAAACCCAGCAGGCCAGTCATTGAATCCTACAGCTCCAAATCATCTTTTCTGAATGGACGTCTCACATCCAGAGCACAGGCGTGTCATGGCTGGGCTCCCAAGGCCTTGGGCAGCTCTGCACCTGTGGCTGTGCAGGGTCTATCCCCCACAGCTGCCCTCATGGGCTGGGCTGGTGTTGAGTGCCTGTAGCTTTTCACACTCAGTGTGCCAGCTGTTGGTGGGTATATGAATCTGGGGTCTGGAGAATGGTGCCTCCATATTTAGGGACTCCAGCCCTATATTGTCCTTCTGTACTGTCCTAGTAAAGGTTTCCCATGAGGCTCTGCCTCTTGGAAAAGCTGCTGCCTGAACACCCAGGTTTTTCCGTACATACTATGGAGTCTAGACAAAGGCTCCCAAGCCTCTTGTTTTGTGCTCTGTGCACCTGCTGGCTTAACACTATGTGGAAGCTACCAAAGCTTGAAGCTTGCACCCCTGAAGTGTGATGCAAGCTGTACCTGTGCATCTTTCAGCCCTGGCTGGAACTAGAGCTGCAGGGATGCAGGCAGCAGTGTCCTGAGGCTGCACACAGACAGGGGTTATGCAACTGGCCCAGGAAACCATTCCTCTCTCCTAGGCCCCAGGGCCTATATTAGCAAGGGCTGCTACAAAGGTTTCTGAAATGGCTTCAAGGCTTTTTCCCTATTGTCTTGGCTATTAGCACTGGGCTCCTTTCCATGCAAATTTCTGAAGCCTTCCTCAGTTTTCCCCTGAAAATCAGCTTTTCTTTTTGACCATTTGGCCAGGAAGCAAATTGTTGAGTTCTGTTTCTCATTTAATATAAGAGTTCGGACTCATTTAATGTAAGACCCATCCAGATGTCATTTCCTCAGTCACACATAAGGGCACAGGCTGTTTGATACAGACAGGACACCACTGCAGCTTTGCTGCCCAGAACTTCATTCCATCAGATACGCAGTAAGTCATCACCCTCAAGTTCAAAGTTTCACAGATCTCCAGGGCAGGGTCACTGTGCATCCACGTCCTTTGCTACAGCAAAACAAAAGTAACCTTGGCTCCTGTTTGCAGTAAGTTCCTCATTTGCATCTGAGAGCTTCTCAATCTGATCCTTACTGTCTATTTTCCTGTGAGTCTTCTGATCACAAGTATTTAACAATTCTTTACAAAGATCCAAACTTTCCCTCATCTCCCTGTCTTTGAAGTCCTCCAAACTCTCCCGAACTCCATCTGCTACCCCCTTCTGAACCTGCTTCTACATTATCAGCTATCTTTGTCACAGGCTGGCAGTGTGGTAAAGGAACACAAGCCCATTTTCTGGGGAAAAATTCAAGGAGGCTTCAGATAGTTGAATGAAAAGAAGCCGAGTGCTGATTGCCAAGACATTAGGGAGAAGGCCTTGAAGACATTTAACAGTTCCATTTTGCCATAATAATTTTCTCCATGATCATAAAGAAAAGAGGTTTAATAGGTTAATGATTCTGCAGGCTGTAAGGAAGCATAGTGGCTTCTGCACCTGACAGGACTCAGGAAGCCTCCCAATCACACCAGAATGTCAAGGAGCAAGGAGATGTCTCATATCGGAAGAGAAGGAACAAGACAGAGAAAGGAAAAAGTTGTCATGCCCGATTATACAAGCAGATCTCATGAGAACTCACTATCACAAGGTCAGCATCTAGAAGATGGTGCTTAAACATTGGTGAAGGATCTGCCCCCCATCCCCAACTCCCACTGTTCCCAGGCAGAAGCCTCCTTCAGATGCAGAGCCTCTTGGAAAACCTCTATTATGGAAGTGCAGAAAGAAAATATGGGCTTGGAGCCCCCACACATGTGGCTACCAACCTCCAGATCCCAGATTCATAGACCCACCAACAACTCACGCCCTTAGTGTGGAAAAGCTACAGGCCCTCAATACCAGCCCAGCCCACAAGAACAGCTGATGGGTTAAACCTGCAAAGCCACAGGTGCACTTCTCTAGTGGAGGTTTTCCATGAGGCTTTACCTCTGCAGCAGGCTACACCCCCTTCCCTCTAACCCCACCCTCCCACCACCCTACTGCCAACCCACTCCTCCCAATCCTACCCATCCCTTTTACCTTCCAGCAGCACCAACCTCCTGTCCATAATTAAGTCACCTGCTTCAACATTAGGGATTACAATTCCATATGAGTTTCATAGGGACACACAGGCAAACCATATAATTCTGACTCTGATATTCCAGAATCTCAAGTCCTTATCACAGAGCAAAATACCATCATGACTCTTCAAAAGTTTGAAAAGTCTTAATTCATTCCAAATGTAAAAAATTCAAAGTCTCATCTCAGATAAGGCCACAGTCCCTTCTGCCTATGAGTCCCTGAATTTAAAATGGAGTTCTTTTCTTTCAAGGTACAATGATGGTACAGGCATTGTGTAAACTTTCTCAGTCCAAAAGGAAGAAATTTCCCAGAAAAATAACACAAATGGGCCCACAGGCCCAATGCAAATCCATAACCCAGCAGGAGAGTACTCACTCAATCTCTCAGCTCCAAAATCATCAAGAGGACTCACTATCATGTGAACAGCATTAAGGAGAGTGTGTTTATCCATTTGTGAAGGATCTGCCCCCAATCTCTTCTTTCACTCCCACCCACAAAATAATCTCCCCTATTCTCCCCACTCCCCTACCTCCAACCCCCTTTCTTCTCCATGATTAAATCACCTCCCACCAGGCCCCACCTTTAACATTCCCCATTACAATTACAAATGAGTTTGGTAGGGATGCAGAACCAAATCATATTATTCTGACCCTGGCCCCCATATCTCATGTTGTTCTCACACTGCAAAATACAATGATGACTTCTCTACAGTTTCCCAATCTCTTAACTCATTCCAGCTTTTACTGAAATGTCCAAAGCCCAAAGTCTCTTCTGAGACAAGGCTGCCATATGTTCTACCTGAGCCTCTGAAATACAAAGCAAGTTAACTACTTCCAAAGTACAATGACTGTACAGGCAGGCATTGGGTAAGTATTCCCAGCCAAAAGGAAGAAATTTGCCAGAAAGAAGCACAAAACACAGATGGGACTTACAAACCCCATAGGAGTTAAAAATCCAACAGCCAGTCATTGAATCCTACAGTTCCAAATCATTTTTTTTGAATCCAGATCCCACATCCAGAGCACAAGGGTATGAGTCCTGGGCTCCCAAGGTCTTCGGCAGCTCTGCACCTGTGACGTTGCAGGGTCTAACCTCCACAGTTGCCCTGATGGGCTGGGCTGCTGTTGAGTACCTATAGCTTTTCCACAATGAGGGTGCAAGCTGCTAGTGAGTCTATGAATCTGGGGTTTGCAGAATGGTGCCTCCCTGTATGCGGTCCCAACCCTATATGTTCCTTCTGTACTGCCCTAGTAAAGGAGGCTCTGCCTCTTGGAAAAGTTTCGACCTGGACACCCAGGTTTTTCCATACATACTCTGGAGTCCAGACAAAGGATTCCCAGCCTCCAGTTTTGTGCTCTGCGCACCTGCTGGCTTAACACTATGTGGAAGCCACCAAGGCTTGCAGCTTGCACCCTCTGAAGCAGTGACCCAAGCTGTTCCTGTGCATCTTTCAACCATGGCTGGAGCTGGAGCTTCAGGAATCCAGCCAGCAGTGTCCTGAGGATGGACATAGCAGTGGGGCCATGGGGCTGGAGAAGGAAACCATTCTTTTCTCCCAGGCCTCAGGGCCTGTGATAGCAAGGGCTGCTGCAAAAGTCTCTGAAATGCCTTCAAGGCCTTTTTAACATTGTATTGGCTATTAGCACTGAACTCCATTTTATGCACATTTCTGAAGCCTTCTTGAACTTTCCCACTGATAATAAGCTTTTCTTTTTGACCACTTGGCCAGGCTGCAAATTTTCCAAACTTTTAAGCTCTCCTTGTCATTTAAATATGTTTCACCTTGAGGTCATTTCTTTGGTCACATATTTTCATGTGAGACCTTGTAAGCCTGGTGGCCACTGTCCATCATTATGTCACCTTTTTAATTATAACTATTTAACAAGTCTCTACACTGATCCAAACTTTTCCTCACCTTCCTGTCTTCTTCCAAGACCTCCAAACTCTCCAACCTCTGGCCATTACACACTTCTCAACCTGCTTCTACATTTTCAGCTACATGTGTCACAGCCTGGCAATGTGGTAACAGAAGAAAAGTCCATTTCAGGAGAAAAATTAATGCAGGCTTCAGACATTTGCCTGAAAAGGAGCTGAGTGCTGATTACCAACACAATAAGGAAAAGGCCTTGAAGGCATTTCATAGCTCCACTTCACAGCACTAAATTTCTGTATGATCAGAAAGAAAAGAGGTTGAACTGGTTCATGGTTCTGCAAGCTTTAAATAAATCCTAGAGGCTTCTGCCTCTGGGAGGACTCAGGAAGCCTCCCAATCATACCAGAAGAGCAAGCAGCAATGGGAAGTTTTATATGGCACAAGTAGAAACAAGACAGAGAGAGGAAAAATGTGCCACACATTGTATAACCCTGTTATACAAACAGATTTCCTGAGATCTCACTACCACGAGGCAGCATCAAGAAGATGTTGCTTAACCATTGGTGAAAGATCTGTCCCCTACCACCCCCACACCCCACTGTTTCCAGGCAGAAGCCTCAGGCAGAGGCAGAGCCTCTTGGAAAACCTGTACTACGGCAGTGCAGAAAAAATATATGGGCTTGGAAGCCCAACGCAGGAGGTTACCATCCTCCAGACCCCAGATTCATAGACCCACCAACAGCTTGCATTCTCAGTATGGAAAAGCTACAGGCACTCAACACTAGCCCAGCCCACGAGGGCAGCCATGGGGGCTACACCCTGCAAAGCCACAGGCACACTGCCCTGGTAGAGGTTTTCCATGAGGCTCTGCCTCTGCAGCAGGCTACTCCCTCTTCCTTCTGCCCACCACCCTCTCACCACCCTACTGCCAGCCTACTCCTCCCCACCCTACCCACTTGTTTTCCCTTCCACCCCTACCAACCTCCCGTTTGTGATTAAATCACCTCCCACCAGGCCCCACCTACAACAGTCAGGAGTACAATTCCCCATGAGTTTTTGTAGGGAAACACAGTCAAACCATATTTTTCTGACCCTGACACCCCCAAATCTCATGTCCTTCTCACACAGAAAAATACAAACATACCTTTTCAAAAGTTTCAAAAGGTCTTAACTCATTCCAGCAGTAACTCAAATGTAGTAAGTTCAAGTCTCATCCAAGACAAGGTTGCAATCTCTTCTGCCTATGAGTCCCTGAATGTAAAAGACAATTCTTTTCTTTCAAGTTACAATGATGGCACAGGCACTGGGTAAGCTTTCTCAAACAAAAGGGAAGTTTTTCCCAGAAAAATAACACAAATGGGACACAGGCCCAATGCGAGTCCAAAACCCAGCAGGACAGCATTCATTTATCATAAGAACTCACTATCACACAGACTGCATTAAGGAGATAGTATTTAATCACTTGTGAAGGATCTGCCGCCCATCCCAACGTTTCACCCCCACCCATACCCTGCACCCCCATTCTCCCACATCCCCCTTCCAACCCCCATTCTCTACCATGATTAAATCACCTTCTATCAAGCCCCACATTTAACATTCCCCATTACAATTCCAGATGAGTTTTGGAAGGGACACAGAGCCAAATCATACTGTTCTCCACTTGGTCCGCAATCTCATGTCCTTCTTCTACTGCAAAATATAATGATGTGTTCTCTAAGGTCCCCCAATGTCTGAACTCATTCCAGCATTTACTGAAATGTCCATTTGTGAAGGATCCACCCCCCACCCCTGCCTTTCAGCCACAACTGTACTACAATACCCCAACCCTCCCCACCCACCTATAGCCCCAACCCTCCCCACCACCCCCAGCATCCACCCTCCACGCTCCAACATGATTAAATCACCTTCCACCAGCCCCCACCTTTAACATTTCCCATTAAAATTCCGCATGAGTTTTGGTAGAGACACAGAGTCAAAACATATTATTCTATCCCTGGTCCCCCAAATCTCATGTATTTTTCATATTGCAAAATGCAACGATGCCTTCCCTAGAATCCCCCAAGTCTTAACTCATTCCAGCATTTACTCAAATATCCAAAGCCCACAGTCTCTTCTTAGACAAGGCTGCAGTCTCTTCTGCCCTGAGACTCTGAAATACACAGCAAATTAACTACTTCCAAGGTACAATGATTGTACAGGCATTGGTGAAGCATTCCCAGCCAAAAAGAAGAAATTTGCCAGAAAGAAGCACAAAACACAGATGGGACTTATAAACCCCCTGCAAGTCAAAAGCCCAGCAGGCCAGTCATCCATCCTACACAACCAAATCATCTTTTTGGAATCTATGTCCACATCCAGAGCACAGGGTGATATGACAGCTGGGATCCCAAGGCCTTGGGCAGCTCTGCACCTGTGGCATTGCAGAATCTTTCCCCTACAGCTGCCCTCATTGACTAGGCTGGTGTTGAGTACCTGTAGCTTTTCAACACTAAGGGTGCAAGCAGCTGGTGGGTCTATGAAACTGGGGAATGGAAAATGGTGCCTCCCTGTATGGGGACTCCAACCCTATACTCTGCTTGTGTACTGCCTGAGTATAGATTTACCATGAGGCTCTGCCTCTTGAAAAAGCTTCTGGCTGGACAATCAGCCTTCTGATACATCCTCTGGAGTCTAGATGAAGGCTCGGAAGCTTCTAGTCCTTGCTTTATGCACCTGCTGGCTTAACACCATGTGGAAGCCACCAAGTCTTCGAGCTTGCATCCTCTGAAGCAGTGACGCAAGCTGTACCTGTGCATCTTTCATCCATGGCTGGAGCTGGAGATGGAGCTGCAGGGATGCAGGCAGCAGTGTCCTGAGGCTGCACACAGCAGTGGAGCCATGGGGCTGGGCCAGGAAACTATTCTTTTCTCCTAGGCCCCAGGGCCAGTGACAGCAAGGGCTGCTACAAAGGTCACTGAAATGCCTTCAAGGCCTTTTTCCCATTGTCTTGAATTATTAGCACTGGGATCCTTTTTATGCAAATATCTGAAGCCTTCTTGACTTTCCCCCTGAAAATCAGCTTTTCTTTTTGACCACTTGTGCAGATTACAAATTTTCCATATGTTTAAACTCTGCTTCTCTTTTAAATATAAGTTCCAACTTATGGTCATTTCTTTGATCACACATAGGTGCACAGGCTGTTCAATGTAGGCAGGAAAACTCTTGAGCATTGTTGCTTAGAAGTTCATTCCACCAGATACACTCTAAATCATCACCCTCAAGTTCAGTTTCACAGATCTCCCGGGAAGGGTCACTGTGTAGTCAATTACTTTGCTAAGGCAAAACAAAAAAACCTTGGCTCCTCTTCCCAGTAAGTCCTTCATTTTCACCTGAGATCTTGTAAACCTGGCCTTCACTGTCCATCCTTATGTTAGCCTTTTAATCACAACTATTTAACAAGTCTCTGCAATGGTCAAAACTTTCCCTCATCTTCCTCTTTTCTTCCAAGCTCTCCAAACTCTCTAACATCTGGCCATTATGTAATTCAGAACCTGCTTCTACACTGTCAGCTATCTTTTTTGTAGCCTGGCAATGTGGTAAAAGAAGAAAAGTCCATCATCAGGGGGAAACATCAAGAAGGCCTCCAATATTTGCATTGAAAAAGCTCAGTGCTAATAGCCAAGAGATTGGGGGAAGGCCTAGAAGTCATTTCATAGCTTCACTTCGCAGCATTAATTTTCTGTATGTACATAAAAAAAGAGGTTAGTTAACTCACAGTTCTTCAGGCTATAAAGAAAGCATACTGGTTTCTGCTTATAGTAGGACTCAGGAAGCCTCCCAATCATACCAGAAAGCCAAGCGGCAATGAAATGTTTCATATGGCAGGAGTAGAAGCAAGACAGAGAGAGGAAAGAGGTGCGACAGCCTGTTATACAACTAGATCTCATTAGAGCTCACTATCAGGAGATCAGCATCAAGAAGATGGTGCTTCAATGTTGGTAAAGGATCCGCCCACTATCCCATATCTACCACCCACTGTTTCCAAGCAGAAGCCTGAGGCAGAGGCAGATCCTCTTGGAAAACCTCTACCATGGCTGTTTAGAAGAAAACTATGGGCTTGGAGACCCCATGTAGGATACCACCATCCTCCAGAACCCAGATTCACAGACCCATCAACAGCTCACACCCCATGTATGGAAAAGCAACAGGCACTCAACACCAGCCCAGCCCATGAGAGCAGCTACAGGTGCTAAACCCTGCAAAGTCACAGGTGCACTGCCTTAGTAGAGTTTTCCCATGAGCCTCTGCATCTGCGGCAGGCTACTCCCCTCCTGCTACACACAACCCTACAGCCAGCCTACTCCTCCCCAACTTGCCCACCTGTTTTTACTTCCAATCCAACCCCTCTCCAATCCATGAATAAATCACCTCCCACCAGGCCCCATATGCAACATTCGGGATTACAATTACATGTGAGTTTAGGTAGGGACACAGCTAAACCATATTATTCTGACCCTGAACCCCCGAATATGATATCCGTCTCACAGACTAAAATACAATCATGCCTTTTCAAAAGTTGCCGAAAGTCTTAAGTCATTTCAGCATTAACTCAAATGTAAAAAGTTCAACGTCTCACCTGAGAAAAGGCTACAGACCCTTTGGCCTATAAGTTCCTGAATTTAAAAGGGATTTCTTTTCTTTCAAGGTACAATGATGGTACAGGCATTGGGTAAGTTTTCTCAATCCAAAGGGGAGATGTTTGCCAGGAAAATAACACAAATGGGATGACAGGGCCAATGCAAGTCCAAAACCCAGGAGGCCAGTATCCATTCAATCTCACAGCTCCAAAACCATCACGAGAACTCACCATCATGAGGAAAGGATTAAGGAGATGATGTTTAACCATTTGTGAAGGATCCTCCCCCACCCCCACTTTTCACCCCTCACTCCCACCATAATCTACCCATTTTCCCCAATCCCCCCCTTCCAACACCCAGTGCCCTCCATGATTAAATCACCTTCCACCTGGTCCCACTTTTAACATTTCTGATTACAATTCCACATGAGTTTCCATAGGGACACACAGCCAAATCTTATTATTCTGTCCCTGCCCCACAAATCTCATGTCCTTCTCACTTTGCAAAATACAATGATGCCTTACGTACCATTCCCCAAGCCACTGTGCTTTTTTTTTACAGCCTGCAGAATCATGAGCCAATTAAACACCTTTTTGGTATGATCATACAGAAAATTAGTACTGTGAAGTGAAGCTATGAAATGCCTTCAATGACTTTTCCCCATCATCTTGGCTAAGACCCCCAAGGTCTTAACTCATTCCAGCATTTACTCAAATGTCTGAAGCCCAAACTCTCATCTAAGACAAAGATGCAGTCCCTTCTGCTCCTGAGCCTCGGAAATACAAAGCAAGTTAACTGCTTCCAAGGTATGATTGTCCAGACATTGAGTAAGAATTCCCAACCAAAAGGAAGATTTTTGCCAGAGAGAAGAACAAAACACAAACGGGACTTACAGGTCCCATGAAAATCCAAAACCCAGCCGGCCAGTTATTCAAACCTACAGCTCCAAAGTCATCCTTTTTTAATCCTTGTCCCACATCCAGGGCACAAGGGTATGAGGGCGGGGTTCCCAAGGCCTTGGGCAGCTCTCTACCTGTGGCTTTGCAGTGTTCAGTCCCCACAGCTGCCCTCATGGGCTGTGCTGGTGTTGACTACCTGTAGTTTTTACCCACAGGGGGTACAAAGTTCTTGGTGGGTCTATGAATCTGGGGTCTGCATGATGCTGGCCTCCAGTGTGGGGGCTCCAACCCCATATTTTCCTTCTGCACTGCCCTAGTAGAGGTTTCCCAGGAGGCTCTGCTTTTTTGGCGCCTTCTGTCTGGACACCCAGGCATTTTCGTATGTCTTCCGAAATCTACATGAAGGCTCCGAAGCCTCTGGACTAGTGCTCTGTGCATTCACTGGCTTAACACTATGTGGAAGCCATGAAGTCTTATGGCCTGTACCCTCTGAAGCAGTGATGCAATCTGTACCTGTGCATCTTTCAGCCAAGGTCGGAGCAGGAGCTGGGGCTGCCGGGATGCAAGCAGCAGTGTCCTGAGGCTGCACACAGCAACAGGGTCACAGGGCTGGCCCAGGAAACCATTCATCTCTCCTAGGACCCAGGGCCTGACAGCAAGTGCTGCTGCAAACATCTCTGAAATGCCTCCAAGGCTTTTTCCCCCATTGTCTTGGCTATTAGCACTGGCCTCCATTTTAAGCAAATTTCTGGAGCCTTCATGAATTTTCCCCCTGAAAATCAGCTTCTCTTTTTGATCACTTGGCCAGGCTGCAGATATTCCAAACTTTTGAGCTCTGCTTGTCATTTACATATAACTTCCAACTTGAGGTCATTTCCTCGGTCACACATAACCTCGGTCACACATTAGAGCACAGGCTGTTTGATGCAGACACCCCCTCCCATTGTGCTACGCTGCCTAGAAGTTCATTCCACCAGATATGCACTAAATCATCACCCTTGAGTTCAAAGTTTCACAGATCTTGAGGGCAAGGTCGCCCTGCAGCCATGTTCTTTGCTAAAGCAAAACAAAACTTAACCTTGGCTCCCATTCCCAGTAAGTTCCTCATTTTCATCTGAGACCTTGTAAGCCTGGCCTTCACTTCCATCCTTCTGCCAGCCTTTAATTACAACTATTTGACAAGTGCCCACAATGGTCCAAACTTTCCTTCATCTTCCTGTCTTCTTTCAAGATCTCCAGACTCTCCAACCTCTGGCTGTTACCCACTTCTGAACCTGCTTTACATTTTCAGCTATCTTTGTTGCAGCCTGGCAATGCAGAAGAAAAAGAAGTCCATTTTCAGGGGGAAACTTCAAGAAGCCTTCAGATATTTGCATTAAAAGAAGTCCAATGTTAATAGCCAAGACGATGGGGAAATGTCATTGAAGATATTTCATAGCTCCACTTCGCAGTACTTTATTTTCTGTATGATCATAATGAAAAGGGGTTTAATTGGCTCATGGTTCTGCAGGCTGTAAAGAAAGCATAGTGGCTTCTGCTTCTGGGAGGACTCAGGAAGCCTCCCAATCATACCAGTAGGAAAACAGCAATGAAATGTTTCATACAGCAGGAGTAGGAGCAAGGCTGAGAGAGGAAAGAGGTGCCACACCGTCCTATAACCAGATCTCATGAGAACCCATTATCACTAGGTCAGCATCAAGAAGATGGTGCTTAACCATTGGTGAAGGATCCACCCCCCAACACATCTCCACCGGCTACCGTTCCAGACAGAAACCTGCTGCAGAGGCAGAGGCTCCTGGAAATCCTGTACTATGGCAGTGCACAAGGAAAATAAGGGCTTTGAGTGACTATGCAGGAGCCCACCATCCTCTAGACCCCAGATTCATAGACCTACCAAAAGTTCACACCCTCAGTATGGAAAAGTGATAGGCACTCAACAGCAGCCCAGCCCATGAGAGCAGCCATGGGGGCTAAAGCCTGCAAAGCCACTGGTGCACTACCCTGGTAGAGGTTTTCCAGGAGCCTCTGCCTCTGCAGCAGGCTACTCCCCCTACCTACTACCCACCACCCTCCCACCACCCTACAGCCAGCCTACTCTTCCCCACCCTACCCACCCCTTTTTTCTTCCACCCCTAACCCTCCCACCCATGATTAAATAATCTCCCACCAGGCCCCAACTCCAACATTTGGGATTGCAATTCAACATGAGATTTTCCAGGGACACACAGCCAAATCTTATTATGCTGACCTTGACCCCCCCAAATCTCATATCCTTCTCACAGAAGAAAATACAATTGTGTCTTTTCAAAGTTTCCAAAAGCCTTAACTCATTCCCACATTAACTCAAATGTAAAAAGTTCAAAGTCTCATCTGAGACAAGGCCACAGTCTCTTCTGCCTATGAGTCCCTGAAGTTAAAAGTGTGTTCATTTCTTTCAAGGTACAATGATGGTACAGGTATTGGGTAAGCTCTCTCAATCCAAAGGGAAGAAATTTCCACGAAAAATAACACAAATGGGACCACAGGCCCAATGGACACCCAAAATCCCACAGGTCAGTGTTCATTCAATCTCACAGCTCCAAAATCATGAAGAGAACTCACTATCAGAAGGACGGCATTAAGGAGATGGTGTTTAACCATTTGTGAAGGATGCACCCCAGCCCCTGCCTTACACCCCCAACCCCACCACAATCGCTCCAACCCTACTCACCACCCAATCACCCCCAACCCTCCCCAACCCCCAACCATCCAACCTCCTCTCTCCAACATGATTAAATCACCTTCCACCAGCCCCCACATTTAACATTTCCCATTAACATTCCACATGAGTTTTGGTAGACACAGAGAGCCAAAACATATTATTCTATCCCCGGTCCCCCAATGTTCATGTCTTTCTCACATTGCAAAATGCAATGATGCCTTCCCTAGAGTCTCTCAAATCTTAACTCATTCCAGCATTTACTCATACGCCCAAAGCCCAGAGTCTCATCTGAGACAAATCTACAGTCCCTCCTGACCATGAGCCACTGAATTATATATAAAGCAAGTTTACTACTCCCAAGGTGCAATGATTGTACAGGCGTTGGGTAAGCATTCCCAGACAAAAGGAAAAAATTTGCCAGAAAGAAGCACAAAACACAGATGGGACTTACAGACCCCATGAAATTCAAAAACACAGCAAGCCAGTCATTGAATCCTACAACCCCCAAATCATCTTTTCTGAATCTATACTCCACATCTGGAGCACAGGGGTGGATGGCTGGGCTCCCAAGTCCTTGGGCAGCTCAGCATCTGTGGCTGTGAAGGGTCTATCCCCCACAGGTGCCCTCATGGGCTGGGCAGGTGTTGAGTGCCTGTGGCTTGTCCACACTGAGGGTGCCAGCAGTTGGTGGGTCTATGAATCTGGGGTCTGGAAAATGGTGCATTCCTGTGTGGGGGCTCCAAACCTATATGTTCCTTCTGTACTGCCCTAGTAAAGGTTTCCCATGAGGCTCTGCCTCTTGGAAAACTTCTGCCTGAACACCCAGGTGTTCCCGTACATACTCTGGAGTCCAGACAAAGGCTCCAAAGCCTCTACTTTTGTGTTCTATGCACCTGCTGGCTTAGTACTATGTGGAAGCCACCAAGGTTTGAAGCTTGCACCTCTGAAGCAGTGATGCAAGCTGTACCTGTGCATCTTTCAGCGATGGCTGGAGCTGGAGCTGGAGCTGCAGGGATGCAGGCAGCAGTGTCCTGAGGACGGACACAGCAGCGCGCCCATGGGACTGACCCAGGAAAGCATTCTTGCGTTCTAGAACTCGGGGCCTCTGACAGCAAGCTCTGCTGCAAAGGTCTCTGAAATAGCTTCAAGACCTTTTAAACATTGTCTTAGCTATTAGCACTGGGCTCCATTTTATGAAAATTTCTGAAGCCTTCTTGAATTTTCCGACTGAAAATCGGCTTTTCTTTTTTAACACCTGGCCAGGCTGCAAATTTTCCAGACTTTTAAGCCCTGCTTCTCATTTAAATATAACTTTCAACTTGAGGTCATTTATATATAGTCACACAGAAGACCACAGGCTGTTCAAAACAGACAAGACACCTATTGAGCTTTGCTGCCTACTTCATTTCACCAGATATACCCTAAATCATCACCCTCAAGTTCAAAGTTTCAGAGGTCTCCAGGGCAGGGACACCATCCAGCCAAGTTCTTTGCTAAGGCAAAACAAAAGTAACCTTGACTCCTGTTCCCAGTAAGTTGCTCATTTTCATCTGAGACCTTCTAAGCCTGGCCTTCACTGTCCATCCTTCAGTCACTCTTTTAATTATAGCTATGTAACAAGTCTCTATTCTCACCCTTTTAATTTAACACGTCTCTACAATAGTCCAAATTTTCCCTCATCTTTCTGTCTTCTTCCAAGCCCCCCAAACTGTGCAGCCTCCGGTCGTTACCCACTTCTGAACCTGCTTCTCGAATTTCAGCTACCGTTGTGGCAGCCTGGCAATGTGGTAAAAGAAGAACAGTCCATTTTCAGGGAGAAAATTCAAGAAGCCTTCAGATATTTCCATATAAAGAAGCCAAATGCTAATAGTAAAAAAAAAAAAAAAGAGGAAAACACCTTGATGGCATTTCATAGCTCCACTCTACAGTACAAATTTTCTGTAATATTATTTTTAAAAGAGGTTTAATTGGCTCATGTTTCTGCAGGCTGTAAAGGCAGCAAGTGGTTTCTGCTTCTGGGAGGACTCAGGGAGCCTCCCAATCATACCAGAAGGCCAAGTGACAATGAGATGTTCCATATGGCAGGAGTAGGAAGAAGACACAGAGAGGAAAGAGGTGTCACACCACGTCATACAACCAGATCTCATGAGATCTCACTCTCAGGAGATCAGCATCAGGAAGATTAACCAATGTTGAAAGATCCAACCACACCACCGCCTACTGTTTCCAGGCAGAAGCCTCCTGCAGAGGCAGAACCTCATGGAGAACCTCTACGAGTGCAGTGCAGAAGGAAAATATGGGCTTGGAGCCCCCACACAGGAGGCCACCATCCTCCAGACTGCAGATTCATAGACCCACCAACAGCTTGCACTCTCTGCGTGGAAAAGCTACAGGCACTCCATACCAGCCCATCTCATGAGAGCAGCCATGGGGGCTACACCCTGCAAAGCCACAGGTGCTCTGCCCTAGCAGAGAATTTCCATGAGCCTCTGCCTCTGCAGCAGGCTACTCCCCCTTCCTGCTACCCACCACCCTCTCACCACCCTACTAACAATCTACTCCTCACCCTATCCACCCCTTTTCCTTCCACCTCCGGCCCCCTCCCATCCATGATTAAATCACCTCCAGCCAGGCCCCACCTCCAACACTAAGGATTACAATTCACACGAGTTTTGGTAAAGAAACACAGCCAAATCATATTATTCTGACCCTGATCCCCACAGACTCATGACCTTCTCACAGAGCAAAATATATTCATGCCTTTTTAAAAGTTTCCAAAAGTCTTAACTCATTCCAACATTAACTCAAATGTAAAAAAATCAACATCTCATCTGAGACAAGTCTACAGTACCTTTTGCCTATGAGTCCCTGAATTTAAAAGTATGTTCTTTTCTTTCAAAGTACAATAATGGTACAGGCTTTGGGTAAGCTTTTTCAATCCAAAGGGAAGGAATTTCCCAGGAAGAAAACACAAATGGGACCACAGACCCAATACAAGTCCGAAACCCAGAAGGCCAGTATCCATTCAATCTTACAGCTCCAAAATCATGAAGAGAACTCACTATCACAAGGACAACAATAAGGAGAGTGTTTAATCATTTGTGAAGCATCCGCCCCCCAACCCCCAATTTTCACTCCTCACCCGCACCATAAATCCCCCATTCTCCCTATGCCCCATCTTCCAACCCCCACTCTCCACCCTGATTAAATCACTTTCCACCAGGCACCACCTTTAACATTCCGATGATAATTCCACATAAGTTTTGGTAGAGACACAGAGCTGAATTTTATTATTCTGTCCCTGGCTCCCCAAATCACATGTCCTTCTCACATTGCAAAATATAATGATGCCTTCCCTACAGTCTCCTAAAATCTTATATCATTACAGCATTTATACAAATGTTCAAAGTTTAAAGTCTCATCTGACACAAGGCTACGGTCGCTTAGGCCCATGAGCCTCTGAAATATAAAGCAAATTAACTACTTCCAAGGCACAATGCTTGCACAGGCATTGGGTAAGCATTCCCAGCCAAAAGGAATAATTTTGCCAGAAAAAAACAAAACACACACAGGACTTACCGGTCCCAAGAAACTCCAAACCAGAAGGCCAGTCATTCAATCCTACAGCTTCAAAATCACCCTTTTTGAAACTATGTCCCACCTCCATGGCACAGGGGTGTGAGGTCTGGGCTCCCAAGGCCTTGGGCAGCTTGGCACCTGTGGCTTTGCAGGGTTTATGCCCCAAGGCTGCCCTCAGGGGCTTGGCTGGTGTTGAGTGCCTGTGACTTTTCCCCACTGAGGATGCAAGTTGTTGGGGGTCTATGAATCTGGGGTCTGCAGGATGGTGGCCTCCAGTGTGGACGTTCCAAGCCCATGTTTTCCTTCTGCACTGCCCTAGTAGAAGTTTCATATAAGGCTCTGCCTTTTTGGGATGCTTTTGCCTGGACACCCAGGCATTTCCATACATCTTCCAAAATCTATAGAGAGGTTCCCAAGCCTCTATTCTCATGCTCCGTCCACCAGTGGCTTAACACTATGAGGAAGTTACCAAGGCTTCTAGGCGGCACGCTCTGTAGCAGTGACCCAAGCTGTACCTGTGCATTTTTCAATCATGACTGGAGCTGGAGCTGGAGCTGGAGCTGCAGGGATGCAGGCAGCAGTGTCCTGAGGCTGCACACAGAGGGGGGTCATGGAACTCGCCCAGGAAACCATTCTTCTCTCCTAGGCCCCAGGGCCTCTAACAGCAAGGGCTGCTGCAAACTTCTCTGAAATGCCTTCCAGGCCTTTTCCCTATTGTCTTGTCTAATAGCACTGGGCTCCTTTTCATGCAAGTTTCTGAAGCCTTCCTCAATTTTCCCCCTGAAAATCAGCTTTTCTTTTTGACCACATGTCCGGGCTGCAAATTTGCCAAACTTTTGAGTTCTGTTTCTCATGTAATGTAAGAGTCGGGACTCATTTACTGTAAGTCTCATCCAGAGGTCATTTTCTCCATCAGACATAAGAGCACAGGCTGTTTGATGGAGACAGGACACCTCTTGAGCTTTGCTGCCCAGTTCATTCCACCAGATACTCAGTAAATCATCACCCTCATGTTCAAAGTTTCAGAGATCTCCACGGCGAGGTCACTGTGCAGCCACGTTCTTTGCTAAGGAAACAAAAGTAACTTTGACTTCTGTTCCCAGTAAGTGCTTCATTTTCATCTGAGACCTTCTAAGTCGGGCTTTCACTGACCATTTTCCTGTGAGCCTTCTGATCACAAGTGTTTAACAATTCTTTACAAAGATCCAAACTTTCATTCATCTTCTTGTCTTTGAAGCCCTCCAAACTCTCCCAACCTCTGTCCGCTACTCCCTTCTGAACCTGCTTCTACATTATCACTATTTTTGCCACAGCCTGGCAATGTGGTAAAGGAAGACAAGTCCATTTTCAGGGGGAAAATTCATGAAGCCTTCACATACTTGAATGAAAAGAAGCTGAGTGCTGATTTGCAAGACATTGACATTTAATAGTTCCACTTTGCTCCACTAATTTTCTCTATGATCATAAAGAAAAGAGGTTTAATTGGCTCATGATTCTGCAGGCCATAAGGAAACATAATGGCTTCTGAATCTGGAAGGACTCAGGAAGCCTCCCAATCATATCAGAATGTCCAGGGGCAATGAGGTGATTCATGTGGCAGGCGTAGGCACAAGACAGAGAGACGAAAGGGGGCCACACCCTATTATACAACCAGATCTCATGAGAACTCACTATCACAAGGTCAGCATCATGAACATGGTACCTAAACATTGATGAAGGAAAAACAACCCACCCCCAACTCCCACTGTTTCCAAACAGAAGCCTGCCGCACAGGCAGAGCCTCTTGGAAAACCTCTACCAGGGAAGTGTGGAAGGAAAATATGGGCTTGAAGCCCCCATGCAGATGGCCACCAACCTCCAGACCCCAGATTCATAGACCCACCAAAAGCTCACACCCACTGTGGAAAAGCTACAGGCACTCAACAAAAGCCCAGCCCATGAGAGCAGATGCAGGAGCTAAACCCTGCAAAGCTACAGGTGCACTATCCTAGTAGAGGTTTCCCATGAGGCTTTGCCTCTACAGCACGCTACTCCCCCTTCTTACTACCCCCCAACCTCCCACCATTCTACTGCCAGCCTACTCCTCCCCAACCTAACCAACCCATTTGTGATACCCTACCTTGTTTCAACCTGGTTGACTCTCCCTTAACTGAGAGGGCCAGACAGACTCCATCTTGGCTCCTTCACTTGCAGCCCCTTACCCACCCCCCTTCCTCAACGACTTAACTTGTGCAAGCTGAATCCCAGCACATCAAAGAATTCAATTACTGACAAGATACTCTGGCAAGCTATATCCACAGTTCCCAGGAATTGGCCCGGTTGATAGTACCCAAAACCCCTGCATTTGTGTCCAGTTGACAGCATCCAAAGCCCCCACATCTCTCACCTTTTGATGGATTTAAAGCCCCTGAAACTGGAACTGTTTGCTTTCCTGTAGCCATTTATCTTTTTAACTTTTTTGCCTGTTTTGCTGCTGTGAGAGTCCTTCAGCTAGGCTCCACCTCCCCCTTTCTAAACCAAAATATAAAAGAAAATCTAGCCTCTTCTTCCGGGCCAAGAGAATTTTGAGCACTAGTGGTCTCTCAGTTGCCGGCAATAAATGTCCCCTGAATTCGTCTCATAGTGTGGCGTTTCTCTACAACTCACTCGGTTACAACCCTTTTCCTTCCACCCCCGACCACCTCCAATCCATGATTAAATCATCTCCCCCAGGCCCCACCTTCAACATTTGGAATTACAATTCCACCTGAATTTTTATAGGGACACACAGCCAAACCGTATTATTCTGACCCGGATGTCCCAGAATCTCATGTCCTTATCACAGAGCAAAATACCATCATCCCTTCTGTCTATGAGTTCCTGAATTTAAAAGAGATTTCTTTTCTTTCAAGGTACAATGATGGTACAGGCGTTGTGTAAGCTCTCTCAATCCAAAGGGAAGAAATTTCGCAGAAAACAGATATGGGACCTCAGGCCAAATGGAAGTCCAAAAAACAGCAGGACAGTATTCACTCTATCTCACAGCTCAAAAATCATCATGAGAACTCACTATCATGCAGACAGCATTAAGGAGATAGTGTTTACCCATTTGTGAAGAATCTGCCCTCCCACCCTCATCTTTCACTCCCACCCACAAAATAATCTCTCCCATTATCCCCACACCCCTACCTCCTAAACCCACTCTTCTCCATGATTAAATCACCTCCCGCCAGGTCCCACCTTTAACATTCCCCACTACAATTCCACATGAATATTGGTAGAGACACAGAATCAAATCATATTATTCTGGCTCTTGCTCCCCTAATCTTCTTTCCCTGTCACACTGCAAAATACACTGATGACTTCTCTACTGTCCCCCAATGACTTAACTCATTCCAGCATTTACTGAAATGTCCAAGGACTTACAGACCCCGTACGAGTCAAAAACGCAGCAGGCCAGTCATTGAATCCTACAGCTCCAAATCATCTTTTCTGAATGGACATCTCACATCCAGAGCACAGGCATGTCATGGCTGGGCTCCCAAGGCCTTGGGCAGCTCTGCACCTGTGGCTTTGCAAGGTCTAACCTCCACAGTGGCTCTCATGGGCTGGGCTGGTGTTGAGTACCTGCAGCTTTTCCACAATGAGGGTGCAAGCTGTTAGAGAGTCTATGAATCTGGCATTTGCAGAATGGTGCCTCCCTGTATGGGGGTTCCAGCCCTATATGTTTCTTCTGTACTGCCCTAGTAAAGAAGGCTCTGTTTCTTGGAAAATTTTGACCTGGACACCCAGGTTTCTCCATATGTACTCTGGAGTCTAGACAAAGGATCCCCAGCCTCCAGTTTTGTGCTCTTCACACCTGCTGGCTTAACACTATGTGGAAGCCACCAAAGCCTGCAGCTTGTGCCCTCTGAAGCAGTGACCAAGCTGTACCTGTCCATCTTTCAGCCATGGCTGGAGCTGGAGCTTCAGAAATGCAG
Organism: Homo sapiens; assembly: GCF_000001405.40. NCBI lineage: Eukaryota > Metazoa > Chordata > Mammalia > Primates > Hominidae > Homo > Homo sapiens. The sequence goes on along the minus strand of NC_000018.10, from coordinate 14,306,285 downwards.
CCAGCAGTGTCCTGAGGATGGACACAGCAGCTGGGCCATGGTGCTGGAGAAGGAAACCATTCTTTTCTCCCAGGCCTCAGGGCCTGTGATAGCAAGGGCTGCTACAAAAGTCTCTGAAATACCTTCAAGGCCTTTTTAACACTGTATTGGCTATTAGCACTGAACTCCATTTTATGCAAATTTCTGAAGACTTCTTGAACTTTCTCACTGACAATCAGCTTTTCTTTTTGACCACTTGTCCAGGCTGCAAATTTTCCAAACTTTTAAATATGTTTCACCATGAGGTCATTTCTCTGGTCACATATACGACCACAGGCTGTTCGACACAGACAGGACACCTCTTAAGCTTTGCTGCCTAAAATTTCCTTCCACCAGATACACTCTAAATTATCACCCTGATGTTCAAAATTTCACACGTCTCCACGTTAAGGGCATCGTGCAGCAACGTTCTTTGCTAAGGAAAAAACAAAAGCGACCTTGGCTCCTGTTCCCAGCAAGCTCCTCATTTTCATGTGAGAACTTCTAAGCCTGGTAATCACTATCCATCCTTCTGTCACCTTTTTAATTACAACTATTTGACAAGTCTCTACACTGATCCAAACTTTTCCTCATCTTCCTGTCTTCTTCCAAGACCTCCAAACTCTCCAACCTCTGGCCATTACACACTTCTCAACCTGCTTCTACATTTTCAGCTACATTTGTCACAGCCTGGCAATGTGGTAAAAGAAGAAAAGTCCATTTCAGGAGAAAAATTAATGCAGGCTTCAGACATTTGCCTGAAAAGGAGCTGAGTGCTGATTACCAAGACAATAATGAAAAGGCCTTGAAGGCATTTCATAGCTCCACTTCACAGCACTAAATTTATGTATAATCAGAAAGAAAAGAGGTTGAACTGGTTCATGGTTCTGCAAGCTTTAAATAAATCCTAGAGGCTTCTGCCTCTGGGAGGACTCAGGAAGCCTCCCAATCATACCAGAAGACCAAGCAGTAATGGGATGTTTTATATGGCAGAAGTAGAAACAAGACAGAGAGAGGAAAAGGGTGCCACATGTTGTATAAACCTGTTATACAACCAGATTTCCTGAGAACTCACTATCACAAGGTCAGCATCAAGAAGATGTTGCTTAACCATTGGTGAAAGATCTGCCCCCTACCACCCCTACCCCCCACTGTTTCCAGGCAGAAGCATGAAGCAGAGGCAGAGCCACTAGGAAAACTTCTACTAGGGCAGTACAGAAAAAATATATGGGCTTGGAGGCCCCACACAGGAGGTTACCAACCTCCAGACCCCAGATTCATAGACCCACCAGCAGCTTGCACTCTCAGTATGGAAAAGCTACAGGCACTCAACACCAGCCCAGCCCATGAGAGCAACCATGGGTGCTAAAGCCTGCAAAGCCACAGGTGCACTGCCCTGGTATAGAGGCTTTCCATGAGCCTTTGCTTCTGCAGCAGGCTACTCCCCCTTTCTACTGCCCACCAGCATCTCACCACCCTACTGCCAGCCTACTCCTCCCCACACTACCCACTTGTTTTCCCTTCCACCCCTACCACTCTGCCGTTTGTGATTAAATTACCTCCCACCAGGCTCGACCTACAACAGTCAGGAATACAATTCCGCATGAGATTTTGTAGGGAAACACAGCCAAACCATATTATTCTGACCCTGACACCCCCAAATCTCATGTCCTTCTCACACAGAAAAATACAAACATGCATTTTCAAAAGTTTTGAAAAGTCTTAACTCACTCCAGCAGTAACTCAAATGTAGTAAGTTCAAGTCTCAACCAAGAGAAGGCTGCAATCCCTTCTGCCTATGAGTTCCTGAATGTAAAAGACAATTCTTTTCTTTCAAGTTACAATGATGGCACAGGCACTGGGTAAGCTTTCTCAAACCAAAGGGAAGATTTTCCCAGAAAAATAACACAAATGGGACACAGGCCCAATCCGAGTCTAAAACCCAGCAGGACAGCATTCATTTATCATGAGAACTCACTATCACACAGACTGCATTAAGGAGATAGTATTTAACCATTTGTGAAGGATCTGCCACCCATCCCCATGTTTCATCCTCACCCACACCATGAACCTCCATTCTCCCACATCCCCCTTCCAACCCCCATTCTCTACCATGATTAAATCACGTTCCACCAAGCCCCACATTTAACATTCCCCATTACAATCCCACAGGAATTTTGGTAGGGACACAGAGCCAAACCATATTATTCTCCCTTTGGCCCCCAATCTCATGTCCGTCTCATATTGCAAAATACAATGATGCATTCTTTACAGTACTCCAATGTCTGAACTCATTCCAGCGTTTACTCAAATGTCTATTTGTGAAGGATCCGCCCCCACCACTCCCTTTCACCCCCAACCCCACCACAATCCCCCCAACCTCCCCACCCCCCAATCCCCCACCTCCCCACCACCACAATCACCCCAACCCTCCCCACCCTCCCAACCATCCAACCTCCACTCTCCACCATGATTAAATCACCTTCCACCAGCCCCCACCTTTAACATTTCCCATTAAAATTCCACATGAGTTTTGGCAGAGACACAGAGCCAAAACATATTATTCTGTCCTGGTCCCCCAAAGTTCATGTGTTTCTCACATTGCAAAATGCAATGATGCCTTCCCTAGAGTCCCCCAAGTCTTAACTCATCCCAGCATTTACTCAAATGTCCAAAGCCCAAAGTCTCTTCTGAGACAAGGCTGCCATATCTTTTGCCCCGAGCCTCTGAAATACAAAGCAAGTTAACCACTTCCAAGGTACAATGGTTGTACAGGCATTGGGTAAGCCCTCCCAGCCAAAGAGAAGAAATTGGCCAGAAAGAAGCACAAAACACAGATGGGACTTACAAACCCCCCACAAGTCAAAAACCCAGCAGGGCAGTCATTCCATCATACAGCTCCAAATCAATTTTTTGGCATCTATGTCCACATCCAGAGCACAGGGTGGTGTGACAGCTGGGATCCCAAGGCCTTGGGCAGCTCTGCACCTGTGGCATTGCAGAATCTTTCCCCCACAGCTGCCCTCATTGGCTAGGCTGGTGTTGAGTGCCTGTAGCTTTTCAACACTGAGGGTGCAAGCAGTTGGTGGGTCTATGAAACTGGGGTCTGGAAAATGGTGGCTCCCTGTATAGGGACTTCAACCCTATACTCTCCTTCTGTACTGCCCCAGTAGAGGTTTACCATGAGGCTCTGCCTCTTGGAAAAGCTTCTGGCTGGACACTCAGGCTTTCCAATATATCCACTGGAGTCTAGATGAAGGCTCTGAAGCTTCTAGTCCTGTGTTTTATGCACCTGCTGGCTTAACACCATGTGGAAGCCACCAAGGCTTGGAGCTTGCATCTTCTGAAGCAGTGACACAAGCTGTACCTGTGCATCTTTCATCCATGGCTGGAGCTGGAGATGGAGCTCCAGGGATGCAGGCAGCAGTGTCCTGAGGCTGCACACAGCAGTGGAGCCATGGGGCTGGGCCAGGAAACTATTCTTTTCTCCTAAGCCCCAGGGCCCGTGACAACAAGGTCTGCTACAAAGGTCTCTGAAATTCCTTCAAGGCCTCTTTCCCATTGTCTTGAATTATTAGCACTAGGATCCTTTTTATGCAAATATCCAAGGCCTTCTTGATTTTCCCCTTGAAAATCAGCTTTTCTTTTTGACCAGATTACAAATTTCCCAAATGTTGAATCTCTGCTTCTCACTTAAATATAAGTTCCAACTTATGGTCATTTCTTTGATCACACACAGGAGCACAGGCTGTTCGATGTAGGCAGGACAACTCTTGAGCTTTGCTGCTTATAAGTTCATTCCACCAGATACACCTTAAATCATCATCCTCAAGTTCAGTTTCACAGATCTCCCGGGAAGGGTCACTGTGTAGCCAATTACTTTGCTAAGGCAAAATAAAAAAACCTTGGCTCCTGTTCCCAGTAAGTTCCTCATTTTCATCTGAGACCTTACAAACCTGGCCTTCACTGTCCATCCTTCTGTCAGCCTTTTAATCACAACTATTTAACAAGTCTCTGCAACGGTCCAAACTTTCCCTCATCTTCCTGTCTTCTTCCAAGCTCTCCAAACTCTCGAACCTCTGGCCATTACCCAATTTGGAATCTGCTTCTACACTGTCAGCTATCTTTGTTGCAGCCTGGCAATGTGGTAAAAGAAGAAAAGTCCATTATCAGGGGGAAACACCAAGATGGCCTCCAATATCTGCATTGAAGAAAGCTCAGTGCTAATAGCCAAGAGATTAGGGGAAAGGCCTAGAAGTCATTTCATAGCTTTACTTCACAACATTAATTTTCTGTATCTACATAAAGAAAAGAGGTGTAATTGACTCACAGTTCTTCAGGCTGTAAGAAAGAACAGTGGTTTTTGCTTATAGGAGGACTCAGGAAGCCTCCCAATTATACCAGAAGGCCAAGCAGCAATGAAATGTTTCGTATGGCAGGAGTAGAAGCAGAACAGAGAGAGGAAAGAGGTGCGACATCCTGTTATACAACTAGATCTCATGAGAGCTCAGTATCAGGAGATCAGCATCAAGAAGATGGTGCTTCACTGTTGGTGAAGGATCCGCCCACTATCCCATATCCACCACCCACTGTTTCCAAGCAGAAGCCTGAGGCAGAGGCAGATCCTCTTGGAAAACCTCTACTACGGCAGTGCAGAAGGAAAATATGGGCTTGGAGCCCCCATGCCACCATCCTCCAGACCCAAGAGTCATAGACCCACCAACAGCTCACACGCCCATTATGGAAAAGCGACAGGCATTCAACATCAGCCCAGCCCATGAGAGCAGCTACAGGTGCTAAACCCTGCAAAGCCACAGGTGCACTGCATTAGGAGAGTTTTTCCATGAGCCTCTGCCTCTGCGGCATGCTACTCCCCTTCTGCTACACACCACCCTACAGCCAGCTTACCCCTCCCCACCTTACCCACCAGTTTTTAATTCCAACCCCACCCGTCTCCCATCCATGAATAAATCACCTCCCACCACGCCCCACCTGCAACATTCGGGATTACAATTACATGTGAGTTTAGGTAGGGACACACAGCTAAACCATATTATTCTGATCCTGATCCCCTGAATATCATATCCTTCTCACAGAGTAAAATACAATCAGGCCTTTTCAAAAGTTGCCGAAAGTCTTAAGTCATTTCAGCATTAACTCAAACGTAAAAAGTACAACGTCTCACCTGAGAAAAGGCTACAATTCCTTTTGCCTATAAGTTCCTGAATTTAAAAGAGCGTTCTTTTCTTTCAAGGTACAATGATGGTACAGGCATTGGGTAAGTTTTCTCAATCCAAAGGGGAGAGGTCTGCCAGGAAAACAACACAAATGGGATCACAGGGCCAATGCAAGTCCAAAACCCAGGAGGCCAGTATCCACTCAATCTCACGGCTCCAAAATCATCACGAGAACTCACCATCATGAGGAAAGGACTAAGGAGATGGTGTTTAACTATTTGGGAGGGATCCTCCTCCCACCCCCAGTTTTCACCCCTCACCCCCACCATAATCCACCCATTCTCCCCAATCTACACCTTCCAACACCCAGTGCCCTCCACGATTAAATCACCTTTCACCTGGTCCCACTTTTAACATTTCTGATTACAATTCCACATGAGTTTCCATAGGGAAACACAGCCAAATCTTATTATTCTGTCCCTGCCCCACAAATCTCATGTCCTTCTCACTTTGCAAAATACAATGATGCCTTACTTACCATTCCTCAAGCCACTATGCTTTATTTTTACAGCCTGCAGAACCATGAGCCAATCAAACCCCTTTTTGTTATGATCATACAGAAAATTAGTACTGTGAAGTGAAGCTATGAAATGCCTTCAATGACTTTTCCCAATCGTCTTGGCTAAGACCCCCAAGGCCTTAACCATTTCCAGCATTTACTTAAATGTCTGAAGCCCAAAGTCTCATCTGAGACAAAGATGCAGTCCCTTCTGCTCCTGAGCCTCTGAAAAGCAAAGCAAGTTAACTACTTCCAAGGTATGATTGTTCAGACATTAAGTAAGAATTCCCAACCAAAAGGAAGATTTTTGCCAGAGAGAAGCACAAAACACAAACACGACTTACAGGTCCCATGAAAATCCAAAACCCAGCCGGCCAGTTATTCAAACCTACAGCTCCAAAGTCATCCTTTTTTAATCCTTGTCCCACATCCAGGACACAAGGGTATGAGGGCGGGGTTCCCAAGGCCTTGGGCATTTCTCTACCTGTGGCTTCACAGTGTTCAGTCCCCACAGCTGCCCTCATGGGCTGTGCTGGTGTTTACTGCCTGTAGTTTCTACTCACAGAGGGTACAAAATTCTTGGTGGGTCTATAAATCTGGGGTCTGCATGATGCTGGCATCCAGTGTGAGGGCTCCAACCCCGTATTTTCTTTCTGCACTGCCCTAGTAGAGGTTTCCCAGGAGGCTCTGCTTTTTTGGCAGCCTTCTGTCTGGACACCCAGGCATTTTCATACATCTTCTGAAATCTATATAAAGGCTCCGAAGCCTCTGGGCTAGTGCTCTGTGTGTTCACTGGCTTAACACTATGTGGAAGCCATGAAGCCTTATGGCCTGTACCCTCTGAAGCAGTGATGCAATCTGTACCTGTGCATCTTTCAGCCAAGATCGGAGCAGGAGCTGGGGCTGCCGGGATGCAGGCAGCAGTGTCCTGAGGCTGCACACAGCAGCAGGGTCACAGGGCTGGCCCAGGAAACCACTCATCTCTCCTAGGACCCAGGGCCTGACAGCAAGTGTTGCTGCAAACATCTCTGAAATGCCTCCAAGGCTTTTTCCCCCATTGTCTTGGCTATTAGCACTGGCCTCCATTTAAAGCAAATTTCTGGAGACTTCATGAATTTTCCCGCTGAAAATCAGCTTTTCTTTTTGACCACTTGGCCAGGTTGCAGATGTTCCAAACTTTTGAGCTCTGCTTGTCATTTACATGTAACTTCCAACTTGAGGTCATTTCCTCGGTCACACACAACCTCGGTCACACATGAGAGCACAGGCTGTTTGATGCAGACACCCCCTCCCATTGTGCTATGCTGCCTAGAAGTTCATTCCACCAGATATGCACTAAATCATCACCCTCGAGTTCAAAGTTTCACAGATCTTGAGGGCAAGGTCGCCGTGCAGCCATGTTCTTTGCTACAGCAAAACAAAACTTAACCTTGGCTCCCATTCCCAGTAAGTCCCTCATTTTCATCTGGGACCTTGTAAGACTGGCCTTCACTTCCATCCTTCTGCCAGCCTTTTAATCACAACTATTTGACAAGTGCCCACAATGATCCAAACTTTCCTTCATCTTCCTGTCTTCTTTCAAGATCTCCAGACTCTCCAACCTCTGGCTGTTACCCACTTCTGAACCTGCTTTACATTTTCAGCTATCTTTGTTGCAGCCTGGCAATGCAGAAGAAAAAGAAGTCCATTTTCAGGGGGAAACTTCAAGAAGCCTTCAGATATTTGCATTAAAAAGAAGTCCAGTGCTAATAGCCAAGACGATGGGGAAATGTCATTGAAGATATTTCATAGCTCCATTTCGCAGTACTTTATTTTCTTTATGATCATAATGAAAAGGGGTTTAATTGGCTCACGGTTCTGCAGGCTGTAAATAAAGCATAGTGGCTTCTGCTTCTGGGAGGACTCAGGAAGCCTCCCAATCATACCAGTAGGAAAACAGCAATGAAATGTTTCATTAAGCAGGAGTAGGAGCAAGGCTGAGAGAGGAAAGAGGTGCCACACCATCCTATAACCAGATCTCATGAGAACTCACTATCACTAGGACAGCATCAAGAAGATGGTGCTTAACCATTGGTGAAGGATCCACCCCCCAACACATCTCCACCCCCTACCGTTCCAGACAGAAACCTGCTGCAGAGGCAGAGGCTCTTGGAAATCCTGTACTATGGCAGTGCACAAGGAAAATAAGGGCTTTGAGTGACTATGCAGAAGGCCATCATCCTCTAGATCCCTGATTCATAGACCTACCAAAAGTTCACACCCTCAGTATGGAAAAGTGATAGGCACTCAACAGCAGCCCAGCCCATGAGAGCAGCCATGGGGGCTAAAGCCTGCAAAGCCACAGGCGCAGTGCCCTGGTAGAGGTTTTCCATGAGCCGCTGCCTCTGCAGCAGGCTGCTCCCCCTTCCTACTACCCACCACCCTCCCACCACCCTACAGCCAGCCTACTCTTCCCCACCCTACCCACCCCTTTTTTCTTCCACCCCTAACCCTCCCACCCATGATTAAATAATCTCCCACCAGGCCCCAACTCCAACATTTGGGATTACAATTCCACATGAGATTTTCCAGGGGCACACAGCCAAATCTTATTATGCTGACCTTGACCCCCCCCCAAATCTCATATCCTTCTCACAGAAGAAAATACAATTGTGCCTTTTCAAAGTTTCCAAAAGCCTTAACTCATTCCCGCATTAACTCAAATGTAAAAAGTTCAAAGTCTCATCTGAGACAAGGCTACAGTCTCTTCTGCCTATGAGTCCCTGAAGTTAAAAATGTGTTCATTTCTTTCAAGGTACAATGATGGTACAGGTATTGGGTAAGCTCTCTCAATCCAAAGGGAAGAAATTTCCAAGAAAAATAACACAAATGGGACCACAGGCCCAATGGACATCCAAAATCCCACAGGTCAGTGTTCATTCAATCTCACAGCTCCAAAATCATGAAGAGAACTCACTATCAGAAGGACGGCATTAAGGAGATGGTGTTTAACCGTTTGTGAAGGATGCAACCCCACCCTGCCTTATACCCCCAACCCCACCACAATCCCCTCCAACCCTCCTCACCACCCAATCACCCCCAACCCTCCCCGACCCCCAACCATCCAACCTCCTCTCTCCATCATGATTAAATCACCTTCCACCAGCCCCCACATTTAACATTTCCCATTAACATTCCACATGAGCTTTGGTAGAGACAGAGAGCCAAAACATATTATTCTGTCCCTGGTCCCCCAATGTTCATGTCTTTCTCACATTGCAAAATGCAATGATGCCTTCCCTAGAGTCTCTCAAATCTTAACTCATTCCAGCATTTGCTCAAATGCCCAAAGCCCAGAGTCTCATCTGAGACAAGTCTACAGTCCCTTCTGACCATGAGCCACTGAATTATATATAAAGTAAGTTTACTACTTCCAAGGCGCAATGATTGTACAGGCGTTGGTTAAGCATTCCCACCCAAAAGGAAAAAATTTGTCAGAAAGAAACACAAAACACAGATGGGACTTACAGACCCCATGCAAGTCAAAAACCCAGCAAGCCAGTCATTGATTCCTACAGCTCCCAAGTCATCTTTTCTGAATCTATATCCCACATCTGGAGCACGGGGGTGGACGGCTGGGCTCCCAAGGCCTTGGGCAGCTCAGGATCTGTGGCTGTGAAGGGTCTATCCCCCACAGGTGCCCTCATGGGCTGGGCTGGTGTTGAGTGCCTTTGGCTTTTCCACACTCAGGATGCCAGCAGTTGGCGGGTCTATGAATCTGGGGTCTGGAAAATAGTGCATTCCTCTTTGGGGGCTGCAACCCTATATGTTCCTTCTGTACTGCTCTAGTAAAGTTTTCCCATGAGGCTCTGCCTCTTGGAAAAGCTTCTGCCTCAACACTCAGGTTTTCCCGTACATACTCTGGCGTCTAGACAAAGGCTCCCAAGCCTCTAGTTTTGTGCTCTGTGCACCTGCTGGCTTAGTACTATGTGGAAGCCACCAAGGTTTGAAGCTTGCACCCCTGAAGCAGTGACGCAAGCTGTATCTGTGCATCTTTCAGCCATGGCTGGAGCTGGAGCTGGAGCTTCAGGGATGCAGGCAGCAGTGTCCTGAGGATGGACACAGCAGCGTGACCATGGGACTCACCGAGAAAAGCATTCTTCGGTCCTAGAACTCAGGGCCTGTGACAGCAAGCTCTGCTGCAAAGGTCTCTGAAATGACTTCAAGGCCTTTTAAACATTGTCTTAGCTATTAGCACTGGGCTCCATTTTATGAAAATTTCTGAAGCCTTCTTGAATTTTCCCACTGAAAATCAGCTTTTCTTTTTGACCACTTGGCCAGGCTGCAAATTTTCCAAACTTTTAAGCCCTGCTTCTCATTTAAATATAACTTTCAACTTGAGGTCATTTATATATAGTCACACAGAAGACCACAGGCTGTTCAAAACAGACAAGACACCTCTTGAGCTTTGCTGCCTACTTCATTTCACCAGACATACCCTAAATCATCACCCCCAAGTTCAAAGTTTCAGAGGTCTCCAGGGCAGGGACACCATCCAGCCAAGTTCTTTGCTAAGGCAAAACAAAAGTAACCTTGACTCCTGTTCCCAGTAAGTTGCTCATTTTCATCTGAGACCTTCTAAGCCTGGCCTTCACTGTCCATCCTTCAGTCACTCTTTTAATTATGGCTATGTAACAAGTCTCTATGCTCACCCTTTTAATTTAACACGTCTCTACAAGAGTCCAAATTTTCCCTTATCTTTCTGTCTTCTTCCAAGCCCCCCAAACTGTGCAGCCTCCGGTCGTTACCCACTTCTGAATCTGCTTCTATATTTTCAGCTACCGTTGTGGCAGCCTGGCAATGTGGTAAAAGAAGAAAAGTCCATTTTCAGGGGGAAATTTCAAGAAGGCTTCAGATATTTCCATATAAAAGAAGCCAAATGCTAATAGTAAAAAAAAAAGAGGAAAACACCTTGATGGCATTTCATAGCTCCACTCTACAGTACAAATTTTCTGTAATATTATTTTTAAAAGAGGTTTAATTGGCTCATGTTTCTGCAGGCTGTAAAGGCAGCAAGTGGTTTCTGCTTCTGGGAGGACTCAGGGAGCCTCACAATCATAGCAAAAGGCCAAGTGACAATGAGATGTTCCATATGGCAGGAGTAGGAAGACGACACAGAGAGGAAAGAGGTGCCACACCAGTTTATACAACCAGATCTCATGAGAACTCACTATCAGGAGATCAGCATCAGGAAGATTAACCAATGGTGAAGGATCCTCCCACACCACCGCCTACTGTTTCCAGGCAGAAGCCTCCTGCAGAGGCAGAACTTCTTGGAGAAACTCTACGAGTGCAGTGCAGAAGGAAAATATGGGCTTGGAGCCCCCACACAGGAGGCCACCATCCTCCAGACTGCAGATTCATAGACCCACCAACAGCTTGCACTCTCTGAGTGGAAAACCTACAGGAACTCAACACCAGCCCAGCCCACGAGAGCATCCATAGGGGCTACACCCTGCAAAGCCACAGGTGTTCTACCCTAGTAGAGAATTTCCATGAGCCTCTGCCTCTGCAGCAGGCTAATCCCCTTCCTGCTACCCACCACCCTCTCACCACCCTACTAACAACCTACTTCTCACCCTACCCACCTCTTTTCCTTGCACCCCCGGCCCCCTCCCATCCATGATTAAATCACCTCCAGCCAGGCCCCACCTCCAACATTAAGGATTACAATTCACATGAGTTTTGGTAAGGAAACATAGCCAAATCATATTATTCTGACGCTGATCCCCACAGTCTCATGCCTTTCTCACAGAGCAAAATATATTCATGCCTTTTCAAAAGTTTCCGAAGACTTAACTCATTCCAACATTAACTCAAATGTAAAAAAATCAACATCTCATCTGAGACAAGTCTACAGCACATTTTGCCTATGAGTCTCTGAATTTAAAAGGATGTTCTTTTCTTTCAAGGTACAATAATGGTACAGGCTTTGGGTGAGCTTTTTCAATCCAAAGGGAAGAAATTTCCCAGGAAGAAAACACAAATGGGACCACAGACCCAATACAAGTCCGAAAGCCAGAAGTCCAGTACCCATTAAACCTTACAGCTCCAAAATCATGAAGAGAACTCACTATCACAAAGACAGCAATAAGGAGAGTGTTTAATTATTTGTGAAGGATCCGCCCCCCACCCCCAATTTTCACTCCTTACCCGTACCATAAATCCCCCATTCTCCCTACACCCCATCTTCCAACCCCCACTCTCCACCCTGATTAAATCACCTTCCACGAGGCACCACTTTTAACATTCCGATGACAATTCCACATAAGTTTTGGTAGAGACACAGAGCTGAATTTTATTATTCTGTCCCTGGCTCCCCAAATCTCATGTCCTTCTCACATTGCAAAATATAATGATGCCTTCCCTACAGTCTCCAAAAATCTTATATCATTACAGCATTTATACACATGTTCAAAGCTTAAAGTCACATCTGGCACAAGGCGACAGTTGCTTAGGACCATGGGCCTCTGAAATATAAAGCAAGCTAACTACTTCCAAGGTACAATGCTTGTACAGGCATTGGGTAAGCATTCCCAGCCAAAAGGAAGAATTTTGCCAGAAAAAACAAAACACACACAGGACTTACCTGCCCCATGAAACTCCAAACCCAGAAGGCCAGTCATTCCATCCTACAGCTCCAAAACCACCCTTTTTGAAACCCTGTCCCACATCCAGGGCACAGGGGTGTGAGGGCTGGGCTCCAAAGGCCTTGGGCAGCTTGGCACCTGTGGCTTTGAAGGGTTTATGCCCCACGGCTGCCCTCAGGGGCTCGGCTGGTGTTGAGTGACTGTGACTTTTCCCCACTAAGGATACTAGTTGTTGGGGGTCTATGAATCTGGGGTCTGCAGGATGGTGGCCTCCAGTGTGGAGGCTCCAACCCCATGTTTTCCTTCTGCACTGCCCTAGTAGAAGTTTCATATAAGGCTCTGCCTTTTTGGGATGCTTTTGCCTGGACACCCAGGCATTTCCATACATCTAAAATCTATAGAGAGGTTCCCAAGCCTCTATTCTCATGCTCCGTCCACCAGTGGCTGAACATTATGAGGAAGTTACCAAGGCTTCTAGGTGGCACCCTCTATAGCAGTGACCCAAGCTGTACCTGTGCATCTTTCAGTCATGGCTGGAGCTGGAGCTGGAGCTGGAGCTGGAGCTGCAGGGATACAGGAAGCAGTGTCCTGAGGCTGCACACAGAGGTGGGTCATGGAACTCGCCCAGGAAACCATTCTTCTCTCCTAGGCCCCAGGGCCTCTAACAGCAAGGGCTGCTGCAAAAGTCTCTGAAATTCCTTCAAGGCCTTTTCCCTATTGTCTTGTCTAATAGCACTGGGCTCCTTTTCATGCAAGTTTCTGAAGCCTTCCTCAATTTTCCCCCTGAAAATCAGCTTTTCTTTTTGACCACATGGCCAGGCTACAAATTTTCCAAACTTTTGAGTTCTGTTTCTCATGTAATGTAAGAGTTGGGACTCATTTACTGTAAGTCTCATCCAGAGGTCATTTCCTCCATCACACATAAGAGCACAGGCTGTTCGATGCAGACAGGACACCTCTTGAGCTTTGCTGCCCAGTTCATTCCACCAGATATTCAGTAAATCATCACCCTCATGTTCAAAGTTTCAGAGATCTCCACGGCGAGGTCACCGTGCAGCCACGTTCTTTGCTAAGGTAACAAAAGTAACCCTGACTTCTGTTCCCAGGAAGTGCTTCATTTTCATCTGAGACCTTCTAAGTCGGGCTTTCACTGACCATTTTCCTGTGAGCCTTCTGATCACAAGTGTTTAACAATTCTTTACAAAGATCCAAACTTTCATTCATCTTCTTGTCTTTGAAGCCCTCCAAACTCTCCCGACCTCTGTCCGCTACTCCCTTCTGAACCTGCTTCTACATTATCACTATCTTTGCCACAGCCTGGCAATGTGGTAAAGGAAAACAAGTCCATTTTCAGGGGGAAAATTCATGAAGCCTTCACATACTTGAATGAAAAGAAGCTGAGTGCTGATTTGCAAGACAATGACATTTAATAGTTCCACTTTGCACTAATAATTTTCTCTATGATCATAAAGAAAAGAAGTTTAATTGGCTCATGATTCTGCAGGCCATAAGGAAACATAATGGCTTCTGAATCTGGGAGGACTCAGGAAGCCTCCCAATCATACCAGAATGTCCAGGGGCGATGAGATGATTCATGTGGCAGGCGTAGGCACAAGACAGACAGAGGAGAGAGGGCCACACCCTATTATACAACCAGATCTCATGAGAACTCACTATCACAAGGTCGGCATCATGAAGATGGTGCTTAAACATTGATGAAGGAACAACCACCCACCCTCAACTCCCACTGTTTCCAAACAGAAACCTGCTGGACAGGCAGAGCCTCTTGGAAAACCTCTACCAGGGAAGTGTGGAAGGAAAATATGGGCTTGAAGCCCCCATGCAGATGGCCACCAACCTCCAGACCCCAGATTCATAGACCTACCAACAGCTCACACTCTCTGTGGAAAAGCGACAGGCACTCAACAACAGCCCAGCCCGTGAGAGCAGCTGCAGGGGCTAAATCCTGCAAAGCCACAGGTGCACTGCCCTAGTAGAGGTTTTCCATGAGGCTTTGCCTCTGCAGCAGGCTACTCCCGATTCCTACTATCCCCCACCCTCCCACCATTCTACTGCCAGCCTACTCCTCCCCACCCTAACCAACCCTTTTGTGATACCCTACCTTGTTTTAACCTGGTCGACTCTCCCTTAGCTGAGAGAGCCAGACAGACTCCATCTTGGCTCCTTCACTTGCAGCCCCTTACCCACCCCTCTTCCTCAAGGACTTAACTTGTGCAAGCTGACTCCCAGCACATCAAAGAATTCAATTACTGATAAGATACTCTGGCAAGCTATATCCACAGTTCCCAGGAATTCACCCGGTTGATAGTACCCAAAAGCCCTGCATTTGTGTCCAGTTGATAGCACCCAAAGCCCCCACATCTATCACCTTTGGATGGATTTAAAGCCCCTGCACCTGGAACGGTTTGTTTTCCTGTAGCCATTTATCTTTTTAACTTTTTTGCCTGTTTTGCTGCTGTGAGATTCCTTCAGCTAGGCTCCCCCTCCCCTCTCTAAACCAAAGTATAAAAGAAAATCTAGCCCCTTCTTCTGGGCCAAGAGAATTTTGAGCACTAGCAGTCTCTCAGTTGCTCTCAATAAAGGTCTCCTGAAGTCGTCTCATAGTGTGGCGTTTCTCTACAACTCATGCGGTCACAACCCTTTTCTTTCCACCCCCAACCACCTCCAATCCATGATTAAATCATCTCCCCCAGGCCCCACCTTCAACATTTGGAATTACAATTCCACCTGAATTTTTATAGGGACACACAGCCAAACCATATTATTCTGACCCTGATATTCCAGAATCTCATGTCCTTAACTCAGAGCAAAATACAATCATGCCTTTTCAAAAGTTCCAACAGCCTTAACTCATTCCAAGTGTAAAAAGTTCAAAGTCTCATCTGAGACAAGGCTACTGTCCCTTCTGCCTATGAGTTCCTGAATTTAAAAGAGATTTCTTTTCTTTCAAGGTACAATGATGGTACAGGCGTTGTGTAATCTTTCTCAATCCAAAGGGAAGAAATTTCGCAGAAAACACAACTGGGACCACAGGCCAAATGCAAGTCCAAAACCCAGCAGGACAGTATTCACTCAATCTCACAGCTCAAAAATCATCAAGGGAACTCACTATCATGCGGACAGCATTAAGGACATAGCGTTTACCCGTTTGTGAAGGATCTGCCCTCCCACCCTCATCTTTCACTCCCACCCACAAAATAATCTCTCCCATTATCCCCACACCCCTACCTCCAACACCCGCTCTTCTCCGTGATTAAATCACCTCCCACCAGGTCCCACCTTTAACATTCCCTACTACAATTCCACATGAATATTGGTAGAGACACAGAATCAAATCATATTATTCTGGCTCTTGCTCCCCAAATCTTCTATTCTTGTCACACTGCAAAATACAATGATGACTTCTCTACTGTCCCCCAATGACTTAACTCATTCCAGCATTTACTGAAATGTCCAAGGATTTACAGACCCCATACAAGTCAAAAACCCAGCAGGCCAGTCATTGAATCCTACAGCTCCAAATCATCTTTTCTGAATGGACATCTCACATCCAGAGCACAGGCGTGTCATGGCTGGGCTCCCAAGGCCTTGGGCAGCTCTGCACCTGTGGCTGTGCAGGGTCTATCCCCCATGGGTGCCCTCACAGGCTGGGCTGGTGTTGAGTGCCTGTAGCTTTTCCACACTAAGGTTGGAAAGGCCAGCTGTTGGTGGGTCTATGAATCTGGGGTCTGGAGAATGGTGCCTCCATATTTAGGGACTCCAGCCTTGTATTCTCCTTCTGTACTGCCCTAGTAAAGGTTTCCCATGAGGCTCTGCCTCTTGGAAAAGGTTCTGCCTGAACACCCAGGTTTTTCCATACATACTCTGGAGTCTAGATGCAGGCTTCCAAGCCTCTAGTTTTGTCCTATGTGCAGCTGCTGGCTTAACACTATGTGGAAGCCACCAAGGCTTGGAGCTTGCACTCCTGAAGCAGTGATGCAAGTTGTACCTGTGCATCTTTCAGCTATGGCTGGAGTTGGATCTGCAGGGATGCAGGCAGCAGTGTCCTGAGGCTGCACACAGACAGGGGTTATGCAACTGGCCCAGGAAACCATTCTTCTCTCCGAGGCCCCAGGGCCTATGATAGCAAGGGCTGCTGCAAAGGTTTCTGAAATGGCTTCAAGGCCTTTTCCCTATTGTCTTGGCTATTAGCACTGGGCTCCTTTTCATGCAAATTTCTGAAGCCTTCCTCAGTTTTCCCCTGGAAATCAGCTTTTCTTTTTGACCATTTGGCCAGGCTGCAAATTGTTGAGTTCTGTTTCTCATTTAATATAAGAGTTGGGAGTGATTTAATGTAAGACCCATCCAGATGTCATTTCCTCGGTCACACATAAGGGCACGGGCTTTTTGATACAGACAGGACACCCTTTCAGCTTTGCGACCCAGAAGTTCATTCCATCAGATACGCAGTAGGTCATCACCCTCAAGTTCAAAGTTTCACAGATCTCCAGGGCAGGGTCACTGTGCATCCACGTTCTTTGCTACAGCAAAACAAAAGTAACCTTGGCTCCTGTTTGCAGTAAGTTCCTCATTTTCATCCGAGAGCTTCTGAATCTGATCCTTACTGTCTATTTTCCTGTGAGCCTTCTGATCACAAGTATTTAACAACTCTTTACAAAGATCCAAACTTTCCCTCATCTCCCTGTCTTTGAAGTCCTCCAAACTCTCCCGAACTCCATCTGCTACCCCCTTCTGAACCTGCTTCTACATTATCAGCTATCTTTTCCCTGCCCTGGCAATGTGGTAAAGGAAGACAAGCCCATTTTCAGGGAAAAATTCAAGGAGGCTTCAGATACTTGAATAAAAAGAAGCCCATTGCTGATTGCCAAGACATTAGGGAGAAGGCCTTGAAGACATTTAACAGTTCCACTTTGCAGTAATAATTTTCTCCATGATCATAAAGAAAAGAGGTTTAATAGGGTAATGATTCTGCAGGCTGTAAGGAAGCATAGTGGCTTCTGCATCTGACAGGACTCAGGAAGCCTCCCAATCATACCAGAATGTCAAGGGGCAAGGAGATGTCTCATACGGGAAGAGTAGGAGCAAGACAGAGAAAGGAAAAAGTTGTCATGCCCCATTTTACAAGCAGATCTCATGAGAACTCATTATCACAAGGTCAGCATCTAGAAGATGGTGCTTAAACATTGGTGAAGGATCGGCCCCCCACCCCCAGCTCCCACTGTTTCCAGGCAGAAGCCTCCTTCAGATGCAGAGCCTCTTGGAAAACCTCTATTATGGAAGTGCAGAAAGAAAATATGGGCTTGGAGCCCCCACATATGTGGCCACCAACTTCCAGATCCCAGATTCATAGACCCACCAACAACTCACACCCTTAGTGTGGAAAAGCTACAGGCCCTCAGTACCAGCCCAGCCCACGAGAACAGCGGAGGGGTTAAAACCTGCAAAGCCACAGGTGCACTGCCCTAGTAGAGGTTTCCCACGAGGCTTTGCCTCTGCAGCAGTCTACTCCCCCTTCCTACTACCCCCCACCCTCCCACCACCCTACTGCTAACCCACTCCTCCCAATCCTACCCATCCTTTTTACCTTTCACTGCCAACAACCTCCTGTCCATAATTAAGTCACCTGCTTCAACATTAGGGATTACAATTCCACATGAGTTTCATAGGGACACTCAGGCAAACCATGTAATTCTGACCCCGATATTCCAGAATCTCATGTCCTTATCACAGAGCAAAATACCATCATGACTTTTCAAAAGTTTGCAAAATCTTAACTCATTCCAAATGTAAAAAATTCAGTCTCATCTGAGACCACGCCACAGTCTTTTCTGTTTATGAGTCCCTGAATTTAAAACGGAGTTATTTTCTTACAAGGTACAATGATGGTACAGGCGTTGTGTAAGCTTTCTCAGTCCAAAGGGAAGAAATTTCCCAGAAAAATAACACAAATGGGCCCACAGGCCCAATGCAAATCCATAACCCAGCAGGACAGTATTCACTCAATCTCTCAGCTCCAAAATCATCAAGAGAACTCACTATCAGGTGAACAGCATTAAGGAGAGTGTGTTTATCCATTTGTGAAAGATCTGCCCCCCACCCTCATCTTTCACTCCCACCCACAAAATAATCTCCCCTATTCACCCCACTCCCCTACCTCCAAACCCCATGCTTCTCCATGATTAAATCACCTCACACCAGGTCCCATTTTTAACATTCCCCATTATAATTCCACATGATTTTGGTAGGGATGCAGAACCAAATCATATTATTATGACCCTGGCCCCCATATCTCACGATCTTCTCACACTACAAAATACAATGATGCCTTCTCTACACTTTCCCAATGTCTTCACTCATTCCAGCATTTACTGAAATGTCCAAAGCCCAAAGTCTCTTCTGAGACAAGGCTGCAGTCCCTTCTGCCCATGAGCCTCTGAAATACAAAGCAAGTTAACTACTTCCAAGGTACAATGATTGTACAGGCATTGGGTAAATATTCCCAGCCAAAAGGAAAAAAATTGCCAGAAAGAAGCACAAAACACAGTTGAGACTTACAGACACCATGCAAGTCAAAAACCCAGCAGGAGAGTCATTGAATCTTACAGCTCCAAATCATTTTTTTTAATCCAGATCCCACATCCAGAGCACAAGGGTATGAGGCCTGGGCTCCCAAGGCCTTGGGCAGCTCTGCACCTGTGGCTTTGCAAGGTCTAACCTCCACAGTGGCTCTCATGGGCTGGGCTGGTGTTGAGTACCTGCAGCTTTTCCACAATGAGGGTGCAAGCTGTTAGAGAGTCTGAATCTGGCATTTGCAGAATGGTGCCTCCCTGTATGGGAGTTCCAACCCTATATGTTCCTTCTGTACTGCCCTAGTAAAGGAGGCTCTGCGTCTTGGAAAATTTTGACCTGGACACCCAGGTTTTTCCATATGTACTCTGGAGTCTAGACAAAGGATCCCCAGCCTCCAGTTTTGTGCTCTGCACACCTACTGGCTTAACACTACGTGGAAGCACCAAAGCCTGCAACTTGCTCCCTCTGAAGCTGTGACCCAAGCTGTACCTGTGCATCTTTCAGCCATGGCTGGAGCTGGAGCTTCAGGAATTCAGCCAGCAGTGTCCTGAGGATGGACACAGCAGCTGGGCCATGGTGCTGGAGAAGGAAACCATTCTTTTCTCCCAGGCCTCAGGGCCTGTGATAGCAAGGGCTGCTACAAAAGTCTCTGAAATGCCTTCAGGGCCTTTTTAACACTGTATTGGCTATTAGCACTGAACTCCATTTTATGCAAATTTCTGAAGACTTCTTGAACTTTCTCACTGACAATCAGCTTTTCTTTTTTTTTGACCACTTGTCCAGGCTGCAAATTTTCCAAACTTTTAAATATGTTTCACCATGAGGTCATTTCTCTGGTCACATATACGACCACAGGCTGTTCGACACAGACAGGACACCTCTTAAGCTTTGCTGCCTAAAATTTCCTTCCACCAGATACACTCTAAATTATCACCCTGATGTTCAAAATTTCACACGTCTCCACGTTAAGGGCATCGTGCAGCAACGTTCTTTGCTAAGGAAAAAACAAAAGTGACCTTGGCTCCAGTTCCCAGCAAGCTCCTCATTTTCATGTGAGACCTTCTAAGCCTGGTGATCACTGTCCATCCTTCTGTCACCTTTTTAATTACAACTATTTGACAAGTCTCTACACTGATCCAAACTTTTCCTCATCTTCCTGTCTTCTTCCAAGACCTCCAAACCCTCCAACCTCTGGCCATTACACACTTCTCAACCTGCTTCTACATTTTCAGCTACATTTGTCACAGCCTGGCAATGTGGTAAAAGAAGAAAAGTCCATTTCAGGAGAAAAACTAATGCAGACTTCAGACATTTCTGTGAAAAGAAGCTGAGTGCTGATTACCAAGACAATAAGGAAAAGGCCTTGAAGGCATTTCATAGCTCCACTTCACAGCACTAAATTTCTGTATAATCAGAAAGAAAAAAGGTTGGACTAGATCATGGTTCTGTAAGCTTTAAATAATTCCTAGAGGCTTCTGCCTCTGGGAGGACTCAGGAAGCCTCCCAATCATACCAGAAGACCAAGCAGTAATGGGATGTTTTATATGGCAGAAGTAGAAACAAGACAGAGAGAGGAAAAAGGTGCCACATGTTGTATAAACCTGTTATACAACCAGATTTCCTGAGAACTCACTATCACAAGGTCAGCATCAAGAAGATGTTGCTTAACCATTGGTGAAAGATCTGCCCCCTACCATCCCCACCCCCCACTGTTTCCAGGCAGAAGCCTCAGGCAGAGGCAGAGCCACTAGGAAAACCTCTGCTACGGCAGTGCAGAAAAAATATATGGGCCTGGAGGCCCCACACAGGAGGTCACCAACCTCCAGACCCCAGATTCATAGACCCACCAGCAGCTTGTACTCTCAGTATGGAAAAGCTACAGGCACTCAACACCAGCCCAACCCATGAGAGCAAACATGGGGGCTAAAGCCTTCAAAGCCACAGGTGCACTGCCCTTGTTTAGAGGTTTTCCATGAGCTCTGCCTCGGCAGCAGGCTACTCCCCCTTCCTACGGTCCACCACCCTCTCACCACGCTACTGCCAGCCTATTCCTCCCCACCCTACCCACTTGTTTTCTCTTCACCCCTACCACTCTGCCCTTTGTGGTTAAATCGCCTCCCACTAGGCCCCACCTACAACAGTCAGGATTACAATTCCCCATGAGATTTGTAGGGAAACACAGCCAAACCATATTACTCTGACCCTGACACCCCCACATCTCATGTCCTTCTCACACAAAAAAATACAAACATGCATTTTCAAAAGTTTCAAAATGTCTTAACTCACTCCAGCAGTAACTCAAATGTAGTAAATTCAAGTCTCAACCAAGAGAAGGCTGCAATCTCTTCTGCCTATGAGTTCCTGAATGTAAAAGACAATTCTTTTCTTTCAAGTTACAATGATGGCACAGGCACTGGGTAAGCTTTCTCAAACCAAAGGGAAGATTTTCCCAGAAAAATAACACAAATGGGACACAGGCCCAATCCGAGTCCAAAACCCAGCAGGACAGCATTCATTTATCATGAGAACTCACTATCACACAGACTGCATTAAGGAGATAGTATTTAACCATTTGTGAAGGATCTACCACCCATCCCCATGTTTCACCCTCACCCACACCATGAACCTCCATTCTCCCACATCTGCCTTCCAATCCTCATTCTCTACCATGATTAAATCACCTTCTACCAAGCCCCACATTTAACATTCCCCATTACAATCCCACATGTGTTTTGGTAGGGACACAGAGCCAAATCATATTATTCTCCCTTTGGCCCCCCAATCTCATATCCTTCTCATACTGCAAAATACAATGATGCATTCTCTACAGTCCCCCAATGTCTGAACTCATTCCAGCATTTACTCAAATGTCCATTTGTGAAGGATCGGCCCCCACCCCTGCCTTTCACCCCCAACCCCACCACAATTGCCCCAAGCCTTCCCACCCCCCAATCCCCCACCTCCCCACCACCACAATCCCCCTAACCCACCCCACCCCACAATCCCCCCAACACTCCCCACCCTCCCAACCATCCAACCTCCACTCTCCACCATGATTAAATCACCTTCCACCAGCCCCCACCTTTAGCATTTCCCATTAAAATTCCACATGAGTTTTGGTAGAGACACAGAGCCAAAACATATTATTCTGTCCCTGGTCCCCCAAAGTTCATGTCTTTCTCACATTGCAAAATGCAATGATGCCTTCCCTACAGTCCCCCAAGTCTTAACTCATCCCAGCATTTACTCAAATATCCAAAGCCCAAAGTCTCTTCTGAGACAAGGCTGCCATATCTTTTGCCCCGAGCCTCTGAAATACAAAGCAAGTTAACCACTTCCAAGGTACAATGGTTGTACAGGTATTGGGTAAGCATTCCCAGCCAAAAAGAAGAAATTTGCCAGAAAGAAGCACAAAACACAGATGGGACTTAGAAACTCCCTGCAAGTCAAACACCCAGCAGGCCAGTCATTCCATCATATAGCTCCAAATCATCTTTTTGGAATCTATGTCCACATCCAGAGCACAGGGTGGTGTGACAGCTGGGATCCCAAGGCCTTGGGCAGCTCTGCCCCTGTGGCATTGCAGAATCTTTCCCCCACAGCTGCCCTCATTGGCTAGCCTGGTGTTGAATGCCTGTAGCTTTTCAACACTGAGGGTGCAAGCAGTTGGTGGGTCTATGAAACTGGGGTCTGGAAAATGGTGCCTCCCTGTATGGGGACTCCAACCCTATATTCTTCTGTACTGCCCCAGTAGAGTTTTACCATGAGGCTCTGCCTCTTGGAAAAGCTTCTGGCTGGACACTCAGGCTTTCCAATATATCCTCTGCAGTCTAGATGAAGGCTCTGAAGCTTCTAGTCCCTGCTTTATGCACCTGCTGGCTTGACACTATGTGGAAGCCACCAAGGCTTGGAGCTTGCATCCTCTGAAGCAGTGACACAAGCTGTACCTGTGCATCTTTCATCCATAGCTGGAGCTGGAGATGGAGCTGCAGGGATGCAGGCAGCAGTGTCCTGAGGCTGTACACAGCAGTGGAGCCATGGGGCTGGGCCAGGAAACTATTCTTTTCTCCTAAGCCCTAGGGCCCTTGACAACAAGGTCTTCTACAAAGGTCTCTGAAATGCCTTCAAGGCCTTTTTCCCATTGTTTTGAATCATTAGCACTGGGATCCTTTTTATGCAAATATCCGAGGCCTTCTTGATTTTCCCCTGAAAATCAGCTTTTCTTTTTGACCAGATTACAAATTTCCCAAATGTTGAATCTCTGCTTCTCATTTAAATATAAGTTCCAACTTATGGTCATTTCTTTGATCACACATAGGAGCACAGGCTGTTCGATGTAGGCAGCACAGCTCTTGAGGTTTGCTGCTTAGAAGTTCATTCCACCAGATACACCCTAAATCATCATCCTCAAGTTCAGTTTCACAGATCTCCTGGGAAGGGTCACTGTGTAGCCAATTACTTTGCTAAGGCAAAACAAAAAAACCTTGGCTCCTCTTCCCAGTAAGTTCCTCATTTTCATCTGAGACCTTACAAACCTGGCCTTCACTGTCCATCCTTCTGTCAGCCTTTTAATCACAACTATTTAACAAGTCTCTGCAACGGTCCAAACTTTCCCTCATCTTCCTGTCTTCTTCCAAGCTCTCCAAACTCTCGAACCTCTGGCCATTACCCAATTTGGAATCTGCTTCTACACTGTCAGCTATCTTTGTTGCAGCCTGGCAATGTGGTAAAAGAAGAAAAGTCCATTATCAGGGGGAAACATCAAGATGGCCTCCAATATCTGCATTGAAAAAAGCTCAGTGCTAATAGCCAAGAGATTGGGGGAAAGGCCTAGAATTCATTTCATAGCTTTACTTCACAGCATTAATTTTCTGTATCTACATAAAGAAAAGAGGTGTAATTGACTCACAGTTCTTCAGGCTGTAAAGAAAGCATAGTGGTTTTTGCTTATAGGAGGACTCAGGAAGCCTCCCAATTATACCAGAAGGCCAAGCAGCAGTGAAATGTTTCATATGGCAGGAGTAGAAGCAAGACAGAGAGAGGAAAGAGGTGCGACATCCTGTTATACAACTAGATCTCATGAGAGCTCAGTATCAGGAGATCAGCATCAAGAAGATGGTGCTTCACTGTTGGTGAAGGATCCGCCCACTATCCCATATCCACCACCCACTGTTTCCAAGCAGAAGCCTGAGGCAGAGGCAGATCCTCTTGGAAAACCTCTACTAGGACAGTGCAGCAGGAAAATGTGGGCTTGGAGCCCCCATGCCACCATCCTCCAGACCCAAGAGTCATAGACCCACCAACAGCTCACACCCCCAATATGGAAAAGCTACAGGCACTCAACATCAGCCCAGCTCATGAGAGCAGCTACAGGTGCTAAACCCTGCAAAGCCACAGGTGCACTGCCTCAGTAGAGTTTTTCCATGAGCCTCTGCCTCTGCGGCATGCTACTCCCCTTCTGCTACACGCCACCCTACAGCCAGCTTACCCTCCCCACCTTACCCACCAGTTTTTAATTCCAACCCCACCCGTCTCCCATCCATGAATAAATCACCTCCCACCACGCCCCACCTGCAACATTCGGGATTACAATTACATGTGAGTTTAGGTAGGGACACACAGCTAAACCATATTATTCTGACCCTGATCCCCCGAATATCACATCCTTCTCACAGAGTAAAATACAGTCATGCCTTTGCAAAAGCTGCTGAAAGTCTTAAGTCATTTCAGCATTAATTCAAATGTAAAAAGTTCAACATCTCACGTGAGAAAAGGCTACAGTTCCTTTTGCCTATAAGTTCCTGAATTTAAAAGGGAGTTCTTTTCTTTCAAGGTACAATGATGGTACAGGCATTGTGTAAGCTTTCTCAATCCAAAGGTGAGATGTTTGCCAGGAAAACAACACAAATGGGATCACAGGGCCAATGCAAGTCCAAAACCCAGGAGGCCAGTATCCATTCACTCTCATGGCTCCAAAATCATCACGAGAACTCACCATCATGAGGAAAGGATTAAGGAGATGGTGTTTAACTATCTGTGAGGGATCCTCCCCCCACCCCCACTTTTCACCCCTCACCCCCACCATAAACCACCCATTCTCCAAAATCCCCACTTTCCAACACCCAGTGCCCTCCACGATTAAATCACCTTCCACCTGGTCCCACTTTTAACATTTCTGATTACAATGCCACATGAGTTTCCACAGGGACACACAGCCAAATCTTATTATTCTGTCCCTGCCCCACAAATCTCATGTCCTTCTCACTTTGCAAAATACAATGATGCCTTACTTACTATTCATCAACCACTATGCTTTTTTTTTACAGCCTGCAGAACCATGAGCCAATCAAACCCCTTTTTGTTATGATCATACAGAAAATTAGTACTGTGAAGTGAAGCTATGAAATGCCTTCAATGACTTTTCCCAATCGTCTTGGCTAAGACCCCCAAGGCCGTAACTCATTCCAGCATTCACTTAAATGTCTGGAGCCCAAAGTCTCATCTGAGACAAAGATGCAGTCCCTTCTGCTCCTGAGCCTCTGATATACAAAGCAAGTTAACTACTTCCAAGGTATGATTGTCCAGACATTGAGTAAGAATTCCCAACCAAAAGGAAGATTTTTGCCGAGAGAAGAACAAAACACAAACGGGACTTACAGGTCCCATGAAAATCCAAAACCCAGCCGGCCAGTTATTCAAACCTACAGCTCCAAAGTCATCCTTTTTTAATCCTTGTTCGACATCCAGGACACAAGGGTATGAGGGCGGGGTTCCCAAGGCCTTGGGCATTTCTCTACCTGTGGCTTTGCAGTGTTCAGTCCCCACAGCTGCCCTCATGGGCTGTGCTGGTGTTGACTGCCTGTAGTTTTTACCCACAGAGGGTACATAGTTCTTGGTGGGTCTATAAATCTGGGGTCTGCATGATGCTGGCATCCAGTGTGGGGGCTCCAACCCCATATTTTCCTTCTGCATTGCCCTAGTAGAGGTTTCCCAGGAGGCTCTGCTTTTTGGCAGCCTTCTGTCTGGACACCCGGGCATTTTCATACATCTTCCGAAATCCATATGAAGGCTCCAAAGCCTCTGGACTAGTGCTCTGTGCATTCACTGGCTTAACACTATGTGGAAGACATGAAGCCTTATAGCCTGTACCCTCTGAAGCAGTGATGCAATCTGTACCTGTGCATCTTTCAGCCAAGGTCGGAGCAGGAGCTGGGGCTGCTGGGATGCAGGCAGCAGTGTCCTGGGGATGCACACAGCAGCAGGGTCTTGGGGCTTGCCCAGGAAACCATTCTTCTCTCCTAGGACCCAGGGCCTGACAGCAAGTGCTGCTGCAGACATCTCTGAAATGCCTCCAAGGCTTTTTCCCCCATTGTCTTGGCTATTAGCACTGGCCTCCATTTTATGCAAGTTTCTGGAGCCTTCATGAATTTTCCCCCTGAATATCAGCTTTTCTTTTTGACCACTTGGCCAGGCTACAGATGTTCCAAACTTCTGAGCTCTGCTTGTCATTTAAAGATAAGTTCCAACTTGAGGTCATTTCCTCAGTCACACATAACCTCAGTCACACATGAGAGCACAGGCCGTTTGATGCAGACAGGACCCCCCCTTGTGCTATGCTGCCTAGAAGTTCATTCCACCAGATATGCACTAAATCATCACCCTCGAGTTCAAAGTTTCGCAGATCTTGAGGGCAAGGTCGCCCTGCAGCCATGTTCTTTGCTACAGCAAAACAAAACATATCCTTGGCTCCCATTCCCAGTAAGTTCCTCATTTTCATCTGAGACCTTGTAAGCCTGGCCTTCACTTCCATCCTTCTTTCACCCTTTTAATCACAACTATTTAACAAGCGCCCACAATGGTCCAAACTTTCCTTCATCTTCCTGTCTTCTTTCAAGATCTCCAAACTCTCCAACCTCTGGCTGTTACCCACTTCTGAACCTGCTTTACATTTTCAGCTATCTTTGTTGCAGCCTGGCAATGCAGAAGAAAAAGAAGTCCATTTTCAGGGGGAAACTTCAAGAAGCCTTCAGATATTTGCATTAAAAGAAGTCCAATGTTAATAGCCAAGACGATGGGGAAATGTAATTGAAGATATTTCATAGCTCCACTTCGCAGTACTTTATTTTCTGTATGATCATAATGAAAAGGGGTTTAATTGGCTCATGGTTCTGCAGGCTGTAAAGAAAGCACAGTGGCTTCTGCTTCTGGGAGGACTCAGGAAGCCTCCCAATCATACCAGTAGGAAAACAGCAATGAAATGTTTCATACAGCAGGAGTAGCAGCAAGGCTGAGAGAGGAAAGAGGTGCCACACCGTCCTATAACCAGATCTCATGAGAACTCACTATCACTACACGTCAGTATCAAGAAGATGGTGCTTAACCATTGGTAAAGGATTCGCCCCCCCAGCACAGCTCCAACCCCTACCATTCCAAACATAAGCCTGCTGCAGAGGCAGAGGCTCTTGGAAATCCTGTACTATGGCAGTGCAGACGGAAAATAAGGGCTTTGAGTGACTATGCAGGAGGCCACCTTCCTCTAGACCCCGGATTCATAGACCTACCAAAAGTTCACACCCTCAGTATGGAAAAGTGATAGGCACTCAACAGCAGCCCAGCCCATGAGAGCAGCCATGGGGGCTAAAGCCTGCAAAGCCACAGGCGCACTGCCCTGGTAGAGGTTTTCCATGAGCCGCTGCCTCTGCAGCAGGCTACTCTCCCTTCCTACTACCCACCACCCTCCCACCACCCTACAGCCAGCCTACTCTTCCCCACCCTACCCACCCCTTTTTTCTTCCACCGCTACCCCTCCCATCCATGATTAAATAATCTCCCACCAGGCCCCACCTCCAACATTTGGGATTACAATTCCACATGAGATTTTCCAGGGGCACACAGCCAAATTTTATTATGCGAACCTTGACCCCCCCCAAATGTCATATCCTTCTCACAGAAGAAAATACAATCGTGCCTTTTCAAAGTTTCCAAAAGCCTTAACTCATTCCCACATTAACTCAAATGTAAAAAGTTGAAAGTCTCATCTGAGACAAGGCTACAGTCTCTTCTGCCTATGAGTCCCTGAAGTTAAAAGGGTGTTCGTTTCTTTCAAGGTACAATGATGGTACACGTATTGGGTAAGCTTTCTCAATCCAAAGGGAAGAAATTTCCAAGAACAATAACACAAATGGGACCACAGGCCCAATAGACATCCAGAATCCCACAGGTCAGTGTTCATTCAATCTCACAGCTCCAAAATCATGAAGAGAACTCACTATCAGAAGGACAGCATTAAGGAGATGATGTTTAACCACTTGTGAAGGATGCACCCCCACCCCTGCCTTACACCCCCAACTGCACCACAATCTCCTCCAACCCTCCTCACCACCCAATCACCCCCAACACTCCCCAACCCCACCACAATCCCCTCCAACCCTCCTCACCACCCAATCACCCCCAACCCTCCCCAACCCCCAACCATCCAACCTCCTCTCTCCATCATGATTAAATCACCTTCCACGAGCCCCCGCCTTTAACATTTCCCATTAACATTCCACATGAGCTTTGGTAGAGACAGAGAGCCAAAACATATTATTCTGTCCCTGGTCCCCCGATGTTCATGTCTTTCTCACATTGCAAAATGCAATGATGCCTTCCCTAGAGTCTCTCATATCTTAACTCATTCCAGCATTTACTCAAATGCTCAAAGCCCAGAGTCTCATCTGAGACAAGTCTACAGTCCCTTCTGACCATGAGCCACTGAATTGTATATAAAGCAAGTTTACTACTTCCAAGGTGCAATGATTACACAGGAGTTGGGTAAGCATTCCCACCCAAAGGGAAAAAATTTGCCAGAAAGAAACACAAAACACAGATGGGACTTTCACACCCCATGCAAGTCAAAAACCCAGCAAGCCAGTCATTGATTCCTACAGCTCCCAAGTCATCTTTTCTGAATCTATATCCCACATCTGGAGCACAGGGGTGGATGGCTGAGCTCCCAAGGCCTTGGGCAGCTCAGGATCTGTGGCTGTGAAGGGTCTATCCCCCACAGGTGCCCTCATGGGCTGGGCTGGTGTTGAGTGCCTTTGGCTTTTCCACACTCAGGATGCCAGCAGTTGGCGGGTCTATGAATCTGGGGTCTGGAAAATAGTGCATTCCTGTTTGGGGGCTGCAACCCTATATGTTCCTTCTGTACTGCTCTAGTAAAATTTTCCCATGAGGCTCTGCCTCTTGGAAAAGCTTCTGCCTCAACACTCAGGTTTTCCCGTACATACTCTGGCATCTAGACAAAGGCTCCCAAGCCTCTAGTTTTGTGCTCTGTGCACCTGCTGGCTTAGTACTATGTGGAAGCCACCAAGGTTTGAAGCTTGCACCCCTGAAGCAGTGATGCAAGCTGTACCTGTGCATCTTTCAGCCATGGCTGGAGCTGGAGCTGGAGCTTCAGGGATGCAGGCAGCAGTGTCCTGAGGATGGAAACAGCAACGTGACCATGGGACTCACCGAGAAAAACATTCTTCGGTCCTAGAACTCAGGGCCTTGACAGCAAGCTCTGCTGCAAAGGTCTCTGAAATGGCTTCAAGGCCTTTTAAACATTGTCTTAGCTATTAGCACTGGGCTCCATTTTATGAAAATTTCTGAAGCCTTCTTGAATTTTCCCACTGAAAATCAGCTTTTCTTTTTGACCACTTGGCCAGGCTGCAAATTTTCCAAACTTTTAAGCCCTGCTTCTCATTTAAATATAACTTTCAATTTGAGGTCATTTATTCAGTCACAGAGAAGACCACAGGCTGTTCAAAACAGACAAGACACCTCTTGAGCTTTGCTGCCTACTTCATTTCACCAGATATACCCTAAATCATCACACTCAAGTTCAAAGTTTCAGAGGTCTCCAGGGCAGGGACACCATCCAGCCAAGTTCTTTGCTAAGGCAAAACAAAAGTAACCTTGACTCCTGTTCCCAGTAAGTTGCTCATTTTCATCTGAGACTTTCTAAGCCTGGCCTTCACTGTCCATCCTTCAGTCACTCTTTTAATTATGGCTATGTAACAAGTCTCTATTCTCACCCTTTTAATTTAACACGTCTCTACAAGAGTCCAAATTTTCCCTCATCTTTCTGTCTTCTTCCAAGCCCCCCAAACTGTGCAGCCTCCGGTCGTTACCCACTTCTGAATCTGCTTCTACATTTTCAGCTACCGTTGTGGCAGCCTGGCAATGTGGTAAAAGAAGAAAAGTCCATTTTCAGGTGGAAAATTCAAGAAGGCTTCAGATATTTCCATATAAAAGAAGCCAAATGCTAATAGTAAAAAAAAAAAAAAAAAGAGGAAAAAACCTTGATGGCATTTCATAGCTCCACTCTACAGTACAAATTTTCTGTAATATTATTTTTAAAAGAGGTTTAATTGCCTCATGGTTTAGCAGGCTGTAAAGGCAGCAAGTGGTTTCTGCTTCTGGGAGGACTCAGGGAGCCTCCCAATATAGCAAAAGGCCAAGTGACAATGAGATGTTCCATATGGCAGCAGTAGGAAGAAGACACAGAGAGGAAAGAGGTGCCACACCAGGTTATACAACCAGATCTCATGAGAACTCACTATCAGGAGATCAGCATCAGGAAGACTAACCAATGGTGAAGGATCCACCCACACCACCACCTACTGTTTCCAGTCAGTAGCCTCCTGCAGAGGCAGAACCTCTTGGAGAACCTCCACGAGTGCAGTGCAGAAGGAAAATATGGGCTTGGAGCCCACACACAGGAGGCCACCATCCTCCAGACTGCAGATTCATAGACCCACCAACAGCTTGCACTCTCTGCATGGAACAGCTACAAGCACTCCACACCAGCCCAGCCCAAGAGAGCAGCCATGGGGGCCACAACCTGCAAAGCCACAGGTGCACTGTCCTAGTAGAGACTTTCCTTGAGCCTCTGCCTCTGCAGCAGGCTACTCCCCCTTCCTGCTACCCACCACCCTCTCACCACCCTACTAACAACCTACCCACCCCCTTTTCCTTCCACCCCCAGCCCCCTCCCATCCATGATTAAATCACCTCCAGCCAGGCCCCACCTCCAACATTAAGGATTACAATTCACATGAGTTTTGGTAAAGAAACACAGCCAAATCATATTATTCTGACCCTGATCCCCACAGTCTCATGTCCTTCTCACAGATCAAAATATATTCATGCCTTTTCATAAGTTTCCAAAAGTCTTAAATCATTCCAACATCAACTCAAATATAAAAAAGTCAACATCTCATCTGAGACAGTTCTACAGTACGTTTTCCCTATGAGTCTCTGAATTTAAAAGGATGTTCTTTTCTTTCAAGGTACAATAATGGTAGAGGCTTTGGGTAAGCACTTTCAATCCAAAGGGAAGAAATTTCCCAGGAAGGAAACACAAGTGGGACCACAGACCCAATACAACTCCAAAACCCAGAAGGCCAGTATCCATTCAATCTTACAGCTCCAAAATCATGAAGAGAACTCACTATCACAAGGACAGCAATTAGGAGAGTGTTTAATCATTTGTGAAGCATCCACCCCCCAACTCCCATTTTTCACTCCTCACCTGCACCATAAATCCCCCATTCTCCCTACACCCCATCTTCCAACCTCCACTCTCCACCGTGATTAAATCACCTTCCACCAGGCCCCACCTTTAACATTCCGATGACAATTCCACATGAGTTTTGGTAGAGACACAGAGCTGAATTTTATTATTCTGTCCCTGGCTCCCCAAATCTCATGTCCTTCTCACATTGCAAAATATAGTGATGTCTTCCCTACAATCCCCCAAAATCTTATATCATTACAGCATTTATTCAAATGTTCAAAGCTTAAAGTCTCATCTGGCACAAGGCTACAGTTGCTTAGGCCCATGAGCCTCTGAAATATAAAGCAAGTTAACTACTTCCAAGGTACAATGTTTGTAGAGGCACTGGGTAAGCATTCCCGGCCAAAAGGAAAAATTTTGCCAGAAAAAAATAAAACACAGACAGGACTTATCGGCCCCATGAAACTCCAAACCCAGAAGGCCATTCATTCAATCCTACTGCTCCAAAATCACCCTTTTTGAAACCCTGTCCCACATCCAGGGCACAGTGGTGTGAGGGCTGGGCTCACAAGGCCTTGGGCAGCTTGGCACCTGCGGCATTGCAGGTTTTATGCCCATGGGTGCCCTCATGGGCTCGGCTGGTGTTGAGTGCCTGTGACTTTTCCCCACTAAGGATACAAGTTGTTGGGGGTCTATGAATCTGGGGTCTGCATGATGGTTGCCTCCAGTGTGGAGGCTCCAACCCCATGTTTTCCTTCTGCACTGCCCTAGTAGAAGTTTCATATAATGCTCTGCCTTTTTGGGATGCTTTTGCCTGGACACCCATGCATTTCCATACATCTTCCAAAATCTGTAGAGAGGTTCCCAAGCCTCTAGTCTCATGCTCCGTCCACCAGTGGCTTAACACTATGAGGAAATTACCAAGGCTTCTAGCCGGCACCCTCTGTATCAGTGACCCAAGTTGTACCTGTGCATCTTTCAGTCATGGCTGGAGCTGGAGCTGGAGCTGGAGCTGCAGGGATGCAGGCAGCAGCGTCCTGAGGCTGCACACAGAGGGGGTTCATGGAACTCGCCCAGGAAACCATTCTTCTCTCCTAGGCCCCAGGGCCTCTAACAGCAAGGGCTGCTGGAAAGGTCTCTGAAATTCCTTCAAGGCCTTTTCCCTATTGTCTTGTCTAATAGCACTGGGCTCCTTTTCATGCAAGTTTCTGAAGCCTTCCTCAATTTTCCCCCTGAAAATCAGCTTTTCTTTTTGACCACATGGCCAGGCTACAAATTTTCCAAACTTTTGAGTTCTGTTTCTCATGTAATGTAAGAGTCGGGACTCATTTACTGTAAGTCTCATCCAGAGGTCATTTTCTCCATCACACATAAGAGCACAGGCTGTTCGATGGAGACAGGACACCTCTTGAGCTTTGCTGCCCAGTTCATTCCACCAGATACTCAGTAAATCATCACCCTCAAGTTCAAAGTTTCATAGATCTCCACGGCGAGGTCACCGTGCAGTCACGTTCTTTGCTAAGAAAACAAAAGTAACTTTGACTTCTGTTCCCAGTAAGTGCTTCATTTTCATCTGAGACATTCTAAGTTGGGCTTTCACTGACCATTTTCCTGTGAGCCTTCTGATCACAAGTGTTTAACAATTCTTTACAAAGATCCAAACTTTCTTTCATTTTCTTGTCTTTGAAGCCCTCCAAACTCTCCCGACCTCTGTCCGCTACTCCCTTTTGAACCTGCTTCTACATTATCACTATCTTTGCCACAGCCTGGCAATGTGGTAAAGGAAAACAAGTCCATTTTCAGGGGGAAAATTCATGAAGCCTTCACATACTTGAATGAAAAGAAGCTGAGTGCTGATTGCCAAGACATTGACATTTAATGGTTCCACTTTGCACCACTAGTTTTCTCTATGATCATAAAGAAAAGAGGTTTAATTGGCTCATGGTTCTGCAGGCCATAAGGAAACATAATGGCTTCTGAATCTGGGAGGACTCAGGAAGCCTCCCAATCATATCAGAATGTCCAGGGGCAATGAGATGATTCATGTGGCAGGAGTAGGCACAAGACCGAGAGAGGAGAGAAGACCACACCCTATTATACAACCAGATCTCCTGAGAACTCACTATCACAAGGCCAGCATCATGAAGATGGTGCTTAAACATTGAGGAAGGAAAAACCACCCACCCCCAACTCCCACTGTTTCCAAACAGAAGCCTGCTGGACAGGCAGAGCCTCTTGGAAAACCTCTACCAGGGAAGTGTGGAAGGAAAATATGGGCTTGAAGCCCCCATGCAGATGGCCACCAACCTCCAGACCCTAGATTCATAGACCCACCAACAGCTCACACCCTCTGTGGAAAAACTACAGGCTTTTCCAAACCTGAACACCAACCCAGCCCATGAAAGCAGCTGCAGGGGCTCAACCCTGCAAAGCCACATGTGCGGTGCCCTAGTAGAGGTTTTCCATGTGTCTGTGCCTCTGCAGCAGGCTACTCCCCCTTCCTACTACCCTCCACCTGCCCACCATTCTACTGCCAGCCTACTCCTCCCCACCCTAACCAACCCTTTTGTGATACCCTACCTTGTTTTAACCTGGTCGACTCTCCCTTAGCTGAGAGAGCCAGACAGACTCCATCTTCGCACCTTCATTTGCAGCTCCTTTACGCACACCCCTTCCTCAAGGACTTAACTTGTGCAAGCTGACTCCCAGCACATCAAAGAATGCAATTACTGATAAGATACTCTGGCAAGCTATATCCACAATTCCCAGGAATTCACCCTGTTGATGGTACCTAAAGCCCCCACATTTGTGTCCAGTTGATAGCACCCAAAGCCCCCACATCTATCACCTTTGGATGGATTTAAAGCCCCTGCACCTGGAACTGTTTGTTTTCCTGTAGCCATTTATCTTTTTAACTTTTTTGCCTGTTTTGCTGCTGTGAGATTCCTTCAGCTAGGCTCCCCCTCCCCTTTCTAAACCAAAGTATAAAAGAAAATCTAGCCCCTTCTTAGGGGCCGAGAGAAGTTTGAGCACTAGCGCTCTCTCAGTCGCCAGCAATAAAGGACTCCTGAATTCGTCTCATAGTGTGGGGTTTCTCTACCACTCGCTTGGTTACAACCCTTTTCCTTCCACCCCCAACCACCTCCGATCCATGATTAAATCACCTCCCCCAGGCCCCACCTTCAACATTTGGAATTACAATTCCACATTTATTTTTATAGGAACACACAGCCAAATCATATTATTCTGACCCTGATATCCCAGAATCTCATGTCCT
The DNA here is from genome assembly GCF_000001405.40 of Homo sapiens. Classification (NCBI taxonomy): domain Eukaryota; kingdom Metazoa; phylum Chordata; class Mammalia; order Primates; family Hominidae; genus Homo; species Homo sapiens. The sequence goes on along the minus strand of NC_000018.10, from coordinate 14,271,490 downwards.
TATCACAGAGCAAAATACAATCATGCCTTTTCAAAAGCTCCAGTAGCCTTAACTCATTCCAAGTGTAAAAAGTTCAAAGTCTCATCTGAGACAAGGCTACTGTCCCTTCTGCCTATGAGCCCCTGAATTTAAAGGAGATTTCTTTTCTTTCAAGGTACAATGATGGTACAGGCGTTGTGTAAGCTTTCTCAATCCAAAGGGAAGAAATTTCCCAGAAAAATAACACAAACGGGCCCACAGGCCAAATGCAAATCCATAACCCAGCAGGACAGTATTCACTCAATCTCACAGCTCAAAAATCATCAAGAGAACTCACTGTCATGCGGACAGCATTAAGGAGACAGTGTTTACCCCTTTGTGAAAAATCTGCCCCCTGCCCTCATCTTTCACTCCCACAAGATGATCTCTCCCATTCTCCCCACACCACTATCTCCAACACCCACTCTTCTCCATGATTAAATCACCTCCCACCAGGTCCCACCTTTAACATTCCCTATTACAATTCCACATGAGTGTTGGTAGGGACACAGAATCAAATCATATTATTCTGGCTCTTGCTCCCCAAATCTTGTATCCTTGTCACACTGCAAAATACAATGATGACTTCTCTACTGTCCCCCAATGACTTATCTCATTCCAGCATTTACTAAAATGTACAAGGACTTACAGACCCCATACAAGTCAAAAACCCAGCAGGCCAGTCATTGAATCCTACAGCTCCAAATCATCTTTTCTGAATCTACATCTCACATCTGGAGCACAGGTGTGTGATGCCTGGGCTCCCAAGGCATTGGGCAGCTCTGCACCTGTGGCTGTGCAGGGTCTATCCCCCACAGCTGCCCTCATGGGCTGGGCTGGTGTTGAGTGCCTGTAGCTTTTCACACTCAGTGTGCCAGCTGTTGGTGGGTATATGAATCTGGGGTCTGGAGAATGGTGCCTCCATATTTAGGGACTCCAGCCCTATATTGTCCTTCTGTACTGTCCTAGTAAAGGTTTCCCATGAGGCTCTGCCTCTTGGAAAAGCTGCTGCCTGAACACCCAGGTTTTTCCGTACATACTATGGAGTCTAGACAAAGGCTCCCAAGCCTCTTGTTTTGTGCTCTGTGCACCTGCTGGCTTAACACTATGTGGAAGCTACCAAAGCTTGAAGCTTGCACCCCTGAAGTGTGATGCAAGCTGTACCTGTGCATCTTTCAGCCACGGCTGGAACCAGAGCTGCAGGGATGCAGGCAGCAGTGTCCTGTGGCTGCATATAGAGGGGGGTCATGGAACTGGCCTAGGAAACCATTCTTCTCTCCTAGGCCCCAGGGCCTATATTAGCAAGGGCTGCTACAAAGGTTTCTGAAATGGCTTCAAGGCCTTTTCCCTATTGTCTTGGCTATTAGCACTGGGCTCCTTTTCATGCAAATTTCTGAAGCCTTCCTCAGTTTTCCCCTGAAAATCAGCTTTTCTTTTTGACCATTTGGCCAGGCTGCAAATTGTTGAGTTCTGTTTCTCATTTAATATAAGAGTTCGGACTCATTTAATGTAAGACCCATCCAGATGTCATTTCCTCGGTCACACATAAGGGCACAGGCTGTTTGATACAGACAGGACACCCCTTCAGCTTTGCGACCCAGAAGTTCATTCCATCAGATACGCAGTAAGTCATCACCCTCAAGTTCAAAGTTTCACAGATCTCCAGGGCAGGGTCACTGTACATCCACGTTCTTTGCTACAGCAAAACAAAAGTAACCTTGGCTCCTGTTTGCAGTAAGTTCCTCATTTTCATCTGAGAGCTTCTCAATCTGATCCTTACTGTCCATTTTCCTGTGAGTCTTCTGATCACAAGTATTTAACAACTCTTTACAAAGATCCAAACTTTCCCTCATCTCCCTGTCTTTGAAGTCCTCCAAACTCTCCTGAACTCCATCTGCTACCCCCTTCTGAACCTGCTTCTACATTATCAGCTATTTTTGTCACAGGCTGGCAGTGTGGTAATGGAAGACAAGCCCATTTTCTGGGGAAAAATTCAAGGAGGCTTCAGATACTTGAATAAAAAGAAGCCCATTGCTGATTGCCAAGACATTAGGGAGAAGGCCTTGAAGACATTTAACAGTTCCACTTTGCAGTAATTATTTTCTCCATGATCATAAAGAAAAGAGGTTTAATAGGTTAATGATTCTGCAGACTGTAAGGAAGCATAGTGGCTTCTGCATCTGACAGGACTCAGGAAGCCTCCCAATCATACCAGAATGTCAAGGGGCAAGGAGATGTCTCATATGGGAAGAGTAGGAGCAAGACAGAGAAAGGAAACAGGTGTCATGCCCCATTAAACAAGCAGATCTCATGAGAAGTCACTATCACAGGGTCAGCATCTAGAAGATGGTGCTTAAACATTGGTGAAGGATCCACCCCCCACCCCCGACTCCCACTGTTTCCAGGCAGAAGCCTCCTTCAGACGCAGAGCCTCTTGGAAAACATGTATTATGGAAGTGCAGAAAGAAAATATGGGCTTTGAGCCCCCACACAAGTGACCACCAACCTCCAGTTCCCAGATTCATAGACCCACCAACAACTCACGCCCTTAGTGTGGAAAAGCTATAGGCCCTCAATACCAGCCCAGCCCACAAGAACAGCTGAGGGGCAAAAACCTGCAAAGCCACAGGTGCACTTCCTTAGTGGAGGTTTTCCATGAGGCTTTACCTCTGCAGCAGGCTACTCCTCCTTCCTACTAACCCCCACCCTCCCACCACCCTACTGCTAACCCACTCCTCCCAATCCTACCCATCCCTTTTACCTTCCAGCAGCACCAACCTCCTGTCCATAATTAAGTCACCTGCTTCAACATTAGGGATTACAATTCCACATGAGTTTCATAGGGACACACAGGCAAACCATATAACTCTGACCCTGATATTCCAGAATTTCATGTCTTTATCACAGAGCAAAATACCATCATGACTTTTCAAAAGTTTGAAAAGTCTTAACTCATTCCAAATGTAAAAAATTCAAAGTCTCATCTGAGATAAGGCCACAGTCCCTTCTGCCTATGAGTCCCTGAATTTAAAACGGAGTTCTTTTCTTTCAAGGTACAATGATGGTACAGGCATTGTGTAAACTTTCTCAGTCCAAAGGGAAGAAATTTCCCAGAAAAATAACACAAATGGGCCCACAGGCCCAATGCAAGTCCATAACCCAGCAGGAGAGTACTCACTCAATCTCTCAGCTCCAAAATCATCAAGAGGACTCACTATCATGCGAACAGCATTAAGGAGAGAGTGCTTAACCATTTGTGAAGGATCTGCCCCCCACCCTCATCTTTCACTCCCACCCACGAAATAATCTCCCCATTCTCTCCACACCGTTACCTCCAACCCCCATGCTTCTCCATGATTAAATCACCTCCCACCAGGCCCCACCTTTAACATTCCGCATAACAATTCCACATGAGTTTGGTAGGGATGCAGAGCCAAATCATATTATTCTGACCCTGGCCCCCATATCTCATGTTGTTCTCACACTGCAAAATACAATGATGACTTCTCTACAGTTTCCCAATGTCTTCACTCATTCCAGCATTTACTGAAATGTCCAAAGCCCAAAGTCTCTTCTGAGACAAGGCTGCCATACGTTCTACCTGAGCTTCTGAAATACAAAGCAAGTTAACTACTTCCAAAGTACAATGATTGTACAGGCATTGGGTAAGTATTCCCAGCCAAAAGGAAGAAATTTGCCAGAAAGAAGCACAAAACACAGATGGGACTTACAAACCCCATAGGAGTCAAAAATCCAACAGCCAGTCATTGAATCCCACAGTTCCAAATCCCTTTTTTTGAATCCAGATCCCACATCCAGAGCACAAGGGTATGAGGCCTGGGCTCCCAAGGTCTTGGGCAGCTCTGCACCTGTGACGTTGCAGGGTCTAACCTCCACAGTTGCCCTGATGGGCTAGGCTGGTGTTGAGTACCTATAGCTTTTCCACAATGAAGGTGCAAGCTGCTAGTGAGTCTATGAATCTGGGGTTTGCAGAATGGTGCCTCCCTGTATGCGGTCCCAACCCTATATGTTCCTTCTGTACTGCCCTAGTAAAGGAGGCTCTGCCTCTTGGAAAAGTTTCGACCTGGACACCCAGGTTTTTCCATACATACTCTGGAGTCCAGACAAAGGATTCCCAGCCTCCAGTTTTGTGCTCTGCGCACCTGCTGGCTTAACACTATGTGGAAGCCACCAAGGCTTGCAGCTTGCACCCTCTGAAGCAGTGACCCAAGCTGTTCCTGTGCATCTTTCAACCATGGCTGGAGCTGGAGCTTCAGGAATCCAGCCAGCAGTGTCCTGAGGATGGACATAGCAGTGGGGCCATGGGGCTGGAGAAGGAAACCATTCTTTTCTCCCAGGCCTCAGGGCCTGCGATAGCAAGGGCTGCTACAAAAGTCTCTGAAATGCCTTCAAGGCCTTTTTAACATTGTATTGGCTATTAGCACTGAACTCCATTTTATGCACATTTCTGAAGCCTTCTTGAACTTTCCCACTGATAATAAGCTTTTCTTTTTGACCACTTGTCCAGGCTGCAAATTTTCCAAACTTTTAAGCTCTCCTTGTCATTTAAATATGTTTCACATTGAGGTCATTTCTTTGGTCACATATTTTCATGTGAGACCTTGTAAGCCTGGTGGCCACTGTCCATCATTATGTCACCTTTTTATTTATAACTATTTAACAAGTCTCTACACTGATCCAAACTTTTCCTCATCTTCCTGTCTTCTTCCAAGACCTCCAAACTCTCCAACCTCTGGCCATTACACACTTCTCAACCTGCTTCTACATTTTCAGCTACATGTGTCACAGCCTGGCAATGTGGTAACAGAAGAAAAGTCCATTTCAGGAGAAAAATTAATGCAGGCTTCAGACATTTGCCTGAAAAGAAGCTGAGTGCTGATTGCCAAGACAATAGGGAAAAGGTCTTGAAGGCATTCCATAGCTCCACTTTACAGCATTAATTTTCTGTATAATCAGAAAGAAAAGAGGTTGAACTGGTTCATGGTTCTGCAAGCTTTAAATAAATCCTAGAGGCTTCTGCCTCTGGGAGGACTCAGGAAGCCTCCCAATCATACCAGAAGAGCAAGCAGCAATGGGAAGTTTTATACGGCAGAAGTAGAAACAAGACAGAGAGAGGAAAAATGTGCCACACGTTGTATAACCCTGTTATACAAACAGATTTCCTGAGAACTCCGTATTACAACGTCAGCATCAAGAAGATGTTGCTTAACCATTGGTGAAAGATCTGCCCCCTACCACCCCCACAACCCACTGTTTCCAGGCAGAAGCCTCAGGCAGAGGCAGAGCCTCTTGGAAAACCTCTACTACGGCAGTGCAGAAAAAATATATGGGCTTGGAAGCCCAAAGCAGGAGGTTACCATCCTCCAGACCCCAGATTCATAGACCCACCAACAGCTTGCATTCTCAGTATGGAAAAGCTACAGGCACTCAACACCAGCCCAGCCCACGAGGGCAGCCATGGGGGCTACACCCTGCAAAGCCACAGGTGCACTGCCCTGGTAGAGGTTTTCCATGAGGCTCTGCCTCTGCAGCAGGCTACTCCCTCTTCCTACTGCCCACCACCCTCTCACCACCCTACTGCCAGCCTACTCCTCCTCACCCTACCCACTTGTTTTCACTTCCACCTCTACCAATTAATTTCTCCTCCCACCAGGCCCCACCTACAACAGTCAGGAATACAATACCCCTTGAGTTTTTGTAGGGAAACAGAGTCAAACCATATTGTTCTCACCCTGACACCCCCAAATCTCATGTCCTTCTCACACAGAAAAATACAAACATACCTTTTCAAAAGTTTCCAAAAGTCTTAACTCATTCCAGCAGTAATTCAAATGTAGTAAGTTCAAGTCTCATCCAAGACAAGGTTGGAATCCCTTCTGCCTATGAGTCCCTGAATGTAAAAGACAATTCTTTTCTTTCCAGTTACAACGATGGCACAGGCACTGGGTAAGCTTTCTCAATCCAAAGGGAAGATTTTCCCTGAAAAATAACACATTGGGACACAGGCCAAATCCGAGTCCAAAACTCAGCAGGACAGCATTCATTTATCATGAGAACTCACTATCGCACAGACTGCATTAAGGAGATAGTATTTAAACATTTGTGAAGGATCTGCCACCCATCCCCACGTTTCGCCCCCACTCATACCTTGCACCCCCATTCTCCCACATCCACCTTCCAACCCCCAATCTCTACCATGATTAAATCACCTTCTACCAAGCCCCAATTTAACATTCCCCATTACAATTCCACATGAGTTTTGGTAGGGACACAGAGCCAAATCATATTATTCTCCCCTTGGTCCCCAATCTCATGTCCGTCTTATACTGCAAAATACAATGATGCATTCTTATAGTCCCCCAATGTCTGAACTCATTCCAGCATTTACTCAAATGTCCATTTGTGAAGGATCCACCCCCCACCCCTGGCTTTCAGCCCCAACTGCACCACAATCCCCCAACCCTCCTCACCCGCCTGTAGCCCCAACCCTCCCCACCACCCCCAGCATCCACCCTCCAAGCTCCACCATGATTAAATCACCTTCCACCAGCCCCCACCTTTAACGTTTCACATTAAAATCCCACATGAGTTTTGGTAGAGACACACAGCCAAAACATATTATTCTGTCCCTGGTCCCCCAAATCTCATGTGTTTTTCATACTGCAAAATGCAATGATGCATTCCCTAGAGTCCCCAAATCTTAACTCATTCCAGCATTTACTCAAATATCCAAAGCCCAAAGTCTCTTCTGAGACAAGGCTGCAGTCCCTTCTACCCTGAGACTCTGAAATACACAGCAAATTAACTACTTCCAAGGTACAATGATTGTACAGGCATTGGGTAAGCATTTACGGCCAAAAAGAAGACATTTGCTAGAAAGAAGCACAAAATACAGATGGGATTTAGAAACTCCCTGCAAGTCAAAAGCCCAGCAGGCCAGTCATCCATCATACACCACCAAATCATCTTTTTGGAATCTATGTCCACATCCAGAGCACAGGGTGGTGTGACAGCTGGGATCCCAAGGCCTTGGGCAGCTCTGCACCTGTGGCATTGCAGAATCTTTCACCTACAGCTGCCCTCATTGACTAGGCTGGTGTTGAGTGCCTGTAGCTTTTCAACACTAACGGTGCAAGCAGCTGGTGGGTCTATGAAACTGGGGAATGGAAAATGGTGCCTCCCTGTATGGGGACTCCAACCCTATACTCTCCTGTGTACTGCCTGAGTAGAGGTTTACCATGAGGCTCTGCCTCTTGGAAAAGCTTTTGGCTGGACACTCTGGCTGTCTGATACATCCTCTGGAGTCTAGGTGAAGGCTCTGAAGCTTCTAGCACTTGCTTTATGCACCTGCTGGCTTAATACCAAGTGGAGGCCACCACGTCTATGAGCTTGCATCCTCTGAAGCAGTGAGGCAAGCTGGATCTGTGCACCTTTCATCCATGGCTGGAGCTGGAGATGGAGCTGCAGGGATGCAGGCAGCAGTGTCCTGAGGCTGCACACAGCAGTGGAGCCATGGGGCTGGGCCAGGAAACTATTCTTTTCTCCTAGGCCCCAGGGCCAGTGACAGCAAGGGCTGTTACAAAGGTCTCTGAAATGCCTTCAAGGCCTTTTTCCCATTGTCTTGAATTATTAGCACTAGGCTCCTTTTTATGCAAATATCTGAAGCCTTCTTGACTTTCCCCCTGAAAATCAGCTTTTCTTTTTGACCACTTGTGCAGATTACAAATTTTCCATATGTTTAAGCTCTGCTTCTCATTTAAATATAAGTTCCAACTTATAGTCATTTCTTTGATCACAGATAGGTGCACAGGCTGTTCAATGTAGGTAAGAGAACTCTTGAGCATTGTTGCTTAGAAGTTCATTCCACCAGATACACTCTAAATCATCACCCTCAAGTTCAGTTTCACAGATCTCCCGGGAAGGGTCACTGTGTAGTCAATTACTTTGCTAAGGCAAAACAAAAAAACCTTGGCTCCTCTTCCCAGTAAGTCCTTCATTTTCACCTGAGATCTTATAAGCCTGGCCTTCACTGTCCATCCTTCTGTCAGCCTTTCAATCACAACTATTTAACAAGTCTCTGCAATGGTCCAAAGTTTCCCTCATCTTCCTGTCTTCTTCCAAGCCCTCCGAACTCTATAACCTCTGGCCATTACCTAATTCAGAACCTGCTTCTACACTGTCAGCTATCTTTTTCGCAGCCTGGCAATGTGGTAAAAGAAGAAAATTCCATTATCAGGGGGAATCATCAAGAAGGCCTCCAATATCTGCATTGAAAAAGCTCAGTGCTAATAGCCAAGAGATTGGGGGAAGGCCTAGAAGACATTTCATAGCTTCACTTCGCAGCATTAATTTTCTGTATGTACATAAAGAAAAGAGGTTTAGTTGACTCACAGTTCTTCAGGCTGTAAAGAAAGCATAGTGGTTTCTGCTTGTAGGAGGACTCAGGAAGCCTCCCAGTCATACCAGAAGGCCAAGCGGCAATGAAATGTTTCATATGGCAGGAGTAGAAGCAAGACAGAGAGAGGAAAGAGGTGCAACATCCTGTTATACAACTAGATCTCATGAGAGCTCAGTATCAGGAGATCAGCATCAAGAAGATGGTGCTTCACTGTTGGTGAAGGATCCGCCCACCACCTCATATCCACCACCCACTGTCTCCAAGCAGAAGCCTGAGGCAGAGGCAGATCCTCTTGGAAAACCTCTACTATGGCTGTTTAGAGGAAAACTACGGGCTTGGAGCCCCCATGGAGAATACCACCATCCTCCAGACACCAGACCCATAGACCCATCAACAGCTCACACCACAAGTACGGAAAAGCTACAGGCACTTAACACCAGCCCAGCCCATGAGAGCACCTACATGTGCTGAACCCTGCAAAGCCACAGGTGCACTGCATCAGTAGAGTTTTTCTATGAGCCTCTGCCTCTGCGGCAGGCTACTCCCCTCCTGCTATACACCACCCTACAGCCAGCCTACTCCTCAACACTTTACCCACCTGTTTTTACGTCCAATCCCACCCCTCTCCCATCCATGAATAAATCACCTCCCACCAGGCCCCACCTGCAACATTCGGGATTACAATTACATGTGAGTTTAGGTAGGGACACACAGCTAAACCATATTATTCTGACCCTGATCTCCCAAATATCGTATCCTTCTCACACAGTAAAATACAATCAGGCCTTTTCAAAAGTTGCGGAAAGTCTTAAGTCATTTCAGCATTAACTCAAATGTAAAAAGTTCAATGTCTCACCTGAGAAAAGGCCACAGTCCCTTTTGCCTATAAGTTCCTGAATTTAAAAGGGATTTCTTTTCTTTCAAGGTACAAAGATGGTATAGGCATTGGGTAAGTTTTCTCAATCCAAAGGGGAGAGGTCTGCCAGGAAAATAACACAAATGGGATGACAGGGCCAATGCAAGTCCAAAACCCAGGAGGCCACTATCCCCATTCAATTTCACGGCTCCAAAACATCACGAGAACTCACCTCCATGAAGAAAGAATTAAGGAGATGGTGTTTAACCATTTGTGAAGGATCCTCCACCCACTCCCACGTTTCACCACTCACCCCCACCATAATCCACCCATTTTCCCCAATCCCCACCTTCCAATACCAACTGCCCTCCATGATTAAATCACCTTCCACCTGGCCCCAATTTAAACATTTCTGATTACAATTCCACATGAGTTTCCATAGGGACACACAGCCAAATCTTATTATTCTGTCCCTGCCCCACAAATCTCATGTCCTTCTCACTTTGCAAAATACAATGATGCCTTACTTACCATTCCCCAAGCCATTGTGCTTTTTTTTTTACAGCCTGCAGAACCATGAGCCCATTAAACCCCTTTTTGTTATGATCATATAGAAAATTAGTATTGTGAAGTGAAGCTATGAAATGCCTTCAATGACTTTTCCCCATCATCTTGGCTAAGAACCCCAAGGTCTTAACTCATTCCAGCATTTACTCAAATGTCTGAAGGCCAAAGTCACATCTGAGACAAAGATGCAGTCCCTTCTGCTCCTGAGCCTCTGAAATACAAAGCAAGTTAACTACTTCCAAGGTATGATTGTCCAGACATTGAGTAAGAATTCCCAACCAAAAGGAAGATTTTTGCCAGAGAGAAGAACAAAACAGAAAAGGGACTTACAGGTCCCATGAAAATCTAAAACCCAGCCGGCCAGTTATTCAAACCTACAGCTCCAAAGTCATCCTTTTTTAATCCTTGTCCCACATCCAGGACACAAGGGTATGAGGGCGGGGTTCCCAAGGCCTTGGGCATTTCTCTACCTGTGGCTTCGCAGTGTTCCATCCCCACAGCTGCCCTCATGGGCTGTGCTGGTGTTGACTGCCTGTAGTTTTTACCCACAGAGGGTACAAAGTTCTTGGTGGGTCTATGAATCTGGGGTCTGCATGATGCTGGCCTCCATTGTGGGGCTCCAACCCCATATTTTCCTTCTGCACTGCCCTAGTAGAGGTTTCCCAGGAGGCTCTGCTTTTTGGCAGCCTTCTGTCTGGACACCCAGGCATTTTCATACGTCTTCCGAAATCTATATGAAGGCTCAGAAGCCTCTGGGCTAGTGCTCTGTGCGCTCGCGGGCTTAACACTATGTGAAAGCCATGAAGCCTTATAGCCTGTTCCCTCTGAAGCAGTGATGCAATCTGTACCTGTGCATCTTTCAGCCAAGGTCAGAGCAGGAGCTGGGGCTGCAGGGATGCAGGCAGCAGTGTCCTGAGGCTGCAAACAGCAGCAGGGTCATGGGGCTCGCCCAAGAAACCATTCTTCTCTCCTAGGACCCAGGGCCTGACAGCAAGGGCTGCTGCAGACATCTCTGAAATGTCTCCAAGGCTTTTTCCCCCATTGTCTTGGCTATTAGCACTGGCCTCCATTTTATGCAAGTTTCTGGAGCCTTCATGAGTTTTCCCCCTGAAAATCAGCTTTTCTTTTTGACCACTTGGCCAGGTTGCAGATGTTCCAAACTTTTGAGCTCTGCTTGTCATTTAAATATAAGTTCCAACTTGAGGTCATTTCCTCGGTCACACATAACCTCGGTCACACGTAAGAGCACAGGCTGTTTGATGCAGACAGGACCCCCCCTTGTGCTATGCTGCCTAGAAGTTCATTCCACCAGATATGCACTAAATCGTCACCCTTTAGTTCAAAGTTTCACAGATCTTGAGGGCAAGGTCGTCCTGCAGCCATGTTCTTCGCTACAGCAAAACAAAAGGTAACCTTGGCTCCCGTTCCCAGTAAGTTCCTCATTTTCATCTGAGACCTTGTAAGCCTGGCCTTCACTTCCATCCTTCTGCCAGCCTTTTAATCACAACTATTTGACAAGTGCCTACAATGGTCCAAACTTTCCTTCATCTTCCTGTCTTCTTTCAAGATCTCCAGACTCTCCAACCTCTGGCTGTTACCCACTTCTGAACCTGCTTTACATTTTCAGCTATCTTTGTTGCAGCCTGGCAATGCAGAAGAAAAAGAAGTCCATTTTCAGAGGGAAACTTCAAGAAGCCTTCAGATATTTGCATTAAAAAGAAGTGAGTGCTAATAGCCAAGACGATGGGGAAATGTCATACCAGTAGGAAAACAGCAATGAAATGTTTCATTAAGCAGGAGTAGGAGCAAGGCTGAGAGAGGAAAGAGGTGCCACACCATCCTATAACCAGATCTCATGAGAACTCACTATCACTAGGTCAGCATCAAGAAGATGGTGCTTAACCATTGGTGAAGGATCCGCCCCCCAACACATCTCCACCCCCTACCTTTCCAGACAGAAACCTGCTGCAGAGGCAGAGGCTCTTGGAAATCCTGTACTATGGCAGTGCACAAGGAAAATAAGGGCTTTGAGTGACTATGCAGGAGGCCACCATCCTCTAGATCCCTGATTCATAGACCTACCAAAAGTTCACACCCTCAGTATGGAAAAGTGATAGGCACTCAACAGCAGCCCAGCCCATGAGAGCAGCCATGGGGGCTAAAGCCTGCAAAGCCACAGGCGCACTGCCCTGGTAGAGGTTTTCCATGAGCCGCTGCCTCTGCAGCAGGCTACTCCCCCTTCCTACTACCCACCACCCTCCCACCACCCTACAGCCAGCCTACTCTTCCCCACCCTACCCACCCCTTTTTTCTTCCACCGCTAACCCTCCCACCCATGATTAAATAATCTCCCACCAGGCCCCACCTCCAACATTTGGGATTACAATTCCACATGAGATTTTCCAGGGACACACAGCCAAATCATATTATGCTGACCTTGACCCCCCCAAATCTCATATCCTTCTCACAGAAGAAAATACAATTGTGCCTTTTCAAAGTTTCCAAAAGCCTTAACTCATTCCCGCATTAACTCAAATGTAAAAAGTTCAAAGTCTCATCTGAGACAAGGCCACAGTCTCTTCTGCCTATGAGTCCCTGAAGTTAAAAGGGTGTTCGTTTCTTTCAAGGTACAATGATGGTACACGTATTGGGTAACCTTTCTCAATCCAAAGGGAAGAAATTTCCAAGAAAAATAACACAAATGGGACCACAGGCCCAATGGACATCCAAAATCCCACAGGTCAGTGTTCGTTCAATCTCACAGCTCCAAAATCATGAAGAGAACTCACTATCAGAAGGACGGCATTAAGGAGATGGTGTTTAACCGTTTGTGAAGGATGCACCCCAGCCCGCCTTATACCCCCAACCCCACCACAATCCCCTCCAACCCTCCTCACCACCCAATCACCCCCAACCCTCCCCGACCCCCACCATCCAACCTCCTCTCTCCATCATGATTAAATCACCTTCCACCAGCCCCCACATTTAACATTTCCCATTAACATTCCACATGAGCTTTGGTAGAGACAGAGAGCCAAAACATATTATTCTGTCCCTGGTCCCCCAATGTTCATGTCTTTCTCACATTGCAAAATGCAATGATGCCTTCCCTAGAGTCTCTCAAATCTTAACTCATTCCAGCATTTGCTCAAATGCCCAAAGCCCAGAGTCTCATCTGAGACAAGTCTACACTCCCTTCTGCCCATGAGCCACTGAGTTATAAAGCACGTTTACTACTTCCAAGGTAAATGATTGTACAGGCAATGGGTAAGCATTCCCAGGCATCAGAAAAAAAAATTGCTAGAAAGAAGCCCAAAACACAGATGGGACTCATAGGATACATAAATGTCCAAAACCCAGCAGACCAGTGACTCAATCCTACAGCTCCAAAATCATCGTTTTTGAATCCTTGTCCCACATCCATGGCACAGGGCTGTGAGGGCTGAGCTCCCAAGGCCTTGGGCAGATCTGACCTGTGGCTTGGCAGCGTTCAGCCTCCACGGCTGTCTCTCATGGACAGGGCTCTTGTTGAGTGCCCATAGCTTTTCCACACTGAGGGTGCAAGCTGTTTGTGGGTCTATGAATCTGGGGTTTGGAGAATGATGCCTCCCTCTGTGGGGGCTTTAACCCTATAAGTCTCTTCTTTGCTCCCCTAGTAGAGGTTCCCCATGAGGTTATGCCTCTTGGAAAAGCTTCTTCCTGGACATCCAGGATTTTCTGTACATCTTCTGGAGTCTAGACAGGAGCTCCCAAGCCTCTAGTCTCTTTCTCTGTGCACCTACTGGCTTAACACTATGTGGAAACCATCAAGGCTTTGAGCCACCTCTGAAGCAATGACCCAAGCTGTACCTGTGCATCTTTCAGCCACGGCTGGTGCTGGAGCTGCAGGGATGCAGGCAGCAGTGTCCTGTGGTTGAGCACAGCAGCAGGACCATGGGACTGGCCCAGGAAACCATTCTTCTCTCCTAGACCCCATGGTCTGTGACAGCAAGGGCTGCTGCAGAGGTCTCTAAAATACTTTCAAGGCCAGTTTCCCACTGTCTTGGCTGTTTGCACTGCGTTCCTTTTTATGGAAATAACCTAAGCCTTCTTGAATTTTCCCCCTCAAAATCGGCTTTTCTTTTTGACCACTTGGCCAGGCTCCAAATTTTCCAAATTTTAGATCTCCACTTGAAGTTCCAACTTGAAGTTATTTCTTAGGTCACACATAAGAACACAGGCTGTTCAATGCAGACAGGACACCTCTTGTGCTATGCTGCCTAGATGTTCATTTCACCAGATACATCCTAAATCATCACCCCCAAGTTCATAGTTTCACAGATCTCCAGGGCAGGGTCCCTGTGCTGCCACGTCCTTTGCTAAGGCCAATCAAATGTAATCTTGGCCCCTGTTTATAGGAAATTCCTCATTTTCATCTGAGAACTTCTAAGTCTGGACTTCAGTGTTTACCCTTTTCTCAGCCTTCTGATCACAAGTATTTAACAGTTCTCTATAGTGGTCCAATATTTTCCTCATCTTGTTGTCTTCTAAGCTTTCCCAAGTCTTCCTACCTCTGTCCTTTACCCACTTCTGAACCTGGTTCTACATTGTCAGCAATCTTTATCACAGCCTGGCAATGTGGTAAAAGAGAAAAGTCCATTTTCAGGGGGAAAATTCACAAAGGCTTCAGATATTTCCATGAAAAGAAGCTGAGTGCTGGTTGCCAAGAAAAAGGGGAAAGGGCCTTGAAGGCATTTCATGGCTCCACTTCACAGCACTAATTTTCTGTATGATCATAAAGAAAAGAGGTTTAATTGGCTTATGGTTCAGCAGGCTGTAAAGGAAGCATAGTGGCTTCTGCTTCTGGGAGGATCAGGAAGCCTCCCAATCATACCAGAAGGCCAAGGGGCAAGGAGATGTTTCATATGGCAGGAGTAGAAGCAAGACTGAGAGAGGAAAGAGGTGCCACACCCTGTTATATAACCAGATCTCATGAGAACACACTATCATGAGGACAGCGCCAAGAAGATGCTGCCTAACCATTGGTGAAGGATCTGCCTCCCACCCCCACCTCCCAATGTTTCCAGGCAGAAGCCTGCTGCAGACGCAGAGTTCTTGGAAAACCTCTACTAGGGCAGTGCTTTAGGAAAATATGGACTTGGAGCCCCCACACAGGGGACTACCACCCTCCAGACCCCAGACTCATAGACCCACCAACAGCTTGCACTCTCTGTGTGGAAAATCTACAGTCACTCAACACTAGTCCAGTCCATGAGAGCAGCCATGGGTCTCAAACCTGCAAAGCCACAGGTGCACTGCCCTAGTAGGGGTTTTCCATGAGGCTCTGCTCTGCAGCAGGCTACTCCCCCTTCCTACTACCCACCACCCTCCCACCACCCTACAGCCAGTCTACTCCCTCCCACCGTACCCACCCCTTTTTCCCTTCCACATCCACCCCCACCCATCCATGATTAAATCACTCCCTCCCACTCCCTCTCATACTCTTATCCCTCCAAACCCTTCCAATCTTTGTTTGCTACCCACTACTGAGCCTGCTTTTACTTTTTCAGATATTTATTTAGCAGGTTGGCTATGTAGCAATAACAAAAATCCCATTTAAGGGGAAAAATTCAAGAAGATTTCAGAAATTTGCATATAAAGAAGCCCTGTGCTAATAGCCAACACAAAGGGAAAAAGGCCTTGAAGACATTTCACAGCTCTTCTCTGCAGTTCTAATTTTCTGTATTATTGTAAATAAAAGAGGTGTAATTGACTCATGGTTCTGCAAGCTGTGAAGAAAGCATAGTGTCTTCTGTTTCTGGGAGGAATCAGGAAGCCTCCTCATTATATCAGAAAGCCAAGGGAAAATGAGATGCCTCCTAAAGCAGGAGCAGGAGGAAGACAGAGTGAGGAAAGAGGTTCCACAGCCTGTTAAGGAATCAGATCTCATGAGAACTCACTCACTATCAGGAGGTGATGGTCCTTTATCAAGGTGATGGTCCTTTATCATTCGTGAAGGATCTACCTGCACCATTTTATGACTAAATCTTTTTCCACCTAGGCCCCGCCTCTGACATTACAGAATATAATTCCACATGAGTTTTGGTAGGGACATAGAGAAAAGCCATATTATTCTGTCCCTGACCCCACGAATCTCATATCCTTCTCACATTGCAAAATACAATCATGCCTTGCCAGCAGTCTCCCAAAGTCTTAACTCACTTCAGCATTAACTCAAAGTTACGAAGTCCAAAGTGTCATCTGGATCAAGGCTACAGTCTCTTTTGCCTATGAGTCTCTGAAATAAAAAGCAAGTTCACTGCTTCTAAGGTACAATGATGGTACAGGCATTGTGTAAGCTTTCCATATCCAAAAGGAAGACATTTTCCAGAAAGCTTCTTATTTCTCTCTGAGACCTCTTCAGCCTGGCCTTCACTGTCCATGTTTCTGTCAGGATTTTTGTCACAACCATTGAACCAGTCTCTAGGATGGTCCAAAAGTTTTCTCATCTATCTATCTTCTTTTGAGCCCTCCAAATTCTTCCAACCTCCATCCATTACCTGGTTCCAAAGCTGCTTCCACATTTCCAGGTATCTTTATAGCAAGCTCCAGTCTTCATTTGCCATTTTCTGTATGATTTATTTTGAAAAAGAGGTTTAATTGTCCCATGGTTCTAAGCACAGTGCTTCTGCTTCTAGGAGGCCTCAGAAATCTTTCAATAATCATGGAAGGCAAAGAAAGAATCAGTTGTCTCACATGGCAAGGGGAAAACGCAGAGAGTAGGGATGTGACATAGAGTTTTCAGTGACCAGATCTCATGAGAAGTCACTCATTATTGTGAGGATGGTACAAGGGGATGGTGCTGAACCATTCATGAGAAATTTGCCTTCATAATTCAATCACCTTATAGCAGGATCCACCTTCCACATTAGGAAATATAACTCAACATGAGATTCGGTGTGGACACATATTCGAAATGCATCATCAATCTTTGAATATAAAGACGTCCACAGCAGGCTTTATCCAGCCAACTTCTTTGAGACTCTTTATAGGGTTTGAGGTCTAGAGTACATACACTAAAATATTCATACTTCAAAACGCAATAAAGTGGTATTATCATTGTTCCAAAAGTTACAGCGTAGTTTAGGCATTCATAGCATGATTTAGTTCACATTTGCTACTGTTTCTATTCTATCACCATATTAACTGTTTCCTATACAATTCTGTATTCAGCTGGATTTCAGTTGAGCACAAAACCATCCTTGTACTAGCTCTTTGCTAGTGTTATTATTATGCTGTAGAAAGTACCTTTGAACTGGAAACAGTCCACGATGGAGTATCGAGTCATTCAACACTATCAATTCCTGGGTGACTTTTTGAAAAAGTAGTATCTCTTGTTGCAAGAAATGCTGCATCTGTGAGTCCATGTCTCTCACTGGAATTGGATGGAAGTGGTGAATTTCAGCCAAAGTGGCCAAAGAAATCCTGTTCCTGTGATTCTGACATCATCAGCCTCTGCACGTCTATCTTCCCTTCTGCCACTTGTTGTCTGCTCTCCGTGACTTTAGTAAGAGCTTCCTTGTGTATGTGGATGATGTCCAGGATATTGGTCTGGTGTCCCTGAGACAGCACCAACAGGTCCATGGCTGGGTCCAGGTCCTGCCTGGACTGATTGGCAAAGACCTCACTGACAGTGTGGAAGATCTCTATACTGAAGTGAATGGCCTGGTCCAGCTCCAAGGCCTGGCTGAGGCTGAAGAAGAACTGGCGGCCTTCTGATGCTCTTTCTTAAGGCCTGTCACCACTCATTGGCTGTGAAGTTGAGCTGAGTGCCCTGTTGTCCATCTTCTTGGTGAAGCACTGGAAGCCGTCAATCTTGCTCTCCCACTCCTAAAGGTTGAGTGTCGCCCTGGGGGTGGGCTCAGGGCCAGGAAGAATCTGGCACTCACCAACTCATCCTTCTCAGCCTTCCTCTTGCCCTGTCTCCAGGCTGTCTCTTCGGTGCTGGTGGGGCGCATCAGAAGTGACAAAAAATGTGGCACTGTGCCTGCATCCAGAAGCTGGCCGTGTGGTTCATCCACCAGATTGGGCCCTTTCTGCACTTGAACATAGACACTACTTCACCATAGATGCCTTCCACATTGTCAGTGAGCTCTTTGCCAATCAGCCCAGGCAGGACCTGGACCCAGTCATGGACCTGTTAATGCTGTCTCAGGGACACCAGGCCAACACCCTGGACATCATCCACATACCCAAGTAAGCTCTTACCAGAGTCCTTCTCAAGATGGCCTGTGGTCTGCCTCTTGGCATCCAAGAAGCCCACGGTGCTGTAGAAGCCCTGATGCATGGAATGGAGCCCCAAAGGCAGCGCACACCCCGCTCCTGAGCCTGCTGCTCATTTCCTCTGTGTGGCTCCATTTGCAGCACATTTGTTGCACTGAGGCCTGTGCATGCCAGGCGAGGCCAAGCTGGCTCAAAGAGCAACCAGCCACCTCTGCAAGGGTGTGCCAGGAGCCGGTGGACCAGCCACCAACCTCACTCCCTGCCAGTCAGGATAAATCAGTTATTCTGCCCTGGAGGTAGAGCCCCAGCGCCATCTGCTTTTCCTCAGGCCTCTGCTCCATCAGCTGTCAGGTGGTGGTCGCTCAGGCTGTGGGAACCTGGCCATCCCTGTTTCCTCTGAGTAGGGGAGGTTGGTGGCTAGTCCACCTGCTCCTGGCACACCCTTGCAGAGGTGGCTGGTTGCTCTTTGAGCCAGCTTGGCCTCGCCTGGCATGCACAGGTCCCGGGTACTGAAAAGCTGCTCCGAGTGAGTTTGTCTTGTCTTGGGCCAAATTCTAAGTCTGGCCAGGGCCACAGAAGGCCAAGTCCCCTGGGTGGTAATCCTGGCTGCTGCAGGGGGGCCCATGATGCCCCTCCCCTCCCAGGGCTCAGGATGAGGTCCAACTGGGACAGGATGCTTTAGGTATGGGACTTGTGCCCCAGGAGGGGCCCTCTGTCACACAGGTTGGGTGAGAAGATGTATGGCATGCTGCTGGCTGCCAGGGCTGTTGGGATGCACATTCACCCTTCCCTTCAGGGACCTCAAAGTGACCAGCTTCCCCTTTAAGAATGACTTCCCAAGGCCCAGGAGCCATCTGGGGCTGCAGAGCAGCTGGCCGCATGCTGCCCTGGCTTCTTCCATGTTATGCTGGTCACTACCCACCAAGGGGGTTCAGATGCAGGCATGATGCAGGATGGTTGTCTCTGGACCTGTGTCTTGGTTATCATGGAGCTGGACTGGGCCTGGTGACAGGGCCCTGATGGGGTTGTCCTGGGTGGTCACGGAGGTGATGAGAAAAGATGCAGAATGGAATTGCTGCGAGGATGAATGAGACGACCGTCAGCACAGAACAGGCACCCGGTGAGTGTTCAGGGATTCCCCTCAGTAGCTGCCCAGAGGCCAAAACCACCCACCTGATAGTGACTGTCCCCAAGCCAGGAGGAAGAGAGGAGAGCAGGTCCCACTCACCTGAGTCTGATCAGTGAGCTGTGTTGAGATGTGCCTCTCATCTAGAAAACGGTCCTTCAACAGAGCCACTCACAGACACTGCTGTGTGTCTCTAACTGCTCCACAACACAGAGGCGATGGAGACTCAGCAACAGTGACATTGTGGGGTGACACAACCCACCACAATGGAAGCCTGCTTGGGTCAACAGGGCCCAGAGTCAGTGTCCTCTATCCCCTGAACTGACATGTGTGCATGCAATGTGTTTGTGTATGCATGTGTGCCTGTGTGTGTGTGTGTGCGCGCACATATGTGTGTGTTTGTCTTGCTTCTCTGGACAGGCCTAGCTTCTCCACTCATGGGTGCACCCAGGTCCTCATCACTGTCACCTTAGAGCATTAGAGCCTCTATAGGTGCTCCCCAATCTCTGACCTCCCCACCCATGGTGGTCCTGGGGATGCAGACAGAGGAGGGGCACTGCATAATGCTGAGAGGGCTGGCACCCTCTCTAGGTGGAACACAGGTCATTTGTAAAGTTGTAGGTCTGCCAAGCAGTATTGGATTCAACACATCTTCTCACCTTCTCTTTCCAGCCACCCTCCAGGGTGCCCTGACTCACCTTCCCTGCAGATGGACATGAGGCTCCACAGACAAACCCCCTACCTGAGGTCACACAGTGGCCAGCGGGCCAGGTACTGACCAACCGCCGCTGACCAGGTTCCCAGTGATGAGGCCCCTAATGACCACTCCTCCATTGACCAGGTCCCACTGATCAAGTCCCCACTGACCATGTCTTCCTAACCAGGCCCGCACTTAATAGGCCTCATGGGCCAGACTCCACTGACCAATTTTCCACTGACCTGGTCCCCAGTGACAAGACCGGGTTCCCACTGACAAGACCACTATTTACCAGGTTGCTGCTCAGCCGACCCCCCACTGAACAATTCTCTATAGATGAGACCCCAGCTGACCAAGCCACCTCTGACCAGGCCCTCACTGACCAGGCTCCAAGCCACCAAGGCCCCACACTGACCAGGCCCCTGGTATACTATATATGCCCCACCAACCAGTTTTTCATTGTTTATGTTCCAACCAATCAGGCCCCACTAATAAGGCCACCACTGACTAGGTCCCCCCACTGACCAGGCTTCCAATGACTAGGTCACCAGGTCCCCACTGATGAGGCCTTTACTGAGGAGCCCACCACTAACCAGGCACCTGCTGATGAGGTCCCAAATGACTAGGTCCTGATGACCAGGTCACCTCTGACCATGGGCCACTGACCAGGCCCCTGAGCAGTCATGCTCAAAGTCTTATTACAATGTCCCCCTCAGCTCACAGACCCTCCCTCCCTGCATGTGTGCTCAGAGGTCAGGCCCTGCGGTTTGTTTTGGGAAATGGCCTTTCCTCCAAGACACAGGGAGAGACAGTCAGCCTCAGGCTCCAGGTTCCCAGCTCCACACTCACCCTAAAGGCCCTCTGGGCCCATCTCAAAGGAGACAGTGAGGTGGCCTGGCACTGCCTGGACACGCCATCTACCCTATTCCTGAGTGTCAGAGTGTTAGGAAGGGAGGGACATTTGGCAGATGAGACACCCTGTGCTGTTGGGTCTCCCAGGGCCCTTCCCACAGAGCCCCGATCTAAAGACAGCACAGAGGCTACAGGAAGACTAATCCAGAACCTCTGAGGCTGAGCCAGGGACCACATGAGGACTGTCCCCAGACAGCCAGAAGGCCCTTTGCTAGTTTCTTGGTACCTCAGTGGATGCGGCAGCTGTTCTTCTGTTGGGGACCAGTGAGTACACGCTGGGGAGGGCTCGCCTGTGCTTCCTCAGTGGCTCCACCTCTGCTTCTAAAAAAAATGACTCATTCCAGGGCTGTGGCAGAGAAAATACAAGATTAGCTTAGAACATCTTGTGCCAGAAAGTAAAAAAGTGCTGACAGAGTAATGGAGACAAATCAAAAACACATCAAGTCAGCTTGGAATGTCTACCACTGGCCTAATCTTGGGGAATTGGAGCATCAGAATCATGAGCTTTCCTTCTCCCTTATTTATTGGTTTTATTTCTCCATGTAGAACAAAGAAGAGAATAAGAAAATAATCATCTGGCAACCATTATAGTAATAATTGTTCAAACACAAGTCATCCATGAAATGCTAAATCTAGTGGGTTCTGAGGAGTAACCAGAAATTTACAGAGCCTCAAAGTATCTCCATACAAAATATGGTTGAACTACAAAAACAAAATCGTAGCATTAGCATGGACAAACCTGGCAGGTACTCCTTAAGTCTCCTAAGTAATAAAAACTGTAAACTGCAAATAAGCCTTTGATGACATTTACTAACCTTTACTAAAGTATCAATGATGACTTGGTTGTTTAAACAGCTGATATTTGGGCAATTTGAGTATGTCAAACTCAATAATACTTGTTTTCATTTGCAAGATCCACTTAAAACTTAAGGAGGCTAAAAAACATCATTTAAAATACCCTATAAATTATCATCGTACATATGATACAAAAATATCCTACTTCCATAAATATTGTAATGTTATATATTTTATGAGAAACAATTAAAATGTGTAAATAGCCCAGTAATAAAGTTTTATAATCTTTTAAATCATACAATTTTTCCTTAAAACTTTATGGTTAAATATTCTCTTCATTAGATGTGGCTTACCAGTGGATTCTAGAGAAGAAAATAGATGGGAGCAAGTGTCCAACACAGCAACAGCTAGAAAGAAAAATAAAGAATTATGTCCTTTACCTAAAACACTTCAGTTAACTAGTGTGAGTTTAAAAACTAAAGAGTTGTGAACTTTATCAGAGTTAATAAGTATGAGAAATATGTATGTACATTTACAATACAAAATTACTATTTAATAATTTACACATGGCATTAATTCTAATTGTGTTTAAACATCAGAGCTTTTTCATTCTTCATTCATGTAATCAACAGCCATGTGCCAAGGTACTAGAACCAGCACTGGAATTACAAGATGAAGATGGTGTGGTCCACCTCTCAACAGTCATATGCTATAACCTAAAAAAACAGACAGGCAGGTAATGTCCATATAGAGTCATAGATACCACGACATGTATACAGCAGGGCACTGCTGGAAAACACAGAAGGGACACCTACCCACTTTTATGTCAATATCATGGGCTTTCTGATGGAGGAGATAACATAGGTTGATACCTGAAAGACAAGGAAAAGCTTGCCAGATAGAGGGAAGAGGCAAAGGCAAAGAGCCTGAGGTGAGGAAGAGCCCTGCAGAGTTCCACTCCATCCAGTTTGGGCTAGAGCAAAGGGCAGAGTGCAGTAAGTGGTGAGAGACAAGGCTGAGTAACTTGACAAGAATTACATTGACATGGGTGTTTTTATTTCATGGTGAAAAATCTGGAATGTTTCCTGAGAACAAGTGTAAGCCAATGACACAGTAAATGACAGGAGATTTAAAATGTCACCTGTCAAGTGACTGCTTATGAAGGGTTATGGCTCAACTAAGCATTTCTGAATGAGTCTGAGGTCTGTTGACCTTCAATTTCTACCAAAACCCTGAGAACTTGATGATGCCTGTGTTTTCTGAGAATCGTTTCGGTGTGCTGGCTGACAGTTCCATGAGGATGGCAAAACTTAAGAAAGTGTAGAGCCAGTGAAAAAGAGATGCACAGACTTCTTGGGAATTTTTTAAGCTACAGAACATGATGAATTTATGGTGCATAAGTACAGTCTTCTCTGTGAAAGTTTTTGTTTTCACATCTTTCATTAGATGTGTGTAAGAAAAAAAATACTTGACGTAGTATCTACTAACCCAAGAATGAAAAGGAATGCCATTTGCTATTTACACTTTATTTCTAAAATAAACCTAAATTTAATTAATAAATTTTGGCAACATACTTCTCTTTGTTTCTCTAATTATTTGTTCTACACAGTCCAGCTCCATCTAAAATAAGTAAAAATAATAATAATGTTTAAGTTAAACAAGAAACATTATCATGAAAATAATGTATCATTTACAAAATGTGGCCTTTAGTATTTTTAGTGACTAGACATAACTTGAAGTTTGCTTAAATAGAAAAATAATCACATAAATAAAGTAAAATTTCTACTTATTTTAAGTTTAGGTAACAGAGGATGTATATGTGTAATGCTGTTTAGAGTAATCGGACAAAAATACAGTTAATATTGATCTATTGCATATACATGATTTTAGAAAGGTAGTGTTTTATTAGTACAAAGGTTAAACAATGGCCAGGCATGGTGGCTCATACCTGTAATCCCAGCACTTGGGGAGGCCAAAGCAGGCAGATCACAAGGTGAGGAGATCGTGACCATCCTGGCCAAAATGGGGAAACCCCATCTCTACTAAAAATACAAAAATTAGCTGGGCGTGGTGATGCGAACCTGTAGTCCCAGCTACTTGGGAGGCTAAGGCAGGAGAATTGCTTGAAGCCAGGAGATGGAGGTTGCAGTGAGCCAAGACTGCACCAGTGCACTCCAGCCTGGTGACAGAGTGAGACCCTGTCTCAAAAAAAAAAAAAAAAAAAAAAAAGATTAAGTAATTAAAGCCATCTTTTGCAATGAATGCATTGCTTTGAAATTCTGAGAAAACTCTGCCCTTTATAAAAAGTTTAATCCATTTTTTACTTCAATAAATTTTATCTTAAAAAGAAATTTCTATTCTCTACTTATAGTAAACTTTTCTTTTCTTTTTTTTTAGTTTGTATTCTAAATTTAGGTGGTACCTCTGTAGGATTCTTCCAAAGGCATATTGAGGGATGCCGAGGTTTGCAGTACAGTTGAGCCCATCACACAGGTAGTAAGCGTAGGACCCAGTAAGTAATTTTTCAACCCTGGCCCACTCTGTCCCTCCCTGCTTTTATTTCCTAGTGTCTATTATTCCCATGTTTATGACAATGTGCACCCAATGTGTAGCTTCCACATGAGTGAAAACATGAGATACTTGGTTTCTGTTTCTGCATTGGTTTGCTTAGGAGAGTGGATTCCAGCTGTATCCATGTTGCTGCAAATGATGTGATTTTGTTCTTTTTATGGCTGCTTAATATTCCATGGTATATATGGAATTTTCCAATCTACCTTGGATTTTCAATCTACCTTGGATGCACTTGGATTGACTCCATGTCTTTGCTATTGTGAATAATGCTGCAATGAACATACATGTTCATGCATCTTTTTGTTACAATTATTTATTGTCCTTTCAGTATACCCCTAGTATAGTAACGGGGTTGCTGCATCCAATGGTCATTCTTAGTTCTTAATTTCCAAACTGCTGTCCATAGTAGCTGAATTAATTTACATTGCCACAAACGGTGTGTGTTCCCTTTTCTCCACAGCCTCCCCAACATCTTTTTTTTTTTTTTTTTTTTTACTTTTTAATAAAAGTCATTCTGATTGGTGTGAAATGGTATCTCACTGACGTTTTGTTTGGCATTTTTCTGATGATTAGCAATGGTAAGCATTTGTTAATGTTTGTTGGCCACTTACATGTGTTATTTTGAGAAGTGTCTGTTCATGTCCTTTGCCCAATTTTAATGGTGTTATTTATTTTTTGCTTGTTGATTTGTTTAGGTCTCTTATAGATTCTGGATAATAGGATAATAGGCATTTGCTATACCCATAGTTTGTGAATATTTTCTTCCATTCTTTAGGCTGTCTGTTTAATCCCGTGATAGTTTCTCGTGCTGTGCAGAAGCTCTTTAGCTAAATTAGATCACACTTGTCAATTTTTGTTATTCTTGCAATTGCTTTTGAGGACTTAGCCATAAATTGACAAATATGATGTCTAGAAGAGTATTTCCTAGGTTTTCTTCCAGGATTTTTATAGTCAGAAGATGTACTCTTATGTAAGAAAAGCACAAGCCTTTTTTTTTTTTTTTTTTTTTTTTGAGACGGAGTCTCCATCACCCAGGCTGTGGTGCAGTGGTATGATCTTGGCTTACTGCAACCTCTGTCTCCTGGGTTCAAGTGATTCTCCTGCCTCAGCCTCCTGAGTATCTGAGATTACACATGCCTGCCAACATGCCTTGCTAATTTTTGTATTTTTACTAGAGACAGGTTTCATCATGTTGACCAGGCTGGTCTCAAACTCCTGACCTCAGGTGATTCACCTGCCTCAGCCTCCCCAAATTTTGGGATTACAAGTGTGAGCCACCGTGCCTGGCCAAGCACAAAGCTTTTAACATAAAAATGGAAATGAACATTTTAGTGTTTGGTTTAATTCATAAAATGCAATTATTTTGGATTCTACTAAATAATAAACATCCATATGTGGTAAAGTGTTTGGATGTCAATCATTCAGTTGTGATTATGGGTGGGAAGAGTTGAGATGATGCAAATAAACTTTTTTTAAATTTTTTATTTTCAAGACGGAGTCTTGCCCTGTTACCCAGGCTGGAGTGCAGTGGTGCGATCTCAGCTCCTGCAACCTCTGTCTCCCAGGTTCAAGCAATTCTCTGCCTCAGCCTTCCTAGTAGCTGGGATTACAGGTGCCCACCACCACACCCGGCTTTTTTTTTTTTTTTTTTTTTTTTTTGTACTTTTAGCAGAGACAGGGTTTCACCATCTTGGCCAGGCTGGTCTTGAAGTTCTGACCTCGTGACACACCTGCCTTGGCCTCCCAAAGTGCTGGGATTACAGGCATGAGCCACCATGCCTGGCTGTGCAAAGAAACTTTAAAAGTAACATGGGCCAGGTGCGGCGGCTCATGCCTGTAATCCCAGCACTTTGAAAGGCTGAGGCAGGCAGATCACAAGGTCAGGAGTTCAAGAAGAGCCTGGCCAATATGGTGAAACCCTGTCTCTACTAAAAATACAAACATTAGCTGGGTGTAATGGTGGGTGCTTGTAGTCTCAGCTACTTGGGAGGCTGAGGCAGGAGAATCACTTGAACCCGGGAGGTGGAGGTTGCAGTGAGTGGAGATGGCACCATGACACTCCAGCCTGGGTGACAAAGTGAGACACTGCCTCAAAAAAAAGAAAAAAAAATGTGGTATGAACCACAGCTAAACTACAATCAACTAGAGAGTAAGCCAAAGTATCTCAAAGTATATCATCAGTTATAAGACAATAACATGCAATTTCTAAAACCTAACTTAAATGCAGCTTTTAAAGACATTTTAAATGTGTCAGTTTAGTCACATTTATTGAATAAAGTTAGCAAATGGATATCTCTCAAAAATGAGAGCTCCAGAGAATTAAAAAATGTAAAGTTCCCATTTCCTTTCTGTGTTAACACAGCTAATTATGATCTTTACTTAACATGCAAAAGTCAACAGAACAACTGAGTATTTCACCAAATTAAAAACAAGAATTACACTAGAGAAATGAAACCCTAAAGAGAAACGGTCATATAACTAACCTCAGTCAAGTAGTTCTGGCAGTTATTTGAGGTCTGAGGGTTTGAAGTAGGAATTCTTACGGTCATTTTGGGAATATATTTACTGTTGAGTACTATACTAGTAAGATTTTCAACACAAGGTGACTCTTGACCTCGCCTTGTAGGAAGAGTGCTGAGAAAATATTTCACCCACTCTTTCTCCATAAGGAGCTTGGTGCTGATCATTGCTATTTTCTTATTAGATCTGTAAAGATAGCAAAGACAAATGCTTAGTATTTCATTTTTCCTTAAATGATTCTTAATGACTCGTAGTTTTTAAAAACTTGCCCTGAGAGTAAACCAAATTACCCACTAAACAGTGTTTTCACACTGAAGATGTGTGAGAGCATACCTGTTGTAAGGAATTATACTTTGAAAATCATTCTAAAGAAGCACCTTTGTTTCTAAGGTGATTTATACTGAACAAGCAGCTCAAACAAAGTAGACAGGGAAGAGAAATGGCTACCAGTGATGTATGGCTCAACAGATAAAACTTGCTGCCTTCTAAAATGGCTCTACTTGTAAGATTCTGAAGATTCCATTTGAAATACTTGTATTTAAAGGGTAACAACATGGGAAAAGGAATATGTTGATTTGCTTGATTATAAGAACCACTTCACTAGAAATAATTATATCAAAACATCATGTTGTACTCCTTAATGTAGGTTAACAAAACTAAAATGAACAAAAAAAATCTAGGAATACTTGTGTTTAGTAAACCAGTTTTAGGTTTCACCCCTGTACATTTCACCAATTATCTAGGACCAATTAAACATTTGGTAATGAGGAATAATTCAGAGCAACAACTCCTAGGGGAGAACTAGATTGTTTGGTTGTTGATCAAAAAGAACTAAAGCATCTCTGAAGGCAATTAGCCCCCAGCACTGTGACCAAGGCACTGGAGGTGGGGCTTGTTCTTTTTGCCCTCCACACACCCCTTCAGACTGAACAAGGTGTTATTTTTTAACCACTTTGTGAATTACACTTCTTTAAATTCCTGTGATAATTGTTCCCTATTTCATAAGGATGCCTTTCTATAACATCTTGAATATGTTACACAAATAGTCTTTCTTGAGGCACCTTCTATTGATAATACTAAAGATCACAATCAAAAACGATTGTGCCCAGAGTAGCAGTACCACTTGACACTTGGGTTTAGGTCGTGATCTACTGAAAAATAAACTCATTAATATTACTATTTAGGGAAATTCTGACAAGTAATTTAAAACAAGATCACTTTATTAATTATAAAGCTTCAAAAATACTTAGTAAAAAAAACTAACAGATTAACTACAAGAGACTTTTCAGGGGAAAAAAGCCATACAAAAGCAAAAAAAAAAAAAAAAATGAGAGGAGAGACAGAAACTATCCTTGACTAACATTTTAAAGGTAAGATTACTTACTAACATTATTTTCCAAAATTACATTGTCAAATTAGCATTCACTTCCTACTAATATTCTGAAGCCATCTCACTAAAAATTATGCTTTCAAAACAAATTAATGAGCTGAATTCATTTTCTATGAGTGTATGTTTGGACTTACTTCGTTAATTTTTTTGACATGGAATTGTTAGCGTTCAATGCTGCTGCAAAGGCTTCTTTATATTCTTCTAATTTGGTTGTAACCTCTTCATAAGTAGTTTTCATTTTGGAGAATTTACATTCCACATCTTTAAGTGTGAGTTCCTTCATATTTAGTGAAGCCGTATTATCCTTGTTTAACTGCTCTAATTGTTTTTCATATTGTGCTTGTTTCTAAAACAAATGAATATACTTTTAAAACAATTATAACCTAATTATTATATGTTTGTTGTCTTTCATTTTGAGCCAGTGATTCAAAGAGCAATTTTGAATCTGTTAAAAAAAGAGGCTGAAGCTTAAAATGTTTATCAGTAGTATCAAAACTAATAACTGAATTCAGAATTAAGTCTGATTCATAAAAATTTGAAATCATAATTATGTTAGTATTAATGTAATCTGGTCATAAAAAAAGCAATAGAATCCATTCATAATTTTAAAAAGTGATCAACGAACAATGTAGCTTAAGACCAATTCAAAAGTATCACATAATTTCTAAATCACAACTTTTTCTTATGCCAACTGGTCTTAATCATCAAATGACTCCATAGTAAGAATCATTACTCTGAAAGGTTGATTTTGTTATAATAATAATGGAAATTTAAATATTTAAAAGAAAAAACAGATGCCTTTTTTTTCTAAAACTCTACAAAGTAAATTGCTACAAGAGAGGCAGAGGAAACACAATATACACATATCCAAAATATAATTTGCAGTGAAATAAAGGAAACCACATTACAGATAAACTTAACTGATTTAAAAAACTAACCTGTAAATGGATTTCTTCTAATTTTTCTACTGCCTGCATTGCCCTTTCATCTAGCTCCAATTTATATTCTTGTAGTTTACTAAGTTCTACCATATTGTTTTCCATGTGTCTTAAGATTTAATATTTCTTCTTCCAACATCTTTTTATCCTCCTCAAGTTTTTCACATTCCTGTTGTACTTTATTCATAGATAATAACTCCTGTTGAAGAACTTGATTGTCTTTAGCCAAATTGACATATTTTGAAGATACAGCTTCCTTCTCTGCTGTAAGATCATCAAACTGCATGAATAAAATAGTATAGCTTGATAATGAAGTAGGCTGAGAATAATCTAATACAAAATCAATAGCAAATTTTGAAATGCATTTACTTGGAATAAACTGTTATGTGTAGTGCAGTAGATTCTTCAAATGTGAACCCTTAAATTACTCAGAATTTTAAGAACAAAGTTAAAGCTACCATGAGTCACAAAAATACATTATTTAACTATCATCATCTTTGCCACAGAACTTTTGCACTTCATTTTACTTTTATTTTTCTGATAATTTATTTTTATTCCTCCTTAAGTGGCACTAAGCTATCTCTTAGTAAAAAGTGTCTATCCCCCTTCCCTCATTATCATTCCCCATAATATGTCAAAAAAAGTTTCAGAAATATCACATTGAGTTATTTAAGCCAAAGTCAATAAATGGCTCTAGGAATAAGACTTTGAAAATAATATAACACTCTATACTAGGCATGGTGGCTCATGCCTGTAATCCTAGCACTTTAAAAAGCTGTGGCAGAAAGATTACTTGAGGCCAGGAATTTGAGATCAGCCAGAGCAACATAGTGAGGCCCCATCTCTACAAAAAAAATTTTTTTTAAATTAGCCAGGCATGGTGGCTCATGTCTGAAGACCCAGCTATTTAGGAGACTGAGGCAAAAGGATAGCTTGTACCAGAGTTCAGGGTTGCAGTGAATTATGACCACATCACTGCCCTTCTGCCTGGATGACAGACAAAGACCCTATCTCAAAAAAACACAAAATAATGAATCCTATAAATAAGTATTCTGATGCCATAAGCCTTTCCTTAAACTGCAAATGTTTCATGCTAATTTGAGTTGCATTTTAAGAAGTAATGATTCTTGGGGTAAATGCCATAGAATACAGCACCCAGAAATAAATCCACATATTTCCAGCCAAGTGATTTTGGATGAACGTGGCAAGAACATACACTGGGGAAAGGACAGCCTCTTCAAATGAATGGCACCGGGAAAACTAAATATCCATATGGAGAAGAATGATACTAGCTTCCTATGTAACACCATATAACAACATAAACTCAGAATCAATTGAAGACTGAAATGTAAGGCCCAAAATTATCAAACTACTATAAGTAAACAGGGAAAATTCTTGAGGACAGTCTGCACAAAGATTTTTATGGGTAAGATATCAGAATCATAGGCAAAAAACAAATGATAGACAAATGGTACTACACTAAGCTAAAAAGCTTCTGTCCAGCTAACAACTGAGTGAAGAGAAAACTTGTAGAATCGGAGAAAATATCATCAAGCTATTAATCTAATAAGGGACTAATATCCAAAATGTACAAGAAATTCAAACAACTTGACAGTGAAAAAAAATCTGAGTTCAAAATTGGGCAAAATATCTAACTATACTTTTTTTTAGAAAAAAGAAATACAAATAGCCAATAAATAAATTTAACAATGCTCAGGATCACTAACCCTCAGAGAAACACAAATCAAATCTACAATATGATATAATCTTGCTTCAACTTGAATAAACTATTATCATTGAAAAGATAAAAAAAAAAATGCCGGAGAGGTTCCAGAGAACAGTAAACTCTTACGTGCTGTTGGTGGGAAGGTAAATTAGTGCAGCCACTATAGAAAACAACACGAGGTTTCCTCAAAAAATTAATAATGGAACTGCCGAGGGATCCAGCAAGCCCACTACTGGGTATTCAGGCAATAGAAAAGAAAACAATAGATCAAAAGGATACCTGTCCTCATATGTTTATTGTAGCACTATTCACAACGGCTAATGTATGGAATCAACCTACATATCCATCACCAAATGAAAAGACAAAAAACTGTGGCACACATACACAATGGAATACTATTCACCATATAAAGGAATTAAATCCCGTCATCGTGGCCACGTGGATCAGTCTGGAGGATGTTATGTTAAGTGCAGACACAGAAAGATAAATACTGCACATTCTCACTCCTGTGAGGGAGCTAAAGAAAAATTGAGGCCTGGGCAACATGGCTGATGCCTGTAATTTCCTAGCACTTAGAAAGACAAAGGCAGGAGAGTCACTTGAGGCCAAAAGTTCCAGAGCATCTGGGCAGCATAGGGAGATATTTCTATAAAGTCAAAAATCAGACTGGTGCAATGGTGCATGCTCATAATCCTAGCTTCTCAGGAGGCTGAGGTGTGAGGATCACATGAGCCCAAGAGTTGGGGGCTGCAGTGAACTATGATCAAACCACTGTCTCCCGTCTGGGTGACTACAGTTGCCCAGAGCCCAGACTACACTAGCAAGACCCTGTCTCTTAACAACAACAAAAATCTCAAAGAAGTAGGGGAAGGTAGGTTGGTTAATGGATATAGAATTACAGTTAGATAAGAAGGAGTTCTGGTGTTCTGCGGCACTGTAGGGTGAATATGGTTAACTATGATTTATTGTATATTTTTAAAAAGCCAGAAGATTGTGAATGTTCACAATTCAAAGAAATGAAAAATGGTTGTAGTAAATGTGCTAGTTAGCTTGATCATTACACCCTATTTACATGTATCAGAATATCACTCTATAACCCATAATTATGTACATGTGTGTCAATTAAAACAAAAGAGAAGTTACATTGATCCCATTTAAAAAAACAGAATATGGGCCAACCTTACTGACTTCCTCCTAATAAATAGAATGCAGTAAAAGGGATACCATGTGGCTTACCTATCTCAGACTGTTTTCCCTTGGAACCCAGCCACCAGATTGTGACAGCACTCAGGCCACAAAGAGAACCTGGCAGTGCCAGTGTCAGTGTTCATGCTGCCTGTCCCAACCAAGGTTCCAGCCAATGGCCAGCATCAACCATCAAACAGGTGGGTGAGCAACGCTTCAGAGGATTCCATTTCCCCAACTGATAGCTGTTCCTAGGGAAGCTGAGGGGAGTAGAGATGAGCTGTCCCAGCCAAGATTTTTCCAAACCACAGGTTCATTAACAAAATAAATATTTTTCTTTTAAGCCACAAAACTCTGGGTAATTGTTAGAAAAATAAGTTTTAAAAAGAGACAACAGGAAACATAACTTATGCAGCAGAAAAGAGTCTCCTTTAAAGTAGGATCTAATAAATGTTGAGGTTAATTTATTGATGGCAAACATTATTGAGAAGCAGCAGATAACCAGGACAGAGACATAAGCTGCTGAGGAGAAACTTTTCCTAAAACTCCTTCAATTATGAACTCTGATAACAAGGCAAGGGTGTCTCCTTAAGGTTTCCCCTCAAGTTAGGAAATAAGACTGGGAAGCAAGAAGAAGACATATGGTATGAAAAAAAACTAGAAATACTTGGTTATACAATCAAAATCAGATATTTACCTGATTTGAATTAACTAAAATTCTAAAAGATAAGCTTTCAGTATTTATTAATCAATCTAGTATTTAATTTTTATTTTCCTTTTCTCAATGAGGAAATAAGGAGAACATTATGAAGTGATTTTTAGTCTTCACAGAAGTAAAATAAACATAGAGTGCTTTGAGTGTTAAGCAATCAAATGCAATTTCTCCTTTACTTTACTTCAAGCTTGTTTGTTTGGAGAAGTTAAGACCATCCCATCTCTATGCTATACCACAAGACTTCTCTATAGCACACAACTTGGCTCTGAAATTTTGAAAGTCAAAATACTAATCTACTATGTGTCTCTGATAAAATGCCTGAACATTACCTGATTTTGAAGTGCTGCACTCCTAAGACCTTTTCTTGGAATGAGTTAAACTTTATATTCCAAGAATCCTCTACTGAGCTAGAAAGCAGAGCTGTGCATCTCTGTTTCAGTAAAAGGCGGTCAATACAGCTAACTGTGGTTTCTGAGAATGCAAGATCTGCACCAAGAAAAGGATTAGCCACAGTGCTACCCAAGAGAACCAGCTACCAGGTGGAAAGAGGATCTGTGAACTGCAAGATGATGACTTCACTTGATTTCCACTGAGGAAAGCTGGTGGCTCAGACTTAAACTTCTCCTTCCTGGATGGTAAACATCTATGGAAGATTCTATGAATTATAATGAGTTAGCAAAACATAATGCACTAAATATTAGACTATGTCAGCAGATCCTGTGACCAAAACTTACTGAAAACAAAACTATAGTGGGAGGCAATGGAAAAGAGACTAAAGATTTGAAGGGAGAAAAAAGAAATAAAGTGTGTCTTATAGGCCTGGCTTCCCATCATGTCTTAGAGTAAGTAAGGTATAAGCTGGCCACAGACTCCTTTGAGACACAAAAGGTGAAATTAAAGATATTCCACTAAATTTAATTTTTATTATGACATAAGACAACTGGTAATATGCAACATGATTGAAAAAAAACTTCTCAGTAAATTCATTTTGGCCTTGGCATAATAATAGACATAAACAAAGTAAGAATTGATAATCTAAAAATAAACTTGTGCATTTACAGTCAATTGATTTTATATAAAGTTAACAAAAGAACAAAATGGGAAAAGAAGAGTCTTTTCAACAAATGGTGCTGGGACAACTGGGTATCCATATGCAAAAAATAAATAAATTAGGACCAAATATCTTTTTAAAAAATTAACTCAAAATAAAACAGTTAACTGTAACAGCTAAAACTATAAAACTCTCAGAAGAAAACCCAGGCATAAATCTTTGTGACTGCATTTGGCAGTGTTTTCTTAGCTATGACTCCAAAGGAAAAATGGACTCAATGGACTTCAAAATTGAAAACTGCTGTGCCTAAGAAGACAGCATCAAGAAGTGAAAAGGCAAGACACTAAGTAGAAGAAAGTATTTGAAAAGCATATACCTGATAAGCGACTTACATACATAGAATATGTAAAGAACCTTTGCAATTCATGAGTAACAAGATAATTCAATTTTAAAAATGGGCAAAGATTTTGAATAGATGTATCTGCAAAGAAGATGTAAAGATGGATAATGAGGACATTAATAGATGCTTGATGTAATTAGTCATTAGGAAAATGTAAATCAAAACCACATGTGGTATCACTTCACACCACAGGATAAAATCTTTGTTCAATAAAAAAGAGAAAATAAGTGTTAGGAAAAATGTAAAGAAATTAAAACCCTTATCCAGTGCTGCTGGGGATGTAAAGTGATGCAGCCGCTTTGGAAAACAAACTGGCAGCTCCTCAAAAGGTTAAGCATGAAGTTACCATATGACCCAGAAATTCCAGTCATAAGTATATACTCCAGAAAAACAAAAATCATGCAAGCACAAAAACTCGTACATAAATGTTTACAGCAGCATTACTAATATGAGTCAAAAAGTGGAAAGAACCAAAAAGTCCATCACCTTTGGGTGGGAAAGAACCCAAAGGTCCATCACCTGGTGAATGGATAAATAAACTGTTTGATATATCCATACAATGGAATATCACTCAGCAATAAGAAGAAATTAAGTACTGATACTGTATTAGGAGGAGACAGCAAAATGCCTAGGCAGATATGGAAGGGTCCCTGGAGAATCTCCAACCAGCCCCACAAGTGTTTACACCAGATGTTAAGTGCAGATAAGGGAACCTGGACTTGTCTTGCCTGGACATGCCTGCAGCAGACCAGAGGCCCACATGCACTGGGGGGATGAGGTGGAGCCACCAGAAATTCATGCCTTATGCAGGGGAGGAGCCTGGCTGCTTCAACTCATGTGCTCCTGGTATTCAATTGTGAGGTGGAAACCTGTTTGCAGGACCACTCTCTTTACTGAGAGCTTTCCTTTCACTTAATAAATTCTGTCCTCCTCACCCTTCAATGTGTCTGCGTGCTTAATTTTTCCTGGTCATGAGAGAAGAACCCAGATGTAGCTGAACTAATGAGAAAAACCCCACATCAATACCTGCTACAGCACAGATGCAGCATGAAAAATTATGCTAAGTGAAATAAGCCAGTCACAGTAGACCACTTGCTTTTTATTTCAGAGGCTTATAGGCAAATCTATATAAAGGAGGTTGGTGGTTCCCTACGGCTGGGGGAGGAAGGGAAAACTAGTGAAGATGGCTAAGTGATGTGGGGTTTGTTTTCAGGGTGATGAAAATATTCTAAAATTGATTGTAATTATGACTGCATAACTCTCTGAAAATACTAAAGTCAATGACTCGTATATTTTAAATGAGTGACTTGCATGGTGTGTTCATTATTTCTCAATAAACCGGTTACCCAGCCCCCCCCCCCAAATTAATTTGGTACTAGTGGTCTGGAGACAGGTACTGCTTGGTTTCAGATCACTGGCCAGAGTTAAAGACATAAGAGAATCAACAGCATGTCCTTTTTATAGAAAAAAGGTTTATATTTTTAAAACTATCCTTTTCATTAGTATCAATTCTGTAAAATTAAATGAAAAATCTTTCTTTCACTGCTTAAAGCACTGAGAGATTTATATTGAGGAATAAGAACTTGTTTTCTTTGGCCCCAATTTCTATCTAAAGGGTCTGAGAATCACACACTTCAAACTATTAAATCTCATCAGATGGGTTTTATTAACTCTTATAATGTGGCTTCCTTTCTCACCTGATTCTGGTACAGCATCACAGAGAGAAGAAGCTGAAGGAAATCAAAATATTTAACCCCCAAATATATTTTTCTGACATATTTTGAAATGGCTGCTGCAGGGCCAAGAGACTGAAATGGCCCTCATTAATGTAGCCCAATCTGTCCCCTTCTAGGTCTTCCCAGATCTGGGGAAGATTAACTAAGAGGCTGATGCATTCAAAGTCTGAAAAGATATATTTACCCTCTATTTTCTCAACATATTTTGGCAGAATTTGGGTTTTTCCATTATCAATATATTCCCAAATTACGTGATTTTTAATCCCAAAACTGATTTAAAATTACCGTATGTTGGAATATAAGTTATTCTGTTATAAAGATACGTGCATTTATATGATCATTGCAGCACTATTCACAATAGCAAAGACATGGAATCAACCCAGATGTCCATCAGTGATAGACAGGATAAAGAAAATGTGGTATATATACACCATGGAGCCATAAAAATGAATGAGATCATGCTCTTTGCAGGGACATGGATGAACTCGAAGCTGTTATCCTCAGCAAACTAATGCAGGAAGAAAAAACCAAACACTACATTTTCTCACTTATAAGTGGGAGCTGAACGATGAGAACACATGGACTCGGGGAGGGGAAAAACAAACACTGGGGCCTGTAGGGGTCAAGAGGGAGAGCATCAAGATCAATAGCTAATTCCTGCGGGGCTTAATATCTAGGTGATGGATTGACAGGTGCAGCAAACCATCATGGCACACGTTTACCTATGTAACAAACCTGCACATCTCACACATGTAATCTAGACCTTAAGATAATTTTTTTTAAAAAATTACCTTATGTTTTAGCTTCTTAATCAGAATATTCATTTTCAGTTGATCTGTATTTAAGTCTCCATGGCAATCGATGTCTTCATTTCCAAATACATTAACATATTTATTGTCATTTCCAGGAGTTTCTTATATCTGCAGAAATGTACAGAATTAGTAAGTCAAATATTTTTAAGAGTAAATATTTAATAATTGTTTAAAAGATATTATGTTATAGCATATCAAAGAAACACATCTATAAACTATGATCCTTTCAGTTTCAACTGAGCATAGTTTGGAAGCACTGTATATGAAATTATAATCTTAGATAAATAATATGAAGAACAATTTTATGGCATATATGGCAGGTAAAGTGGTATTACAACCATACAGTGTTTTTTTTTTGTTTTTTTTTTTTTTTTTTGAGATGGAATTTCACTCTTGTTTCCCCGGCTGAAATGCAATGGTGTGATCTTGGCTTACTGCAACCTCTGCCTCCTGGATTCAAGTGATTCTCCTGCCTCAGCCTCCCAAGTAGCTGGGATTACAGACATGTAGCACCACACCTAGCTCATTTTGTATTTTTAGTAAAGATGGGGTTTCACCATGTTGGTCAGACTGGCCTTGAATGGTCAGATTGGTCTTGAACTCCTGACCTCAAATGATCCACCCACCTTGGCCTCCCAAAATACTGTGATTACAAGTGTGAGCCAGCACACCTGGCCTAACCATACACTTTTTGTAAATAAACTATTCATACCCATGTTGGTATGCTAAGATAAAATAACCTATTACTAAATATAAGCCATAACCTAGAAATGAGTAACCAAGATAAAAAAGTAAAACACATACATTTGAAAAAGACAAAAAATTACATTTTGATACCCATTCACAGTCTATAAGAAGAAAAAAAAGTACACACAAAAAGCATCAAGGACATTATTCAATGTAGAAAAAGAGAAGACCAAGAATGGGGCAGAGAGATGTGTGACAATTTAAGGACTTTGAAGAAGAGATCTAGAGATCTTTGCTGACATAATGTCAACAAAATGAAAGAGATACAAAACCATGTAGAGAAAGACAATGACAGAAAAATGTAGATTAGAATCAGAAAACCAACTTAAGTGCTCAGTAAATAAATAGAAAAGTAGCTGTGTTCAGGACTTCAAAGACACATTCCATTTTTTTAAAAAAAATATGTGATCAAAACATGAATGCTCATTTTACTTTTAAGTTATACATATATTTTTATATATATGAAATTTATTGCTGTAAAACAGAAGTTTAATAACATGTATACTTCGTGAATACAACGGAGGTATCTGTGTAAAATGAGTAAATTTCCATGTTTTATATCTAAAAGAAAAAGAAGCAGAAACAAAATATAAGCTATATATCAAGATAAATTTTGATGTTAAAGAATGACACAATAGGTCTTCTTTAAAGAATTTGAATGCAGCAGAGGATACTACAAAAGGAAGAAAAGATGACCACAGACAGCAAAAATATCTTCAGAAATAAAAATTCAAACTAGATAATGAAGAGTGGACTTGACATTATATGTCCAAGGCTTTGTCATTGTTTTCAAAATCATTAAAGAATAAGCGGCCAGGCACAGTGGCTCATGCCACTTTGGGAGGCTGAGTCAGGCAGATCACGAGGTCAGGAGTTTGAGACCAGCCTGACCAACTTTGCAAAACCTCCTCTCTACTAAAAAATACAAAAGGTAGCCGGGTGTGGTTGCACATGCCTGTAATCCCAGCTACTCAGGAGGCTGAGGCAGGAGAATTGCTTGGAGGCATAGGTTGCAGTGAGCCAAGATGGCGCCATTGCACTCCAGCCTGGGAGACAGAGGCACTGTCTCAAAAAAAATAATAATAAATAAAAATAAAAATAAATAAATAAATAAGTATAATATTTTGGCATTCAAAAAATTGTCAGATTATGTTGTTTCTCTTTTATACATATTTTAATACAAATTTTTTCATCCCAACCTTGCCCCAGCAGCTCAGCTGACTCCCAACCCCATGATGCACATGCCTATAAAGTTTTGTTGTGAGTTTCTGAAATACATTTTAAAATAGAATTCATTTAATTATTAAAATGGAGACATAAAATGAAATTGTATCTCAGTTTTAGTCAAGTAAAATTAGAGCTAAATCAATTAATAAATGATTAACATGTTCTACAATATGAAAACCATACCCAGTTGCCTCTTCTTCTAATTCATGATTTTTCTTTCTTATTTGATTCACATTATACTCCAGTGATGATACTAACACAAAAACTTTCCTTAATTCTTCATTTTTTTCTTCAGGCTTAAAAAAAAGTGTTTAAAATTATTTTTGTAAAATCTAGAGACCCTCTTTTATCTTAAAAATATTATTTCTCATAAGTTGATGAGTAATATGTATTTAGGCATGGGTATAAAGTGCATTTTATAAGCCTGATGCCAATAAGGGCAGATTTCAGAAATAGTCACTTTTCTTAAAACTGCTAAAAATGATACATACTTTCATTATATTTTCTGAAATTTAAACTGCCAAAAATGTTTGTTACAAACAAGGGTTTTTACACATAAAATACTAAGGGTTAGTAAAAAATGTGTAGTTATATTTACATTTTACTTTTTAAAGATGCTCTAGAAACATTGTCATTAATAATAGTTTAAGATATTCCAAGTTTTCTTAAATTACATCTTACTAAGACGAGTTTTAGAAAACTCTTATCTATTTCCCATTACCTTTTTGATCCTCATCTGTCTTCAGGTTGAGCTAAATACTGTCATTCTCTGTAAGTATTCACCCACACGTTTCAGTTTTTCCCTTTCTCTTAACCCTTTCTCTTTAAATAAAGTTTTTTTCTATAATAAACAAAAACACAACTTTTGTCTACTTTTTGTGGTTTTTCTATTATCCTGTTTCTCCCCTTCCATTGGAATCTGTGACACATGGTCTCATCCAGAAATCTATTTTTCATCACTTATTGTGTTTTTAATATGGAAATCTGATTTTTAATAATTCCAATAAAAAAGTTCAAGGGTCATGAAGGACTTTATCCTGCTTTACTCAGCAGCAGCTGCGAGCAGTGACCAAATGTTCCCTCTGCTCCTCTGACCCCACTTCATTTCTAAATGCAGCAACCTCTGTTCTTCAGTCCTATTCCTTTCTGTTTGTTTGTTTGTTTTTGAGATGGAGTCCCCCACTGTCACCCAGGCTGGAGTGCAGTGGCACAATCTCAGCTCACCGCAACCTCCACCTTCTGGGTTCAAGCAATTCTCCTGCCTCACCCTCCCAAGTAGCTAGGATTACAGGCGTGTGCTACCACGCCCGGCTAATTTTTCATATTTTTAGTAGAGATGGGGTTTCACTATGTTGGCCAGACTGATCTTGAACTCCTGACCTCATGATCTGCCTGCCTTGGCCTCCCAAAGTGCTGGGATTACAGGCGTGAGCCACCACGCCTGGCTGCTATTCCACTTTTTAAATTCTCTCAGGACTCCTAAAATCTCAAAACTTTGAACTAGATTCCCTAATCTACATTTCCAGCTCTGACATTTTTCTTGAGGCCTCTTCCTTCTAGTACACATATTATAGACAATATTCTCAACCACACGCTCAGACATTGCTACTTGGTGCAGATTACTTTTGTAGATAGTGAATCTTGTCTATTTTATGTTGGTTCTTATTGATGTTACTTTGAGTATACCGTTATTTTCTATCTCAAAGGGGGACAGTCTCACCATTACGATATTGAACAGTATACTTTGTCCTTTTTTTCTTTCTTTCTTCTTTTTTGGACCAGTATACTTTGTCCCTTTTCTTTTTCTTTTTTTTTTTTTTTTGAGATGGAGTCACACTGTGTCATCCAGGCTGGAGTGCAGTGGCGCCATCTTGGCTTACTGCAACTTCCACCTCCTGGGTTCAAGTGATTCTCCTGCCTTGGCCTCCCAAGTAGCTGGGACTACAGGTGCACACCACCACGCCTGGCTAATTTTTGTATTTTCAGTAGAGACAGGGTTTCACCATGTTGGACAGGCTGTTTTTGAACTCCTGACCTCAGGTAATCCACCCACCTCAGCCTCTCGAAATGTTGGGATTACAGACATGAGCCACGACACCCAGCCCTTTTTTTCTTTTATAATGAAAACTTTCCCAAGAGAATCAGATTATCAATTGTTTGCCTTTGTTTTCTTTTAAAGAGTTTCCTTTTCCATAGAGATATGGAATGATGAAAGTCTTGTTCTAAAGTTTCTAAAGTTTCTTTTGGGGGACACTCAAATATATCATTGGGAAGCTCCAGTCAAGTAGACATCTCCCTTCTTCCCATTTGAGATTCTTCATCTCAAAATGGTGTCCACCAAATGTCTTCATCCAGGTAGTCTCTTGCTTAGACATTCAGGAGATAAGAACCTTCTTGAGAAGTTAGAGGCTACTGACTGAGATGGTTTAATGCTGTCCCTTATTATATGTTTTACTCCCTAGGCAGACATCAAAGTGGCTAACAATACTATGCCTGATGTCTAACTCACTTCTATGGGAATCTATACAAAACGTTTTATTTATGAGACAGAGTCTCACTCTGTTACCCAGACTGGAGTGTAGTGGCTTGATCAACACTCACTGCAGCCTCAATATTCCAAGGTCAACCGACCCTCCTACCACAGACTCCCAAGGTAGCTGGGACTACAGGCATGCACCACCATGCCTCTAAGTATTTATTTATTTATTTTTTAAAGACAGGTTCTCATTATATTGCTGTGGCTGATCTCAAACTCCTGGGCTCAAGCGAGCCTCCTGCCTCAGCCTTCCAAAATGCTAGGATTACTTGCATGAGCCACCTCCCCCAACCAGGTGTTTAACTGGGGACTAACATGAAGCACTTACAAGAGTACGTGGAACATAGTGAGCTACATAAAATATTTGCTAGTAGCATAATAATTTTATTGTATATCTTAACAAAATTGTGTATGTTAGGCAGGTGGCATGCCAATGGAAGTAGTCTCCTATAGCTGCACTGAATCATTCTTCTCACCACTGAGAGTTGCAGCAAATGGGGGGCATATAATTTATAACTTACTTTTCTCTGTGTATGACTCAGTAGGCAATGACTATGTATGTACTACAATGTAAATAGCACCTCCTGGATGGAATAGTACATAACTGACATGACCAGCAGAGACAGGCTAAAGACACTGAGCTGAAAACCCTGGACTCTATTGCTAAACCAAGGCTCCTGAATCTGTTCCCTCTGAGCAACTGTTGCTGTGGTGCTGCCTTCACAAGCACTCTGCTGAGCACTCAGATTGAGGGGCTGTGCTATCTGTCATCAGACAAGCTGCAGCCAGAACTGTTCAGCTGACAAACTGGGAGCAGTCCAGAAATACAGTAATGGCTGCATAGTGAAAAAAGGCCAATTTAGATTCTTTTTCATAGAGAGAAAAACATAAACATGTGATTGAACGAGTCTCCTCTATTAGACTAATTGGTTTAGATTTGATATTTAATTGCTAAAAATACATTTAGAATATAAACCTTACTGTGTCAAGGTCTCAAAGAACAAATAATTGGTATGGTATAAAATATTTAATTGTATGCTAAAAACTTCTAAGCTAAAATATTTTCAATTTATGCAAGGATAGGTGCCATACATATTATATATTATTCCCCCATTAAGCAAAT
Source organism: Homo sapiens (assembly GCF_000001405.40). Lineage (NCBI taxonomy): Eukaryota > Metazoa > Chordata > Mammalia > Primates > Hominidae > Homo > Homo sapiens. The sequence continues at coordinate 14,229,161 of NC_000018.10, read as the reverse complement.
TTATACTGAGACAAAATTATCTTCCATAAAAAAGAAAAAGCCATGTAAAATTAAGGACTAAGTTTTCTGCACAGACTGGACAACAATTCCTAACACATAAGGTCAATGAGAGTCAGAACAGTCAGAGAAAGCTTCATAAAAACAAAAAAATTGTCTGCCAGGTCTGAATGAATGAGGCTAGATGAACAGAAACTGAGAAGGCAGAAAGGATAGCATGAGCAAGACAAGTGCTGAAATCTGCCCAATTAACTCTGAGGATAAAGTCCAATGGCAGGGAAATAAAAACACGTGTCCACATAATAACCTCTAAGTGAATGTTTGCAGCAGCATTTTTCATAATAGCTAGAAGTGGAAACTAACGTAAACGTCCATCAACTGATGAATGAATGGAAAACCAGTATAGCCATGCAATAGAGTATCATTTAACTATAACAAGAAATAAACTACCAATGTGTGCTAAAACATGCATGAATTCTGAAAACATTAAGCTAAGTGAAAAAGCCAGTCACAAAGGACTATGTATTGTCTAACTCTATGTATATGAAATATGCAGAACAGGCAAACCTATGGAGACAAAAATAGATGGTGTTTGCCTACAACAGGGGTAGGTGGAGGGACATGGAGGAAGGCTGCAGTCATGCCTAGGAGATGTGGGGTTGCTTTTCAGGGTGATGAAAATGCTGTGAATATACTAACAGATACTGAGTTGCACATTTTAAATGGTTGACCTGTCTGATACATGAATTATATCTCAGTGAAACTGTTTTTAAAATCCAATGGCAGGATCAAGAAAATTTTCTCAGCTCTCAATTTTTGATGTACCTACTATATCAGATCTAAATATTTCTATACTTTTATATTTTAAATAAAAGGTAAATAAAGAAAATGCCTAACTTTTCAAATAGTTTGTAAATTGACATAAAACATGTACATTTCAAAGAATAGTATAATGGCCTTTCTATACAAGTTAACTTAGAATCTGTGAAATAGACACAGATTCTGTGTCCTTTCACAAAAGTGAAGAAATAAGACAATTTTCTGGAACATTCCATTAAACATTGTCCTCTGATTTAATCTGGCCTGCCTCATCATAGCAATACAAAAATTACTTGAAAATATGTTTAACAGGAAAAAAGTCAATTTTCTCTGAGGAATGATGTATAATTATCAACTTTTCCAAGGGTACATATTGTAAGAGAAAAGGTATGCAATCCTTTTTCAAAATGGTAGAACAAAAGTCACAATATTTAAAAAAAGTACATTATAAAGATAGTAAAATGGAAATAATTAATTATAATGAAAGTACAAAATCAAGCTTCTGCCAAAATTAGTATCCTAAAACATGTTATATAATTCAACCAGCTACAGAATAACTGTCGACATGTTAGATTCCATACATACTTGACTTTCCACTTGAAATAATTTCTTCTTTGAGGCCTGTGTCTCATCCAAATTAATGTGACAACATGATGTACCTTCCAGTGGAGACTCTAACATAGTTAATTTTTTAAGGGAATCAGCCACTTCTTGTTGAAGTTGTCTCATAACCACCTGATAAAATACTTTTGTTACTGATTTTATAAATTGCCTTATTATTAAATTATGTTAAGAACATTTAACTCTAACATACCTACTTTGAAAATTATCTCACACACATCAATTCACCTTCTTTTCATCACAGGTACACATTTTTATTTATTACTGAATTCAGTGAGGGATGCAGAATGTGTTATCCTCCTGCCAAATTGGTATTCTCTTAATACAACAGATTCATCCCACCATTCAATCATCTTAGAAGCTCAACTCAACCTCAAAGTTCCTAACATATTCAATCAACTGTTCAAATCCTTCCAACAGATTCCTGTCTCAGAATAAAAGTAAAAGTCCAATGGCCTTTGAGGCCCTAGGTAAACAGGCCTCTACCTCCCTCTCTGACTTCAAGCTTCTACAACTCCCTCCTGTAATTACTCCATTCCCACTGTACGTGAAGCCTACCACCCCGCTTTAGTCTGAAAATGGGGATCTAATGCCTAACTCATAAATCACAGGCAGCTACAGTATCTTTGTACTGGACAAAGTTATATTCAAATGATAGTCATTGAGCCTTGAAATAAAAATTATGAGCTAATTATTAATAAAAATATTCAAAGTAAATTATGAATACGAGTGGGAAGACTAAATCAAATATAGTTTTGCTAAAATTTACCACATTTACCCTAAATTATAATTTTATAACAAGTAGGTGCCTTTAAAACATTACGTGGTCATTAAAATATGTAATTTGAGACTGACATTTTCAGATTTAAGTTAAATTAATATGAATAATAATAAAGCTATACCAACTAAAATATATAAAAAACTACTTAAAGCAAGATATTACAAGATACAGCAATACACTTCAGTTCATCTGGGAAATCTAGAATTAAGTGTTGAAGCAAATCACTTAATTAAATTTTAATTTGAAAATACTCATTTCAGGTGTAAACATTTCCATTTATACCTTCACCATGGTCTTAACATGTGGCAATATAAAGACATTAAAATTATTATTTCAGCACTACAGGACTATCTACCTTAAAATATGACTCTGTGCCTAATAAAATGTCATAGGTGACACAATGTCTTCTCTCAAAGTAAATCATCTCTCACCTCTATGGAAACAAGTTATGTTTCTAAGCTGATGTAGTGAACACATTTTTCCTTTTTTTTTAAACCAAAAAGCTTTGTTGAAATATAATTTACATACTATAGAATGTATCTGTTTTAACATAAAGTTAAAAGATTTTTAGTACATTTTCTGAGCTGTGCAGCCATCTCTACAATCCAACTTTAGAGCATTTCCATCACTGCAAGATCCCTCACGCCCATTAGCAGTCACTACCAGCTTCCAGCCCCAGCCCTTCACAAACATTATTCTACTTTTTGTACCTATACCTTTCTCTTTTCTGGATGCTTCATGTAAATGGAATTATACAGTATAGTAAACACACTTTTTATCTACTGATTTTTATATTCAACTAGGTTCAACATGTATCCAGAACCAAATGTTTAAACTTTCTTTCTAGAAGTTTGAAAATATTTATCTTCCTTGATACTTACTACTGTTTCTGCTTTCTGTCTCTCATATTGAAAGAGACTTTCTTTTAAATGATCATATTCATTCATTAGCTTCTTATTTTTCTCTTCTAGCATGAGGTCTTTCTTTCTACTCTCAATAAAGCCTCTTTGGATATTAATTACTATCTCTTTATGATCCTCTTTCTGATGAACATCAACTAGTTGCTGTTCAAGCCACGGATTTTCACGTTGGAGTTGACATATCCTCTCTTCCACACAGTTCCACTTTCCAGTGGATTTACTGACTTTAGCTTCTGCACTTTGATACATCTCTTTCATTTCCTTTATTTGCTGCTGTGTTTGGCTTAGGTCGTTTTGTACAGTTTCTAAAGCCAATGACTTTTTTCTGAGAGTATCTCTTGTCTTACGGAACTTATCTTTTTTTTTCTTTTATCTTTTTTTTTTAATGTTTATTGATCATTCTTGGGTGTTTCTCGGAGAGGGGTATGTGGCAGGGTCATAGGCTAATAGTGGAGAGAAGGTCAGCAGATAAACACGTGAACAAAGGTCTCTGGTTTTCCTAGGCAGTGTTTGTGTCCCTGGGTACTTGAGATTAGGGAGTGGTGATGACTCCTAACCAGCATGCTGCCTTCAAGCATCTGTTTAACAAAGCACATCTTGCACCACCCTTAATACATTTAACCCTGAGTTGACACAGCACATGTTTCAGAGAGCACGTGGTTGGGGGTAAAGTTATAGATTAACAGCATACCAAGGCAGAAGAATTTTTCTAAGTACAGAACAAAATGGAGTCTCCTATGTCTACTTCTTTCTACACAGACACAGTAACAGTCTGATCTCTCTTTCTTTTCCCCACATTTCCCCCTTTTCTTTGCAACAAAACCACCATCGTCATCATGGCCCATTCTTGATGGTTGCTGTCTCTTCGGAGATGTTGGGTACACCTCCCAGATGGGGCGGCTGGGTAGAGGCGCTCCTCGCTTCCCAGACAGGGCGGTGGGGCAGAGGTGCTCCTCACATCCCAGAGGATGGGTGGCCGGGCAGAGATGCTCCCCACTTCCCAGACGGGGTGGCTGGGTAGAGGTGCTCCCCACTTCCCAGACTATGGGCGGCTGGGCAAAGGCGCTCCCCACTTCCCAGATGGGGCAGCCGGGCAGAGGCACTCCCCACTTCCCAGACTATGGGTGGCCAGGCAGAGGCGCTCCTCACATCCCAGACGGGGCGGCTGGGCAGAGGCACTCCTCACTTCCCAGATGGGGTGGCCGGGCAGAGGCGCTCCCCACTTCCCAGATGATGGGCAGCTGGGCAGAGGCACTCCCCACATCCCAGATGGGGCAGCCGGGCAGAGGTGCTCCTCGTTTCCCAGACAGGGCGGCAGGGCAGAGGTGCTCCTCACATCCCAGACGATGGGTGGCCGGGCAGAGATGCTCCTCACTTCCCAGACGGGGCAGCCAGGCAGAGGTGCTCCCCACTTCCCAGACGGGGTGGCCGGGCAGAGGCGCTCCTCACTTCCCAGACTATGGGCGGCCGGGCAGAGGTGCTCCCCACTTCCCAGGCGGGGCAGCTGGGCAGAGGTGCTCCTCACTTCCCAGACAGGGTGGCCGGGCAGAGGCACTCCCCACTTCCCAGACGGGGTGGCCGGGCAGAGGCGCTCCTCACTTCCCAGACGGGGTGGCTGGGCAGAGGCGCTCCCCACTTCCCAGATGGGGTGGCCAGGGAGAGGCACTCCTCACTTCCCAGATGGGGCAGCCGGGCAGAGGTGCTCCCCACTTCCCAGATGATGGGCGGCCAGGCAGAGGCACTCCCCACATCCCAGATGGGGCGGCCGGGCAGAGGCACTCCTCACTTCCCAGACTATGGGCGGCCGGGCAGAGGTGCTCCCCACTTCCCAGGTGGGGCAGCTGGGCAGAGGTGCTCCTCACTTCCCAGATGGGGTGGCCGGGCAGAGGCACTCCCCACTTCCCAGACGGGGTGGCCGGGCAGAGGCGCTCCTCACTTCCCAGACGGGGTGGCCGGGCAGAGGCGCTCCCCACTTCCCAGATGGGGTGGCCAGGGAGAGGCACTCCTCACTTCCCAGATGGGGCAGCCGGGCAGAGGTGCTCCCCACTTCCCAGATGATGGGCGGCCAGGCAGAGGCACTCCCCACATCCCAGATGGGGCGGCCGGGCAGAGGCACTCCTCACCTCCCAGACAGGGTGACCGGGCAGAGGCGCTCCTCACTTCCTCCTAGACAGGGCGGCCAGGCAGAGGTGCTCCTCACTTCCCAGATGGGGCGGCCGGGCAGAAGCGCTCCTCACTTCCCAGATGGGGTGGCCGGGCAGAGGCGCTCCCTACTTCCCAGATGGGGCGGCCAGGCAGAGGCGCTCCCCACTTCCCAGATGGGGTGGCGGCTGGGCAGAGACGCTCCTCACATCCCAGACAGGGCGGCTGGGCAGAGGCACTCCTCACATCCCAGACGGGGTGGCCGGGCAGAAGCGCTCCCCACTTCCTAGGCAGGGCAGCCGGGCAGAGGTGCTCCCCACTTCCCAGATGGGGTGGCGGCTGGGCAGAGGCGCTCCTCAGTTCCCAGATGGGGCTGCCAGGCAGAGGCACTCCTCACCTCTCAGACGGGGTGGCGGCCAGGCAGAGGCGCTCCTCACCTCCCAGACGGGGCGGCCGGGCAGAGGCGCTCCTCAATTCCCAGATGGGGCAGTCGGGCAGAGACGCTCCTCACCTTCCAGGCGGGGCAGCCTGGCAGAGGCACTCCCCACATCCCAGATGGGGCGGCTGGGCAGAGGCACTCCTCACTTCCTAGACAGGGTGGCGGCCGGGCAGAGGCACTCCTCACTTCCTAGACAGGGTGGCGGCCGGGCAGAGGCACTCCTCACTTCCCAGACAGGGCAGCTGGGCAGAGGCACTCCTCACTTCCCAGACAGGGCGGCTGGGCAGAGGCACTCCTCACTTCCCAGATGGGGCGGCTGGGCAGAGGCGCTCCCCAAATCCCAGACAGGGCGGCCGGGCAGAGGCACTCCTCACTTCCTAGATGGGGTGGTGGCCAGGCAGAGGCACTCCTCACTTCCCAGATGGGGCGGCTGGACAGAGGCGCTCCCCACTTCCCAGACGGGGCAGCCGGGCAGAGGCACTCCTCACTTCCTCCCAGATGCAGGGCAGCCAGGCAGAGGCGCTCCTCACCTCCCAGATGGGGCGGCCGGGCAGAGGCACTCCTCACTTCCCAGACGATGGTCAGTAGGGCAGAGGTGCTCCTCACATCCCAGATGGGGCAGCCAGGCAGAGGTGCTCCTCACATCCCAGAGGATGGGCGGTCAGGCAGAGACGCTCCTCACTTCCTAGATGGGGTGGCAACCGGGCAGAGGTGCTCCTTACTTCCCAGATGGGGCGGCCAGGCAGAGGTGCTCCTCACTTCCCATTCAGGGTGGCTGGGCAGAGGGGCTCCTCACATCCCAGACAATGGGCGGCCAGGCAGAGACGATCCTCACTTCCTAGACGGGGTGGCGGCTGGGCAGAGGCGCTCCTCACTTCCCAGATGGGGTGGCTGGGCAGAGGCGCTCCTCACATCCCAGACGGGGTGGTGGGTGGGCAGAGGCACTCCTCACTTCCCAGACGGGGCAGCCAGGCAGAGACGCTGCTCACTTCCTAGATGGGGTGGCGGGCGGGCAGAGGCTGTAATCTTAGCACTTTGGGAGGCCAAGGCAGGCGGCTGGGAGGTGAAGGTTGTAGCGAGCCGAGATCCCGCCACTGCACTCCAGCCTGCTGTCTTTGTCTGTTCTTTCATTTATGAGAGGAATCCATTGACTTGTTACCTTATCAATAGAATGCTTGTTGTTAACGGCATACACTATACAGACGACATTAGCCTGAGATATTTCTTGATGAAGTTGTTCATTACTCTGTTCTGCTTCTGAGTAATCTACAATGTGTGTTGGAACTCTCTCTGGGGTGACATCAGCTGGAATGGTGATTTCTTCTGCCCGGGGAGGAACCTCTTCTGGAAATTCTTCACTGACCAGAGACATAATCAATGATGTCTTCCCAACTCTAGGTTCTCCCACCACCAGGATCTGCACGTCTTTCTTCATGTCGGTGGCTCTCGGGGGCCGGACTCCACCCACACGCATGCAGTGGACTCCTTTCACCAGGAGCACCCACCCCACAGTGCCACCTGCCAGCCTCTTCGGCTGCCGGGGCCTGCCGCGCCGCCCCCTCAGTTGCTTCCCAGCAAGAGAGCAGGGACGGCACCAGCTCCACTTCCTCCAGCCCAGCAGGCTGCAGCGGCAGCGGCCAGAACTTATCTTTTAAGGTATTGAATTTAATTTGCATTTTAGAAAGTTGTTCAGTAAGAAACTAATTCTTATCTTCTATTTCGGAAATATCAGAACTCATTTTTACTTGCTCAGAAATATCTTGTGTTCTCTCTAAAGCAAGTTTTAGGTTTCTTTCTGTTTTCACATTTTCACTGTGTTTACTTATATAGCAGCAGCCAGTCTAGACTGATAAGATTCAATTTCAGCTTCCAGTTTTTTCTTGCTTTCTTTTTCCTTCAACAGTTCAGAATTGAGCCTTGTATTCTCAGCTTTGAGATCATTAAGCTCTTGTTGATACCAGAATGCTGTTTTTGTTATCATTTCCTCATTGAGTTTTATACACTTTTCAAGGGCAGCATTTGTTTCTTTAGCAATTTTAATGTCCTTAAGATATTTATTTTCTTTTTCCAGGTTGTCATTTTTCATTGTGCATATTTCCTGTCTGAGTATAGCAATATCTGTCTTCAAAATGCAATTTTCATCCATCAGATCTTTCACTTCTTCATGATTATGAAAATCCTAAATAATACAAAAGAAAGTTTTAGCTAGTACTCAATAAAATAACATATCATGATTACCTCTGAAGTTAAAGAATAACCTGCACATCCATGCACTAAAAAGGTTACTGTAAGTGGATATCCAACTGGAGAAAAAGTTGAAGCAAAATTTTGAACCTTATAGAGCATAAATTCCAAAAAGTTCAGAAATTTATTTAAAGTCAATGAATTTATAAAAGTAAACACACACACACACATGCACACCAGAGAATTTTTAAGAATTTCAGAATTGGAAAAGCCTTTCCCTGAATTACAACAAACTCAAAAGTATAAATTAAAGCATTAACAAATTTGACTAAATTAAAATATATCAAAAAATTGCATTTACACTTTGATATCTAACCCATACACCACCCTATAGTAAGAACCTTAGTTCACACATATTTGGACAGATAAAATTTCCCAGAGTTATTACAGTTCACTGATAACATTCTATTTCAATTTGACTCTTTTAACACTTTTATAGTCAGTTATAAGAATTACATTTACTAAATCATAAATCTAGACATTATACTAGTCACTCCTATATACATTCATTGATGAACTCATCTAGTTACCATAATTTTGAGAAAGAAAGGTTAAAAATATAAGCAAGCTACAGGATTTTCCCCAGGACTTCTGACTCTACTTCTAGTTCTCCAACAGATCACAATTACTTCTGTGGTGTAAATATATCCATATGAAAGAAAACTTTTATTTCAAAACACCAGTGGTAAATAAGATAAAATTTATAGAGCTCTTCTAAGATTATCATGAGTTATTTGTGATTGCAATAATTTCTGTCTCCTCTTTATAATATTAGGTACAGTAATCAATATGAAATAGGGGAAAGTACATGGAACAATTTTACTGGGAACAAAATCTTTATCAATAGGTTATCACTAAGTATATATTATGGCATATTATTGTTTTCAAAAGCTCTTTGTAATAAAATAATATCCTATGTGGATGCCAAGATTTATAGTAAATATTAATAATTGTACCTGTAAGTGTCATCACTCATTTTTAAAAATGAGATAACATTTCTGGTTTGTTTTTTACCTAAATAATATATATTAAATCAAGTGGATATTATAAGTAACATTGATAAAATAAAGTTTAAAATATAGAATTTTTACCAAAGATTGATTTACCTGATTTGGAGTATTTCTTGCAGTCTTTGGTTTCATCTCTAGTGATTGAACAGTTGGTTCAAGTTGTTTTGCTTCAACTTCTTTCTTATATTGTTTCTCTTTCCTTTCTAATTCTTCTCGATTTTTTTTGTGCAGCATATTAACATTTGTTTTTTCTTCATTTTCTTGTTTTAAGGTGCATCTGCAGATAAAGACATTTATCTTAAAATTCATTTTGTTAAAAAATAAAGAGTTCATCCTGTTATCTACCTCTGCAGATGTTGTTTATTATCCTAATAAGATTTCTATGTTCTGGATTATTTTTCCTTTGCAGTTCTCAGATATTTAATTTCTCACTTCAACATCTTCAAAAGAATGCATATACTTGAAAAGTAGTAAGGAAAGAATATTCTGCTAAAGGTTTTATTACTAGTCACTCTAGTATATATTATAAAAAAGGATACTGGAGATAATTCAGTAAAGTTACAAGTTCAAAATTACCTTTTCAAATCACACAGTCATAATTACTCCCTAATTAGAAAAGGTCATTTACAATCAACTAAAATTTTAAAGTTACTATTTATTGACAAGTGTATAATTTCACTAGAAATAAATTTTCATCTTTATGAAATATTGTGGGTGTCTCTCCAAATGATTTACAGAGTAAGATGTCTCTCACAAAAACTATATCTGCAAATGACTGTCATCCAAAACTAGGCTAAAGAGTCTAACATCTGTTACCCCACACTTTTTATAATTATTTCTTAATACTTTCAATTCACCTTCTTATTATATATATTTTATATATTTATTAGCCTATTGTTCATTATGTGTAATATATAATTAATGCCCTTAATAAGTGTGTGTATGTTTACACAAGTTATGTTTTCCTGGGAAATCTAGTCCCAGAAGTGGAGTTGTTGAGTTAAAGGGATGTCAGGTTATTTGAAATTTTGATACACAGCACTAAGTTACCTTTCAGAACTAATTTACCAATTTCATATACCAACAGTGTATGAGAATGCCTTTTTCCTCACATTTGCCAACACGAGTAATTACTGTTTAAATATCAGCATGACTTTACAAAATATATCTTATTTTATGTTAATTTACATTTTTCTGATTACCAGGCAGGGCTAAATATCCCTGGTAAAAATATAAAACTTGTTAATCCTAAGGAATATTAGTCCAATTTTGAATTAGTTTATAGCACAACGACAATTATCTCCTATGAAATATTGCTATACGTGGCCAGGCACAGTGGCTCACTCCTGTAAACCCAGCACTTCGGGAGGCTGAGATTGGCAGAACACCTGAGGTCAGGAGTTCCAGACCAGCCTGGTTAACATGGTGAAACCTCATTTCTACTAAAAATGCAAAAAATTAGCCAGGCATGGTGGCACATGCCTGTAATCTCAGCTACTAGGGAGGCTGAGTCAGGAGAATCACTTGAACCCAGTAGGCAGAGGTTGCAGTGAGGCAAGAACACACCATTGCACTCCAGCTTGGGCAACAAGAGAGAAACTCCATCTCAAAAAAAAAAATAACCCAAACAAAACAAAACAAAACAAACACACTGCTATAGGCTTACTTACCTATCATGCTCTTCCTTCAGTTTCTTGGGAAATTGCTGAGGATATGTTTTCCCAATCTTTCTTTGTTGGGTTAATCTGTCAGCAGCAGCAGAAAATGTACTATGACATATATTTTCTGATAGTTGTATTTTTTCACTTTTGTATGTATTATTTCCTTCTATGACCTTTAATAAAAGTAATATGAATAATAATTATTTTATTCAATAAAAAGAACATTTTCCCTGATTTTTTCACTTGATTCAGGTTAACTATCACCATTTTAATGATAAAAGTATTTTGTGCTTACTTTAATTTTATCATTATACATAATTATTATAATTATAAGGTACTCATCATTTTATCATTGAAATTTTTGTCAAGTCTGCTCATTTCTGTTTGAGTGAATGGAAGAATTTTAAAATTAAAAAAATGGAAAATTTTAAAAAGTCCGCTTCTCCATTTTGTGCTTTTATTCCCATCCACTCTTTGCTATCTGACATAAATGTTTATGTTATCTGACTGGCAGAAACAGAGAAATAAAAAGACACAGGCATAACATATGTCTTCTGTCTTTACCACCTGGATTTTACATGAAATAGCCAGATTAAGAGGATGTGACTTTGTAGGGCTTCAGGAACAGTAAAGAAGTTTTCCCTTTTCTGCACTAAGCTATTCTTTTCCCCAGTGCCTTTTATCTCTCTTTTTTTTTTTTTTTTTTTTTGAATCCTGGGATATCAAAAAAGTAAAGGTTCTCCCTGAACTATGGGAACCAAAGTTTGCCACAACACAAGAAGCAGAGTGAAACTGCTGAGTTTCTAGTGCAGAATTCTGGAAAATGAGATGCTTCCCAGATTTCACATTCTATTACCACAAAAGTTTATAGGTGCAAAACATATGGTACAGTTACCTACTTTAGCCCCATCATCTACTGATAATGGGAGTCAAACCAACCAAGACATATTAAATGTTTCATCCAGAGCTCTTGAGGTGGCATTCCCTAGCATTTCATGGCACCAAATAACATGATACAATTCCATATTTCTGAATTACATAAATTACCAGATAAATTTATCAAATTAGTCAGATATATTAAAAGTCTAACTTAAGCAAAGCAATTTAATGCCTCAGAGGGTGGAAAAAGGCCTCATCTGCTTTTACTTTGAAAGAAGAAAATCTCTAGAATTTTGTCTATCTTTAGAACACAATGTACAGAACTCAATTTTCTACTAAAGAGTCAAAGGCTAAATTTTTGGCTAAGAAATTATGCTTCTTACATGATAAAAATCATACATGCCAAAACTTACCATACTTTATTAAACAACATAATGTAAGGTCTGATTCAACAGAAATATTGGAGAGTGGTGATTTTTTAAAATATGTGGAAGTATATATTTGTTTTCAAAATATTGGAAATAACCATGATGGGACTATAAGTTCAAACAGTTTGAGCTAAGCAGATAAACTTGCATGCATGAAAACACATTAAACAGACTCATTTGGCTGGGAATATCCATTGCAACTCTCAAGGCTAGACGTGTTTTTGTGGCTTGTCGCAGTCATTGCTTCCCTCCCATTGTATTACCATTCTATCATTAAATAAATGTAATTCATCTCTAAATGAATACAGAAAAAAGAATCTAGAATCCAGAGCTTATTTCTTTAGCAATTTCTTTATGTTGATCTGGTTCAGAAGGTCACATGGTATATGGCTGAATTAGTTTCCCAGCTCATATGCCACTTGGAAGACTGATAGGGAGACTTAGGTTGATTAATGAACAAACATTATGAGAACATTCTCCAGAACCATTATTTAGATAGCAAAACTAATCTACTTTGACACATAATTACACATTTAGATAATCCCACTGTAACTGTACACGAGATTTTCTTGAATAGAAAATCTGACTGAATCAAATAATTGATAAAGAGAAAAAAGAAGCAGCAAGTGAACCTCTGTCTTTTTGAAGTTGGACTTTCCTTCTCCAAAGCTAGGAACTCTACTGGTAACATGCTACCTCATTCTTTTTTACTATTACTATACTTTAAGTTCTGGTACATGTGCACAATGTGCAGGTTTGTTACATATGTATACATGTGCCATGTTGGTGACCTTGGAATATCTTGCTGTGTCTTCTAGCTATATTTTTGATGTTCTCTCACTATGTGGCAAAGAATAAACCCACATTTTATAATTCAAGATTCATGCTTTTGTAGTTATTAGCACTGGGATTGTCATATAGTGGCTTCTGGAGTAAGCACTGTATTGGTTTTCTGTTTTTATAAGTGTCTGTAGCAGCAGAAATACTGTGGCTTTCTATCTGAATCATATGCTTCATTTCTTTGAGGTGGGTAAACCACAAATCAAAAAGACTTTCTGGATCTCTAGACTGAGGCCAGTGCCTAATGTCTAATTTCCAATTAGTGGTATTTGGGTTTATATTTTTTGCCATTTGCATGTGAAACTCTTAATAATCTTTCATTTCAATCACAATTACTGGGTTCCTTAATGTTTCAGTTTCTGTATCATTACAAAAATTTTCATCACCTGTGTTAGAAACAAGCTATGTGTCTGGTTTGTTATCATTTTTATAGTCTGATTTATTTTCATTTAAATGAAGCTTAGAAGATGACTGGTAAGTGTATTTCAGGGACCTGGAGTGTGAATGGAATAAAAAGACATTTGACATGGGATTCCTCTGTTCAGGTGCTGCCTGGACTGCCACAGAGTTAGACCCTCCAGATGCATTTTTCTCCTCACAATCAGGGATATGATTCGTCAGATTAGAGGGCACTCCTTTTTCCTTTGTCCCTCTTTAGAGTTACTATGTAGAAGCTCTTCCTCAGGGCAAGCAGTAATTTTGGAGTTTTCAAAACTTTTACCAATATTCAGCTTGAACTTGTTTGTAATGAATTTTAAAGAAAGTCGTGAATATACAGATAGATTCCTTTTTCACAATTCTTACCCAGTTCTGGTTCTTGAGACTTTTTTTTTTTTTTTGGCAGGTGCAAAATGGAAAACAAATTTGCTTGTTTTGTTTCTCAGATGTCTTTTCTGTCAGAATGCATGTTCTAAAATTAGCTTTAATCAAGTATAAACAAAGAAATATTAGAAAATAATTAAAATTTAACTGTGAAACTTAATCTGTGTGTTGCCACTCTTAAATTATGGGATTGTAACTAAAAAGTGAAAAATAATTTGCCTTGGCTTAACATACGACAGAAACATAAACCGGCAAGCTGAACTCTCAGTGTTTGTTTGGACTAAACTTAATGCATTATGTGTAAAGTCTACCAGAAATGAATTCAAAGATGATAGGTAGTATTATAAAAGCTTCCTCTCTTACAAAGACTTTACCTCAGCATGCCAGAAAGAGTGAGCCCCTACAGTGCATGTATATTTCTGAAGATTAACTAGAGACTAGGCAAACACTAAATTATTAAGAGCCAAACTGAACACCAATAAGAAAGAGAAGCAAAATTTTAAATTCTAATTCAAATGATATACTATGATAGTGTTATTTATCTAGATAGAGTTTCTGCTCATATCCACTTCTAATATATTTTAAGTTCCAGTACTGACAGTGTTTGGATTTTTTTAATTTTAGTAATATTTACTATGTATTTATATTGAAATGAAGTTATTGTTTGTACCCTGATACCAAAGGTCCCATTCTGCAAGGTAGGATTCTCTTAAAAGGCAACTGGGTTGACTTTTATGACCCCATTCACTCCCTGAACACAGACACAGAAGTCAACTGGTGACCATGAAAGAGAATAAATCTTTAAACTCGGCACTGGTGACCAGCAATATAAAACTGCAACATTTGAACCACTGGCAATGATGACTCTTTTAACACTAGTTTAACTCAGTGGCCATCTTTATTAAATTGTTCATAATTTCTATTCCTTAGTAATATGACCCAATATTTCATGTTACCTTCTGTATTATGAGTAAGGTTATACAAATAAAAGAGCAAGATAATTGTGAAAAATTCTTGCCTCAATTCCAAGGGTAAAAACAGCTAAGAGTTACTAGAGATAGTAAGAATTACTAGAATAACGAATAGTTACTAGAGATAGTAAGAATATCTTAAGTTTCATAACTGGTTAAAATGTTTTAAAAATTAAATATAAAATTATGACCTATTGGATTCTAAAGGTATAGTCTAAAAGGTCATGTCATTTGGACTACACTTTGTTACTAAAGCAAAAAAAAAAAACCTAATATTAAACAAGAAACTTAAATTTTCATATACCTGTGGTTGCTTCTTTTCACTTCTTTCACGCCTTTGCTGTTCTTCCTCTGAAGCCACTGGTAAGGCTTGTTCTGTTGACAAATTCATTGGTTTAGTTCAAATGAACTAAGAACAGTTAGATAAAGACTATAATCTTTATAAAAATAAATAGAAAATAACATTTCTTTGTATTTTATATTTTGAGGGTTTAAATGAAGCTTAATGTTTACTGAAATATTTACTTCTTTAAGAAATACTTCTAATTATCCAAAACTTCAACAAACCACTTGGGGAGACACTAGATATCACCAGGTTCAGCCATACAAAATCTCAGAGTCACTCACAAATTGTTCCACCCAACATAAATCAACAAAACTGTTGGAAACAAAACAAAATTTTGAAATACAGTCAAAACATACAATGTACATAACAGTATCTTTTTAACAAGACACTAATTGAGTTGGCAGTTACTAATAATTTGCAAAATTATTGTTGTTTATATCTTAATTAGTGTACACCCCATTTTTTACATCGCAAATGTTTTCCCCTGCTATTCTGAAAAATTTATATTCATCTTTTAAGACTCAGAAAGTAGGCTGGACATAATAGCTCACATCTGTAATCCCAGCACTTTGGAAGGCCAAAATGGGAGAATTGCTCGAGGCCAAGAGTGTAAGACCAGCCTGGGAACCATAGATAACCTTGACTCTACAAAAAATTTGGCAGGTATGGTGATATGTGCCTGTAGTCCCAGCTACTCAAGAAGTTTAGGTGAGAAGATCCCTCGAGCCCAGGAGTTTGAGGTTGCAGTGAGTCTCGATCACGCCATTGCACTCCACCCTGGGTGATAGAGTAAGAACTTGTCTCCAACAACAGAAAAAGAAAACAAAGAGGCTCAGAATGCTGTGTGAAGTCTTCCTTGATTCTAGCTATCTTTCTCCACACACACAGGTGTCTGTTTCATTGCGGTCCCTTAGTACTTTGTCAATTTTTCTAGTGTCACTTTACCACCTGAACTGCACATCATGTCTTTACATGTTGATCCCCTTTGCTGTTAGACTGTAGAGGACAATCTTTTGAATCATCTTTGTATAAACAGTCTTAATTTTGCTAAATAATTAGTTATTGAGTTCCTGCTAGGTGTTAGGCACTGGGGTATAAGGAAGGAACATAAAAGCTGTCAGGGATGGCTTTCCTAAAGATCATGCATGAGCTGAGACTTAGAGAGTGAGGTTAGCCAGATTAAGTGAGGCAGAGGGCAGGAAAGGGTGAGCACGTGCCAGGCAGCAACAAGAGAGGGAGAGAAGCCTCCAAGAGAGTACGTGTTTCTCTACAAAAGAGGAATGGTGAGGGGGCAATTACCAGCAGCTGAGTAATTCCAGAGAAAAAGGCAGATGGGGAAAGGGCTACAGATGGAGATTTGGGCAGAAATCAGTTTCCTTTTCTTTTCTTTTTTTGGGACAAGGTCTTACTCTGTCTCCCAGACTGGAGCACAGTGGCATGACCTTGGCTCACTGCAACCCGATCTCCTGGGTTCAAGTAATTCTCCTGCCTCAGCCTCCCGAGTAGCTGAGATTACAGGTGCGTGCCACCACCACCTGCTATTTTTTGTATTTTATTAGAGATGGGGTTTCACCTTGTTGGCCAGGCTGGTCTTGAACTCCCGACCTCAAATGATCCATCTGCCTCAGCCTCACAAAGTGCTGGGATCACAGACATGAGCCACCGTGCCCAACCCAGAAGTCAGTTTCTGAAATCCTTATATAAAGCTTTAAGATGTTTGGACATTAGGTATTCAGGAGTGGTTCATGGATCTATTTACATTAGAGATAATTAACTCTAAATACTGTGAGGAGCATAAAATTCTGAGACATATAAATAAATGAACAAAGATAAAATATGGCAATGTTGCAAAGATGATGCAGGCCTGAGGAGATGTTTTCAGAAATGTTTAGGATACAAGTATCAGTGGCCATTATAAGAATGAATTTTTATTGAATGAATAAATGTATATATCCAGGTCCCTGGAGAAATACACTCTGCTCATTACTTTACAAATTTTATCAAATGAGAAGTAAGATAATATAAATAAACTGTCTCAGTTACTTGTATTTACTTTACACTTTTTCTGTTTCAGTTTTACTGTGCCAAGGAAATGCATTTGGGTTTTGTGGTGGTTGTTGTTGTTGTCATTGTTGTTGTTTTTTGAGATGGAATTTCACTCTTCCTGCCCAGGCTGAAGTACAGTGGTATGATCTCAGCTCACCACAACCTCTGCTTCCCAGGTTCAAGCGATTCTCCTGCCTCAGCCTCCCAAGTAGCTGGAATTACAGGTATTTGCCACCATGAACAGTTAATTTTGTGTTTTTAGTAGAGATGGGTTTTTCCATGTTGGTCAGGCTGGTCTCAAACTCCCAATCTCAGGTTATCCACCCACCTCAGCCTCCCAAAGTGCTGGGATTACAGGCATGAGCCACCGCGCCCAGCCACATATGGGAATTTTGTTTTAAAAGTTATGTTTCCTGGATCTACCAAGCTCATGAGAAAATAGAAGCAAACAAGACATTTGCATAGGTAAGAAACTTTGGATTTCTAGCTTGTCATCACTACTCTAGAAGATTATCATCATGTTTTATAAAACAAAATGCTAATTCTAGACATAAGGGGAAAAAGAAATTAAAACTGTAGGGGTGGGGGAAAAATATTGCATAATTTATTACTGTTGACCTCATCATATCACTGATTAAGGGCACTGCATTTAACTTGTATGTGAAGTAGACCCCATATTAGCTGCAGTTAATCAGTAGACCAGGTGTTCTAGCAGAATTAAATTTGATGCTCCTGTGTTATCTTTAAATGACACAGCTCTTCTGAAAACCCGTACTCACAGTGCATGATTATCCATTAAGACAAGGTGATGGAATGTGTGAATACAGCTGAGGAGACACCACAAGGCAAATGCTCAATGGTTCCCATTAGTATTGGGTAAATCAACACTATAAAACAGAAAGCCATAGGCATTATTTAATATTTGGTTTTGGAAGGTATTTTTAGTGACACTGCATACAGTTGTACTGAATACTTGCAAAATTAGAGATGTAAAAATAAAACAAAGGCACATTGTGTTTGAGTAGGGAATCTGTAGATGTGTAGCTGGTTTTCCCATCCAGTCCCAAAATTCTAAATATAATCATGGTACCCACACTCAAATTTATGTTAAATAACAACCTCAATGAAATTACTCTTTCTCCTCATTCTCTTTGTTATTTATATGTTGCTTTCCTTAAGGGAAGAATACAAATGCCTTGCTAAGAAGCATTCTGTTTGGTGGTAGGCTGCATAAGGGGAGTAAACACAAAGTACATTGGACCACAAAATGACTTTTTAAAAGTCAGAACTATGGTAGCATGAAGCCAACCGAGGTAATCTAGAATAAAATTTTCTATGCTTCTTTCCCTTCTTTGCTCTCTCTCTACTCTAATAACTGCGATTCACGCAGGTAATGAAGAGTATAATTCCCTGATAGAAACACAGCTCCAAAATTAATCCTTTCTTTAACTATGAGGTTCACGTGTCCAAAGTCTGTAGTTGCTGTCTGATTTTTG